>NC_000010.11:92415822-92718852 GCF_000001405.40 Homo sapiens
TTGCTTTGTGTTTCTTTGCATTTCCTTATGTAGTTGGTAAGTTGGAGTCATCATTTCTAAATTCCATTGATAACTTTTACCTCTCTGTGCATGGCAGCACAGGCCTATAGTCCCAGCTACTTGGGAGGATGAGGTAGGAGGACTGCTTGAGCCTTGGAGTTCAAGACCAGCCTGGGCAACACAGTGAGAGCCCATCTCAAAAAAAGAAAAAAAAAAAAGATAAACACTTTTACCTCTAGTAACTGATCACAACAAAGCTGCCATTTCATACCATGGGAGACTCCATGGTTATCCAGAATCAAAGGTCTTTCATTCCCTGCCCTCTTGCCAAGCCACATTTCAGGAGTCAGCATTGTTCTAATGGATGCCATTTGTCTTTACACTATCTGAAGTGAGCCAGACTTCAAGGTTTGAGAGCACAGTCTCCCAGACTGCAAAGTTTGCCCAAGCCTCTGATACTCCCTGCAAGGAGGTCCCACAAGGTTAGGGGGCATGGTTTTAGGACTTCTGTCACCTCTGACCTAACTGCAAGTTCAGGAAGTTTCCAAAACGACCTTCAGGTTCAAAAATTCACTAAAAAGAATCACAGAACTCTTTGAAAGCTGTTATACTCACAGTTACAGTTTATTTCAGGGAAAGGATAGAGATCAAAATTAGCCAAAGAAAGAGATTGATAGAGCAGAGTCTGAGAGGGTTCCAAATGTGAAGCCTCTGGGGTCCTCAGAATGCATTACCCTGCTGATTTGGATGTGTGAGACAACACATATAGAGTACTGCCAATCAGGGACACTCACCTGAGCTTCAGCATCCAGAGTTTTTACTGGGGCTTCATTACATGATAGACTTATTGTCCATGTGGTTGAACTCAGTCTCCAGCCCCCACCCCACTCTCTGGAGGTCAGGCTGATATCACCTGGCCTAAGGGGCCTACCACGAGTCACCTTGTTAGCATAAACTGTCAAATGGTTGTTCAGCCACACCCTTAATATATTTATATATATCCAACAGAAAGCCATATATATGTCCCCCAAAAACCTGAACAAGAATGTTTATGGCAGCACTATAGCATCTGAAAACTGAGAACTACTCAACTGCCCAGTAACAGTAAAATGAATAAACAAATTAACAAATTGTGTTACAGTCACACAATGAGCATTTAGAATAATAAACAATATGGATGGATCTCACAAAAATATTGAGCAAAGGACCAGGCGTGGTTGTTCATGCCTGTAATTCCAGCACTTTGGGAGGCTGAGGCAGGCGGAACATGAGGTAAGGAGTTCGAGACCAGCCTGGCCAACATGGTGAAACCCCGTCTCAACTAAAAATACAAAAATTAGCCAGGCATGGTGGCAAGCTCCTATAATCCCAGCTACTTGGGAGGCTGAGGCAGGAGAATTGCTTGAACCCAGGAGGTGGAGGTTGCAGTGATCTGAGATCGTGCCATTGCACTCCAGCCTGGGCAACAAGAGCAAGACTCTGTCTCAAGAAAAACAAACAAACAAACAAACAAACAAAAACAAATTAAGCAAAGGAAGCAGACACAAAGGATCCAATACTGTATGAATCCATGTATGTAAAGTTCAAAAATAAGCAAAATGAATCTATGCTGTCAAAATACAGAAGAGTGGTTATCACTGCAGAGAAAGTGACTGGAAAAGGGGTGTGGGATCTTGGGGGGCTGTAATGGCTGTTTCTTGACCTGGATACTAGATAAATAGATGAGTTCAATATGTGAACAGTCACCAAGCTGTGGGCTGATGATTTGTGCACTTTTATGTATATAAAGCATCTTTAAACATCATGTAGGGGCATCTGGGTTCTCCCCACTGAGGTGCCAGTGACGGGTCCAGTACCTGGATGTCCCTATCCTATGCTGAAGGAGAGGTACACCAGGCACAGTGGATTATTCACTTAAAAAGAGTAGAAAATGTGCTTTCTCAACTCATAGCTGCAAACTCTACATTGAAAGATGCTGAGACTGACATAGCAGCTCATGGAAAAAGGGAATCTATGCAAATGAAACTGGGCAAAACTTTAAATGAGAAAATATGATGAAAGCTATCTTCCCCTCAGTGTCGCAGATGGTAATAATGAAGCTCATTGTGTCGTACACAACAGAACATACTTATACACTATCATAATGCCAGCTAAGTTGTGGCATCATTTTGAAACCAATCATTTAGAGTTTAAAGAAAAAAATGAAATATTTTAAGTGTAGATATTGTGGGCTCTTTAAAAGCCAAACATTTTTATACCTTTTCTCGAACTCCCGAGCTCAGGTGATTTGCCCACCTCGGCCTCCCAAAGTGCTGGAATTACAGGCGTGAGCCACCACACCCAGCCTGTTATCTTTTCAAACTAGAAAAGGCCATTGAAGCATCCTAGAGGTTTTAATTTCTAATAAGGTAAATATTCATAACTGTAACCCATATCAATAAAAAATCCTCTTTGTGGTCCTCAATATATTTTCTTTAAGAGTAAAGAGTTCTTGAGACCAAAGCATGAGAAAGCCACATAGATTATCCTCAGCCTTGTTACTAGGCTTAGTTCTTCCTCATAAGGAACTGCTGCTTTGGAATTCCAAGCACGTATGTAAGTCCCTGGCTTGGCTGAGGTTACTGGTTCTTCTTGTTCTTTTTTCTCTTATTTTTCTAATTTTTAAGTTCTTTTTTACTCAGCATTTCCTTTTCAGTTTGTTGCTTTTGCTTATTTGATTTTTGTCCAGTATTGTGTTTTGATTCCATTATAGAAATCCGTTCTTCAGGTAAACTATGCAAGTGATTTTCTTTTCAGGTGATTTGGACCAAGCTTCTCACCAGCTTTTCCCAAAATTAAGCCGACCTGGGACACCTTGACTCCAAGCCCAGTAGTAAGTCCCACACGCCGCAGGGCCTCTCAGCCATCTCTGCTGAGGAGGGATCCTTATTGGCAGCGAGGATCCTTGAGACCATCGTCAAGGACAACCTGGCTAAGGTGGGGTTGGCCTGGGACATCCTGACTGGGAAAGCAGCCGCCGTGAAGTTCATTGATGAGACTCAGCAGATCTCCTCCAGCCTCCAGACACCATCCACAAAGTAGGAATCATGAAGGCTCAGATCACCCCAACATAGTGAAGTATTTGCTGTGATCGATAGTGAGGAATCTCTGCCTCATCACAAAGCACGCTAGCGAGAAGTTTGTGAATACCTGCTCACAGCAGCAGGAAAGAGGCCTGAAGCAAATTCCACCAAAAGTGTCTGCTATGCAAGCTGTTACCAGAAGTGCATTGTCCACAGATATTGTGTATTGTCACCAGAAATGTATTGTCCATGTTAACATGAACATCACAGATTGGGTTCAGGAATAAATTCGCCTTTCGCAACAAGCTGGATACCTTTTGTGGCAGTCCCCTTAGGCTGCCCTGGAATTCTTCTAGGGCCACAAATATGAGCTGGTGGATGTATGGCGTCTGCGAGTTATCCTCTATATACTGGTAAATGGATCCTTATTTTTCGATGGACAGAACTTCAAGGAGCTATAGGAGCAGGTACTGAGCAGGATGTATTCCATTCCCTCCCCCATGTCCCCGGAGAGTGAAAACTTGCTGAAGAAATTTCTCATTGTCAATTGCAGGAAGAGAGGCCCTTCAGAGCACACTGTGAGGGGTCCATGGATGAATGCGAGTCATGAAGGTGAGGAACTTAAGCGCTGTGTGCAGCCACTCTCCCACTGGGAGGACCCCCTGCAAACTAAGTTCATGGTATCCGTGGGTTACAGACAGGAAGAGATCCAGGACTTGCTGAGGAGTATGAGGAAGCAGTGGTCACCTGCCTGCTCCTGGGTTCTCCTTTCATCCCAGGAGGTACAGCTCAGGGTCTCTGCCAGCCCGGAGCAGCAGTGGTTTCAACAACCTGCCTTTCCCATCTTTCACGGCCTGAGAAGACTCAAAGGAGCCACCCAGAGTCTGAACAGGATCAGGAGACAGGGCAGAAGGGCAGCAACACAGCAATGCACCAGCCAGCTCCCTACTAGCCTGGAGGGGACGAACCCCACCCCCGCTGTGAACAGCGACCTCTCCACTAACACCAAAATGAGCAGGAATTCCTCACTCGGGGCAAAAGCCGGTTTGGCCAGACCTCCACCCAGAACGACAACGGCAGCCCCACAGCGCTGGGGCCTGAGGCCTCCTGAGCTCTTGCTTCTCACCTCTACCCCGTCTCCCCGGCCACCAGCCCGGGAATCCCAGTCGGTCTCCTTGCAGCCCAACCAGGCCTCGGTGCCGCACCCCACAGTGAGCAGCTGGGGGGTGCCCGCCCGGCACAGTCCCCCCAGAGTGTCCCTGCGGCCTCCCTTCTACCCGCGTCATCAGCGGAGTGGGCAGAGCCCCCGATGGGACCAGGTACGCGCGGCCGGGCAGCCCAACAGGTGCCAGCCCCAGAAATGGGTTCCAACAGGGTGACTCCAGCCTCTCCCTCTGGCAAAGGCGGCGGCCAGCAGAGGGCCGCCGGGAGCTTCTTCAGCAAGTTCAAGTTCAAGTTCACAAGCTGGACTCAGCTGCCGGTTTGCCTGAAGGAACCTGAAAGCAAAGACGGAGGAGGACACGATTCACAATTAGAAATTAGAGTCACTTTTTGGTACAGAAAAAAAAACGAAAAATAAAAATAAAAAACAAAAAACCCCCCAAACAACAAAAAATTACCCTCGCCCTCTCCCAAATATTAAACAGAGCTCAGTAGGTGCTCACAATAAGAACCCGTCCTTCGCCTGCAGTATTTAAACGATTGTCGGTGGAAGTTCACGTCGTGCTCCTCTTTCGACAGCCGTTGGGTAACGGATCAAAACCCTTAACGGCCGCGGCTGGAGCGCGAGCTCGGGGCGCCGAGGGGCTCCGGGCCCGAGCGTCCACCGCTCATCTCCTGGGCTCGGGAGGTTTTCGCGGCGGGGGCTCAGCCCCAGATCCCGGGACTCAGGAGGAGCTGGGCCGAGCTGCGGGAGGCGTGGAAGCCCCAGGAGAGGGTTTTGCACTACGAAAAAACCATATGCAAATTGCCTGGGAAGAGTTTAGATTCTGTGGCCAAACTGCAAGCGGCCGTTGCTAAAATGGGAAGCATTTACAGGAAAAAGCAAACGGTTTCATCGAGGTGGATTCGACGACAAACTAAGCGAAGGCAAAAACGATCGCGGGAGTCGACGTGGAGACAGATAAGGCCCAGAGCTCTGACCAGACACTAAGTACTTCATCACTAGTCCCTGGCTGCTGCTCTGTGGATAACAGCAGCTCATGTAAGCCAACCTCACAAAACCAGGGGCCGTCCACCTCCTTCACGCAGGCATGAGGAGGCTTCAGAGGCCGAGTCCGAAGTGGCCAACCACAACTTCCAGGAGCAAGAGGGGCATTTCATAATGACTAGGGGTCAATTCTCCAGAAAGACATAGCAGTCTTTAATATGTAGGGACCTAACAACAGAGCCTCAAAATATGGAATCCATCAAAGGGGAGAATTGCAAGAAAAACCAGACAGATCCACTGTTATAGTTGGATATCTCAACACCTATCTACTAATAATTGATGGACTCAGGACATAGCTGAGCTGAAGGGCATCGTCAATCAGCTGGACCTGTTGATATGTATAGACTACTTCATCCAACGAGTACAAATATACACTCTTCTCAAACTCAGATGAAATATTCGCCAAGATAGACCATGGTCTGGGGCATAAAACACACTTCTAACAAATTTGAAAGAGTAAAAATCTTACAAAGTATACTCACATCACAATGGAATTAAACTGGAAATTAGTAACAGAAAGACAGTTGGAAAGCCACCAAATATTTGGTCATTAGACAACATGGTCCCAAATAACACATAGGCCAAAGAATTCTCAAGAGAAATGTTAAAAAATGTTTTGAACTAAATGAAAATGAAAATATGACTCATCAAAATTTGTGGGTTGCAGCATACCCACATTTGGTCATTAGACAACATACTTCCAAACAACACATGGGTCAAAGAAGTCTCAAGATAAATTTTAAAAAATATTTTGAACTAAATAAAAATGAAAATATGGCTTATCAAAATGTATGGGATGCAGCAAAAGCAGTGCTAGAGGAAAATTTATAGTATTGAATGAATATATTAGAAAAGAAGAAATATGTAAAATTAAAAATCTAAGCTTCCACCTTAGGAAACTAGAGAAAGAAGAATTACATAAACCTAAAACAGAAGAAAAAAAATTAGAAAAAAAATGGATGACATTAAAAAGAGGAAAATTATAGAGAAAATCAAAACATAAAAGCTGAAACCAAAAGCTAAATCTTTGAAACAATAAGTAAAATTGATAAACTTCTGGACTGGCTAGCCAAGAAAAAGAGAAAACACAAATTACTAATATCAGAAATAAAAAAGAGTTTACTAATCCCACAGACATTAAAAGTCTAATAGAGGTTCTATGACAGCCATGTAAGAAGAAAAAAGTCGGCCGGGCACGGTGGCTCATGCCTGTAATCCCAGCACTTTGGGAGGCCAAGGTGGGCGGATCACCTGAGGACAGGAGTTCAAGACCAGCCTGGCCAACATGGCAAAAGCCTGTCTCACTATAAATAAAAAATTAGCTGGGCGTGGTGGCGGTTGCCTGTAATCCCAGCTACTGGGGAGACTGAGGCACGAGAATGGCTTGAACCCAGGAGGCGGAGGTTGCAGTGAGCTGAGATTACGCCACTGCACTCCAGCCTGGGCAACAGAGCTAGACTCCATCTCAAAAAAAAAGAAAAAAAAAAAAAAGGCTGGGCGTGGTGGCTAACGCCTGTAATCCCAGCACTTTGGGAGGCCAACGTGGGCAGATCACGAGGTCAGGAGATCGAGACCATCCTGACCAACATGGTGAAACCCCATCTCTACTACAAATACAAAAATTAGCTGGGCGTGGTGTCATGCACCTGTAGTCCCAGCTACTCTGGAGGCTGAGGCAGGAGAATCGCTTGAACCCAGGAGGCGGAGGTTGCAGTGAGCCAAGACTGTGCCACTGCATTCCAGTCTGGTGACAGAGCAAGACTCCGTCTCAAAAAAAAAAAAAAGTTTTATGCCCACAAATTTGATAACTTAGATGAAATAGACCAATTCCTTGAGAGAGACAATCTACCAAAACTCACCAAAAGAGAAAGATAATCTTAATAGACCTATATCTACTTTTAAAATTGAATCAATAATCTTCCAAAAAAGAAAGCATCAAGCCCAAGTGTTTTCACTGGCGAATTCTAAGAACTAATACCACTTCTCTACAATCTCTTCCAGAAAATAGAAGCGGAGGGAATATTTCCTTAGTTCTGTGAAACCAGCATTATTCTAATACAGAAACAAAAGATACTACAAGAGGGGAAAACTACAGACCAATATATCTACCATGTACAAAATGTATCTTTTTTCTATCTTTTGTATTGGAGATATAAAAATTCTGGACAACATATTAGCACACGAAATCTGCTGTGGTTTGAATGTTACTGTCCAAAATTCATGTTGAAATGTCCAATGCAAGAGTATTAAGAGGTGGGGGTTTTGCAGCCTTCAGCGTTGTTCCGTTCTGCCCCTTCAGCCATGTAAGGACACAGTGTTCTTCCCCTCTGAAGGTTGAGGCAATGAAACACCATCTCGGAAGCGGAAAGTAGCCCTCACCAGAAAACTGAACCTGCTGGTGCCTTGATCTTGGACTACCTAGCTCCAGAGCTGTGAACACATTTCTGTTCTTTTATATTACCCAGTCTCAAGTATTTTGTTATAGCAGCACATATGAACTTAAACAGAATTCAACAATGTATAAAAAGAATTACATGCTATGACAAAGTGAGATTTATCCCAGGTATGCAAGGCTGGTTTGACAGGAAAATCAGTCACTATAGTCCATTACATCAATAGACTAACTAAGAAAAATCATATCAATGCAGAAAAAGTATTTCACTCAATAGATGCAGAAAAAGTATTTCACAAAATCAATCATCCATTCACCATAAAAACTCACAGCAAACTAGGAATAGAGGGGAATATCCTCAACTGGATAAAGAATATTTGCAAAAAACCTATAACCAACATCATAATTAATGGTGAGAAACTATATGCTTTCCCCCTCGGATCAGAAACAAGAATGTCTCCTCTCACTACTTCTAGTCAACATTGCAGGAGGTTCTAGCTAATACAATATGACAAGAAAAGAAAAGGCATCCAGATTGGGAAGGACGAAATAAAACTGTCTTTGTTCACAGATGACATAATTATTTATATAAAGAAATCCCAAAGAACCAACAAAAAGTGATCATAAGAAGGTTGCAGGTAGGTTAACATACAAAAGTCAATTGCTTTCCTATAAATTAGGAATAGATAATTGGAAGTTAAAAAAATTCTGGTGAGATATACATAACACAAAATTTACAATTTTAATAATTTTTAAGTGTATTAATATAATTCAGTGGCATTTCATTAAGTACATTCACAATGTTCGGTAACCATCACTACTATTTCCAGAAATTCATCATCCCAGACAGAAACTCTGTACTTACTGAACAATAACTTCTCATTCTCCTTCCTCCAAGTCCCTGCTGACCTCTATTCTACTTTCTGTCTCCATGAATATGCCTCTTCTAGGTATCTTATATGAGTGGAATCACATAATATATGTCCTTTTGTGTCTTTCTTATTTCATTTCACATAATGTTTTCAGGATTCATCAGTGTTTTGGCATGTATCAGAACTTCATTTCTTTTTATGGCTGAATAATATTCCATTGTTTCCATTCCAGTTATTTCCACATTTTGTTGATTGGTTTATCCATTGAAGGTCATTTGGGTTGTGTTCACCTCTTGGCTATTATGAATAATGCCACTATGAACATTGTCATACAAGGATCTGTTTGAGTCCCTGCTTTCAGTTCTTTAAGGAATAGACCTAAGAGTGGATTCACTGGATGTTATGGTGATGCTATGTTTAATTTTATGAGAAATGGCCAAATTATTTTCCAGAGTAGCTGCAACATTTTACATTCCCAATAACAATGCATAGCGTTCTAATTTTTCCACATTATAGTGAACATTTGTTATTTTTATTTATTTATTTTTGAGACAGAGTCTCGCTCTGTTGCCCAGGCTGGAGTGCGGTGGCACGATCTCGGCTTACTGCAACCTTCGCCTCCTGGGTTCAAGCGATTCCCCTGCCTCAGCCTCCTGAGTAGCTGGGATTACAGGCGCCCACCACCACGCCCAGCTAATTTTTATATTTTTAGTAAAGACGGGGTTTTGCCATGTTGGCCAGGCTGGTCTCGAACTCCTGACCCAAGCGATCCACCCACCTCAGCCTCCCAAAGTGCTGGGATTACAGGTGTGAGCTACTGTGCCCGGCCAGGTGTTCTTTATATATTCCGGATTTTAATCCTTTATCAGATATATGGCTTGCAAGTATTTTCTCCCATTCTGTGAGTTGTCTGTTCACTGTCTTGATAGTGTCCTATGATGAACTAAAGGTTTTTTTTTTTTTTTTTAGACGGAGTTTTCGCTTTTGTTGCCCAGGCTGGAGTGCAATGGTGCGATCTCAGCTCACTGCAACCTCTGCCTCCTGGGTTTAAATGACTCTCCTGCCTCAGCCTCCCGAGGAGCTGGGATTACAGGCATGCGCCCCCATGCCCAGCTAATTTTAATTTTGTATTTTTAGTAGAGGCGGGGTTTCTCCATGTTGGTCAGGCTGGTCTTGAACTCCCGACCTCAGGTGATCCACCCGCCTTGGCCTCCCAAAGTGCTGGGATTACAGGCATGAGCCACCGCACCCGGCCTTGAACTGAAGGTTTTTATTTGAAGCCCAGTTTATTTTTTCTTTTGTTGCCTGAGCTCTTAATGTTATATCCAAGCTATCATTGCCAAATTAATGTCATAAAGATTTTCCCTTTTGTTTCCTTCTAACGGTTTTATAATTTTAGCTATTAAGTTTAGGTGTTTGGTCCATTCTGAGTTAATTTTTGTATATCGTATAAGGTAAGGGTCTAACTTCATTCTTGGCATTTGGATACCCATCAACATTTGTTGAAAAGATTGTATGTACCAAACTGAATGGTCTTGGCACCCTTGTCAAAAAGTAATTGGTCATATATAGGAAGGTTTCCTTCTGGGCTCTCAATTCTATTCCATTCTCCATTTATTTATATATCTGTCCTTATTTCCCCTGTGACTTCTTCTTTGACACGTTGGTTGTTTCAGCATGTGTTATTGTACATATTTGTTAGCTTTTCAGTTTCCTTCTTTAATTGTTTTTGTTTTTGAGACGGAGTCTCGCTCTGTCACCCAGGCTGGAGTGCAGTGGTGCGATCTCAGCTCACTGCAACCTCTGCCTCCTGGGTTCAAGTGATTCTCCTGCCTCAGCCTCCCAAGTAGCTGGGATTACAGGTACCCACCACCACGCCCAGCTAATTTTTGTAGTTTTAGTAGAGATAGGGTTTCACCATGTTGGCCAGGCCGGTCTCAAACTCTTGACCTCAGGTGATCCATCTGCCTCTGCCTCCCAAAGTCCTGGGATTACAGGCATGAACCAACGTGGCTGGCCTCTTTCTGTTATTGATTTCTAGTTTCATTTCATTGTAAGTGGAAAAGATGGTATGATAGAATACAATATGATACAATATTTTATTTTATTTTAAAAAATAGAGATGGGGTCTCATTATGTTGCCCCGGTTAGCCTCAAACTCCTGAGCTCAACCTGCCTTGGCCTCCCAAAGTGCTGGGATTACAGATGTGAGCCACTGCACCTGGTCCAATCTTTTAAAATTTATTAAAATTTGGTTTGTGGCCTAATATATGGTCTCTCTTGGAGAATATTCCATTTGCATTGAGAAGAGTGTGTATTCTGCTCTTGAGTACAGTGTTCTGTATATGTCTGTTGGGTCTCACTAGCATATAGGGTTGTTCAAGTCTTCTCTTTCCTAATTACTCTTCTGTCTGGTTGTTCTATTCATTATTGAATGTGGGTTATTGAAGTCTCTAACCATTATTGTAGAATTCCCTTTATTGTATTGGAGAACTCCCTTTAATGTATCCCTCCAGGCCGGGCACGGTGGCTCACGCCCGTAATCCCAGCACTTTGGGAGGTGGAGGTGGGTGGATCACCTGAGGTGGGGAGTTCCAGACCAGCCTGACCAACACGGAGAAACCCCATCTCTACTAAAAATACAAAATTAGCCAGGCACGGTGGCGCATGCCTGTAATCCTAGCTACTCGGGAGGCTGAGGCAGGAGAATCACTTGAACCCAGGAGGCAGAGGTTGCAGTGAGCCAAGATCACTCCATTGCACTCCAGCCTGGGCAACAAGAGCGAAACTCCATCTCAAAAAAAAAAAAAAAAAAAATATATATATATATATATATATATATATATATATATATATATATCCTTCCATTATTGTATTTCTCTCTTTGATTCTGTCAGCTTTTGCTTAATATATTTTGGAGTTATGTTATTAGATGTGTATATGTTTACAATTGTTACATATTCTTAAAAAGTTTTATCAAAATGTAATATCCTTTGTTATCTCTTGTAACTTTACACTTATAATGTTTGTTTATTTGTTTGTTTTAGAGACAGCATCTCACAGTGTTGCCCAGACTGGAGAGCAGTGCACTGCAACCTCTAACTCCTGGGCTCAAGTGATCCTTCTGCCTCAGCCTCCGGAGTAGCTGGGACTACAGGTGCATGCCACCATGCTTGGCAATAATCTATATATCTGATAATTATATAATTATATAGCCACCTCATCTCTATTTTTGTTACTATTTGCATAAAGTATCTTTTCCATTATTTTACTTTCAACTTCCTTGTGTCTTAGTATCCAAAGTGACTCTATTATAGACAACATATGGTTGGATTATACAGATTATACCAAATGTATAAAAGATATACATGAGGAAAACTACAAAACTGTGATGACAAAATCAAGAAGATCTAAATATTAATAAATGAGGAGATATTTCATATTCATGGACAGGATGACTCATATTGTTAAGATGTCATTTCTTCCCAACTTGATCTATAGACTCAATGCAATCCCAATCAAAATCCAAACAAGTGAGCTAAGGAGTTCGAGACCAGCCTGGGCAACATAGTGGGACCCTGTCTTTAAAAAAAATTTTTTTTTTTAATTAGCCAGGCTGGTGGTGCACACCTGTAGTCCCAGCTACTCAGGAGGCTGAGGTGGAAGGATGGCTTGAGCCCAGGAGTTTGATTGCACCACTGCACTCCAGCCTGGGCAACATAGTGAGATGCCATCTCTAAAACAAGCAGAAGAAAAAAAATTACTGCAAAAATTGATGACATTGAAAAGAGGAAAATTAACCAGGCATGGTGGCTCATGATTACCTGAGGTCAGGAGTTCGAGACCAATCTGGCCAACATGGTGAAACCTCATCTCTACTAAAAATACAAAAATTAGCTGGGCGTGATGGTGGGCACCTGTAATCCCAGCTACTTGCAAGGCTGAGGCAGGAGAATCACTTGAACTCGGGAGGCGGACGTTGCAGTGAGCCGAGATCGTGCCATTGCACTCCAGCCTGGATGACAAGAGTGAAACTCTGTCTCAAAACAAACAAACAAACAAAAAAGAGTAAAATTATAGAAGAAAAAAAATGGCACAAAGACTGACCTCTAAAGTAAACTATGGACTCTAGTTAACAATAATATATCAATACTGATTTATCAATTATAACAAATGTGCCACACTAATCCAAGATGTTAATAATAGGGATATTGCCAGGCGCCTCAGGTCTGTAATCGCAGCACTTCGGGAGGCTGAGGCAGTCTGATCACTTGAGGTCAGGAGTTTGAGACCAGCCTGGCCAATACAGTGAAACCCCACCTCTACTAAAAATACAAAAATTAGCCAGGCGTGGTGGCGGGCACCTGTAATCCTAGCACTTTGGGAGGCTGAGGCAGGAGAATTGCTTGAACCTGGGAGGTGGAGGTCACAGTGAGCCAAGATAGCTCCACTGCAATCCAGCTTGGGTGACCTAGCAAGATCCAGTCTCAAAAAAAAAAAAAAAAAAAAAAAAAAAGGGCGGGTATTCTGAAACTCTCTGTACATTCTGTTCAATTTTTCTGTAAACCTAAAACTATACTCCTCCCCCATAAAATCTATTAATTTACTTAAAAGTGAAGTTGACTTTTTAACACAAAATGGGAAAGGCTTTAGGCAGGAAAGCCACATGGTCAGATATAGGTCTTGAATAAAGCTGCCTGGAGGCAGTATGAAAAGCCATGGTGGGGTGGTAGAGTGAAGCAGAAGGGGAAAGCGTACAAAGCCTGGCATCAAAGAGTAATGCACGGTCCAAGTAGAAGAAGGTGACAGTCTCCGCTAGAATAATGAAGAAGGGAAATAGGAAGCAGGCTTGAGAAATACTTAGGGGGTCAAATAGGCAAGATGAGGTGATTGGTTTTATTTGTACAGTAAGAGAGGGAAAGGAAAAGAATGACATCCAGTTTTCTAGCATAGGTGATGGGGTGGGTAAAATTCTACTTAATTAGATCTCAAGTACCCCTTTTGTACTCTCGGATGGCACTCACCTCCATTCCTCTATCATCATAGATGGAAATATGTAATTGTGGGTTTCTTTGTTCATTTGTTTTGACACAGGGTGTTGCTCTGTTACCCAGGCTGGAGTGCAGTGGCACCTTCGCAGCTTACTGCAGGCTCAACCTCCTGGGCTTCTAGCAATCCTCCCATGTCAGCCTCCCAAGTAGCTGGGACTACAGGCACGAGCACCACACCCAGGGAATTTTTAATTTTTTTGTAGTCCCAGGGTCTCACTATGTTGCCCAGGCTGGTCTCAAACTCCCAGGCTCAAGCAATCCTCCCACCTTGGCCTCCCAAAGTGCTGGGATTGCAGGCCTGAGCCACCGTGCTGGGCCAGGCTTATTTGTTTGGTGGCAGTCTGCTTCTCTAGATTGAAAAGGCAGTGGGGTGGAACCATGTCTGGTCTTGTTCATCCTTCTATCCCAGCCCTAGCACAGTGAGTGGCACAGAGTAGGCACCTGATAAATAGTTGTCAACAAATATAGACTGTGTCAATTATACCTCAATAAATCGGGGAAAAAAATTAAAAATGGACTGAGAAAATGAGCATACAGAAAGAAAAGACAGTTTAAGAAGTTCCTTTTTGGAGCCGGGTGTGGTGGCTCACGCCTGTAATCCCAGCACTTTTGGAGGTTGAGGTGGGCGGATCATGAGGTCAGGAGTTCAAGACCAGCCTGACTAACATGGTGAAACCCCGTCTCTACTAAAAATACAAAAATTAGCGGGGCATGGTGGCATGCTCCTGTGATCCCAGCTACTTGGGAGGCTGAGGCAGGAGAATCACTTGAACCCAGGAGGCAGAGGTTGCAATGAGCTAGAGATCGAGCCACTGCACTCCAGCCTGGGCGACAGAGCGAAGACTCTGTCCCAGGAAAAAAAAAAGGAAGTTCCTTTTTGGACATGGTGAGTTTGAAATGACTGTGCAAAAGTCCAGGTGGAGATAGCCAGGAGGCAGCTGGAAATGAATTTGAGATTCAGGGAGAGATTAGGTTTGGAGATAGAAAGTGGAGAGTTAAGGCCAGGCATGGTGGCTGACGCCTGTAATTCCAGCAATTTGGGAGGCTGAGACTGGCGATCACCTGAGGTTGGGAGTTTGAGAACAGGCTAACATGGAGAAACCACATCTCTACTAAAAATACAAAATTAGCAGGCATGGTGGTGCATGCCTGTAATCCCATCTACTCGGGAGGCTGAGGCAGGAGAATTGCTTGAACCCTGGAGGCGGAGGTTGTGGGGTAAGCCGAGATTGCACCATTGCACTCCAGCCTGGGCAACAAGAGCGAAACTCCAACTTAAAAAAAAAAAGAAAAAAAAAAAGAAAGTTGAGAGTTAACAGCATGTCATAAAATAAAAGCAAGAAAGAAATGTGTAGGAGCAGACCCCAATGAAGTTCAACATTTAATGTCATTTACTTCCTCCTACTTCTTAGTCAATCACCTCTGCCTTATCCAAGTGCACTTCACTTTCCCCTGCGCTGCTTACAGGGATGGCATATGACACAGCCCCAGGGGACACATTACTATGTTGTGCTCCAGGGAGGGCCTGCCTTTGCCTTCATGACCTTTTCCAAGGTGACATCATGTGCCTATAATATCTTTTCTCCATTTGCCAACTCAGTTTTCTCCAATTCCTTAAACAGCCAGTGAATTCACGGAAATCCTCTTCCATTAAATCCTTTTGCTGCAGACCACAGAATAGCAACTATCCTGAATATTCTGACCCCTGAATAGCAAATTACCACTCTGCTGAATCAAAATGTGGAACTCTTACTCGTTCCCAGTTCTTTTTCCAATTAGATGCCTTGTTGTTTACTCTTAAAATCAACTTAGGTCTCTTTCCTTTCTTTCCTCTTTTTCCTTTCTTCCTTTCCTTCCTTTCCTTTCCTTCCCTTCCTTCCTCCCCTTCCTTCCTCTCCTTCCCTTCCTTCCCTTCCCTCCCTTTCTTCCCTCCCTCCCTTCCTTCCTTCTTTCTTTTCTCTTTTTCTTTCATCTTTCTTTCTTTTTTGAGATGAAGTCTCGCTCTGTCACCCAGGCTGGAGTGCAGTGGCACGATCTCGGCTCACTGCAACCTCCACCTCCTGGGTTCAAGTGATTCTCCTGCCTCAGCCTCCTGAGTAGCTGGGATTACAGGCACGCACCACCACACCTGGCTAATTTTTGTATTTTTAGTAGAGACGGGGTTTTACCATGTTGGCCAGGCTGGTCTGGAATGCCTGACCTCGTAATCTGCCCTCCTCAGCCTCCCAAAGTGCTGGGATTATAGACATGAGCCACCACGCCCGGCCTATTTATTTATTTTTGAAACCAGTTCTCACTCTGTCGCCCAGGCTGGAGTGCAGTGGCAAGATCATGGCTCACTGCAGCCTTGACTTACCAGACTGAATCAATCCTCCCATCTCAGCCTCTCAAGTAGCTGGGACAACAGACACGTGCCACCATGCCCGGCTAATGTTTATATTTTTTGTACAGACAGGGCCTTGCCATGTTGCCCAGGCTGGTCTTGACCTTCTGGGCTCAAACCATCTGACTACCTCAGCCTTCCAAAGTGCTGGGATTACAGGTGTGAACCACCATGCCTTACCCAAATTAGGCTTATCTTGATGCAAACACCTTGTTGTCTGTTGCTATTTGGTTTATTGTTTCTGTGTCATTGTCTGTGTGTTCGGCCATAGCAGTGATGTATGTGTCCTGATCTGGTGCTTACCCTGAAGAAATCATAGGCTGTGTCAGGTAGAGCCATGGACAGTCTGGATTATCTAGCACAGTTCTGTTGAAAATATTCATTTGATATGTCAAACTATGCATTTTGTTTTCTTTTTCTTTGTTTTATATAGAATCAGGGTCTCACTATGCTGCCCAGGCTGGTTTTGAACTCCTGGCTTCCCACCTTGGCCTCCCAAAGTGCTGGAATTACAGGTGTGAGCGACCATGCCAAACCCAAACTGTGCATTTTGGCTCAGAAAATGTTGTTAGGGCAGGAACACTTGGCAGATTTCTTGGTATTTACAATTAGGCATTTAATACATACTTTTTAGAAATAACAACAACAACAAAGGAACTTGAGCTTCTCAAGTCTTAGCTTTGTCTAAAGCCCACAGGGTCTCTTTAGAAAGGATAATGTCTAAAATCAACATTATAAATATATTTATGGGAGACTGGTTTGAGTAATAAAACTCCGGTCTCCCGCAAAAATAAATAAAAATAAATAAGTAAATATATTTATGTTCTATATGCCAACATAGCAACTTCTCAGTGATGTTCAGTAAGGGATAAATTCCTCCATTTATTAAGTGTCTAATTGTAAATACCAGGAAATCTGCCAAGTGTTCCTGCCCTAACAACATCGGAGAACAACAGGAAGCCTGATCAACAGTGGCTTTTCCCCTCATAGCAAGTGCAGGGATAGGCAGTCCCCTGTAGTCCCAGCTACTCGGGAGGCTGATCAGCATAAAAGCTGCCCATAGTCGCCATCAGGGAGGGATCCGGGCTGCTCTCACCTGTCCATTCTGTCCTTCTTAGTTACAGTGGCTTTTGTCCTCACACTTGTCATCTCATGGCCAGTGGTGGCTGCTCCACTTCTAAGTTTCATGTCCCCAGGAAGATGGTAGCAAGAATTCGGGGGTGGAGGGACAAGGGAAAAAGACACTTCTTGTACTGAGGTATTGTCATTTTATTCAGGAAGGGAAGCCCTCCTTAGTGATTTCACTTAGATCTCATTGACCATCTCTCCCTACAAGGGAACAGAGAGACGGAGTTTGTAGCTTTTACAGCTTCTGTGACAGAGCTAGACAAGTGAGATGGGAGAAATGATTGGGAGCTACCAATCAAGTACTTCAGACTTAAGAAAAAAATAGAAATCACATTATTGCATCTGCATATTTCCTAAAATCCTGTGAGCAACACATCTTACGCTAATTTACTTGTGCAGATGTTGATTTCTATCTACATAATTTACAGAATGATCTCATTTCAAAAATTTCCACTCCATAAAATATGAACAATATTACACTCCTTTCTTATTTTCAGTTTTGGTGTCAGTTTATATGGTCTATTTTATCAAAGTGAACTAGGAAAAGGATTGAAAATATTTCTAGATTCTAATTCAGGTAATTGGGTGAATAAGAGTTTTTTTTTTTTCTTTTTTGAGATGGAGTCTCGCTCGGTCACCCAGGCTGGAGTGCGGTGGCACAATCTCAGCTCACTGCAACCTCTGCCTCCCGGGTTCAAGCGATTTTCCTGCCTCAGCCTCTCAAGTAGCTGGGATTACCGGCACGCACCACCACGCCCAGATAATTTTTGTATTTTTAGTAGAGATGGGGTTTCACGATGATGGCCAAGCTGGTTTTGAACTCCTGACCTCAAGTGATCTGCCCACCTCGGCCTCCCAAAGTGCTAGGATTACAGGTGTGAGCCACCACGCCCAGCCAAATAAGAGATATTTTTAGCCATGTGTCATTTTTCTTTCTTTCTTTTTTTTTTTTTTTTATGAGATGGGGTATTGCTCTGTTGCCCAGTCTGGAGTACAGAGGCACAATTATAGCTCACAGCAACCTCAAATTCCTGGGCTCAAGCAGTCTTCCTGCCTCAGCCTCTTGAGTTGCTGGTATTACAGGCATGAGCCACCACACCTGGCTGTCATTTTTATTTTACTTTATTATTTTATTTATTTATTTATTTAGAAACAGGATCTCCGTCTGCCTGTCGCCCAGGCTGGAGTGCAGTGACATGATCATGGCTCACTGCAGCCTTGACCTCCTGGGC
Organism: Homo sapiens; assembly: GCF_000001405.40. NCBI lineage: Eukaryota > Metazoa > Chordata > Mammalia > Primates > Hominidae > Homo > Homo sapiens. The sequence continues at coordinate 92,434,152 of NC_000010.11, forward strand.
TCAAGTGATCCTCCCACCTCAGCCTCCAGAGTAGCTGGGACTACAGGTAAGAGCCATCATGCCTGGCTAATTTTTTTATTTTTATTTTTTATAGAAATGAGGTCTCCCTATGTCGTCCAGGCTGGTCTTGGACTCCTGGGCTCGAGCGAGCCTTCTGTTTCAGTCTCCCAAAGTGCTGGGATTTCAGGCATGAGCCACCATATCCAGCCCTGGCTGTCATTTTTAAAGTTAGTTCCTGGTCTTTTCCTCTGAGGTGGCAAAAATTTCTTTGACTGGCAAGCAACAGCACCAAAGGTAATGTTACCTATCTTCCCACGTTTGTCCCCGCTTGGCACATTACATAAATTGGAGTCAGCCAGGTTCCATGGCTCATGCCTATAATCCCAGCAATTTGGGAGGCCAGGATGGGAGGATGGCTTGAGGACAGGAGTTCAAAACCAGCCTGGGCAACATAGTGAGACCCCGCCTCTACAAAAAATAAAAAATTAGGCAAGGTGGTGAGCACCTATAGTCCTAGCTACTCGAGAAGCTGAGCCTGGAGGATCACTTGAGCCCAGGAGTTCCAGGCTGCAGTGAGCTATGATGGAACCACTGCACTCCATCCTGGGAGACAGAAAAAGATCTTGTCTCTAAAAAAAAAAAAAAAAATTAAGGGCTGGGCACAGTGGCTCACGCCTGTAATCCCAGCACTTTGGGAGACCGAGGTGGGCGGATCACGAGGTCAGGAGTTTGAGACCAGCCTGGCCAACATAGTGAAAACCCGTCTCTACTAAAAATACAAAAATTAGCTGGGTGTGGTGGCAGGCACCTGTAGTCCCAGCTACTTGGGAGTCTGAGGCAGGAGAATCGCTTGAACCCAGGAGGAGGAGGTTGCAGTGAGCCGAGACCACGCCATTGCACTCCAGCCTGGGTGACAGAATAAGACTCCGTCTAAAAAAAAAAATTAAAAGAAGAAACCATAAATTGGAGTTGGTGTAGACATAAAGCCAGAGAATGGGTTTTGAGTGTGTGGAGCATTTTTCACTGAGAAGTGCTTTATCTCCATCTTGTGGACAACCTTATCTTTGCAATGTCAGCAGTGGTTCTCTGGCCTTAAACACACATAAGGATCACGAGGAGGACTTGCAAACAATCCAATATCCAGTCCTCTCTACCCCATCCCCACCAACTCAGTTAGTGTAGATATATATTTTATATATATATATGTGTGTGTGTGTGTGTATATATGTGTGTGTGTATATATATGTGTGTGTGTATATATGTGTATATATGTATATATGTGTATATATATGTGTATATATGTATATATATGTGTGTATATATGTGTGTGTGTGTGTGTGTATATATATATATATATATATATATATATATATATGATCTGTAGCTGGGCGATAGGAAGCAGGAAAAAAAAGATCTGTAGCCAACTTTCATATGCAATTAGGGTTAAAAACCAATAAGTTAGAAGAAACTCTAAGTCAGTTATGAATACTGGAACAATCATTCCTTCTATAAGACTGCCATAAAGTAAAAAGAACAATCTCTGTAGGTAAATTATACAATCTTCCAAAGGCCCTTTTACAACTTGCAGAGAGGAAATCAAGGAGTTGCTAGCAATATGAGAAATCTAAACCCAAATCCAAATTGCTTTCTGTGCAACTCTCCCTATGATGAGGCAGAAATGTGCTGAGCAAAGAGACATGCAAATACACACACCATCAGACTTGTCCCTGGGCCAAACTGTGAAGTGGTTTCCACCTGCTTTTGGTATCATATATGTTTCCTGGCTGCTTTCTTGCGTATATCCTTGTTTAATTCTGGTTCTTCTCATGAATGCCAATATTTGCCTGAGGGCACAGGGCCCTGGAAGGCCTCAGGTGCCCACCCAGATCTTGCTTTTCCCTCCATCTTTTCGTTTATTAAAACTTACCTTGCCGGGATCTGATTCTTTCTCAGCTCATTATCTTCTTAAAAAGCTTCTCAAACTAATTCCCAATGACAATGGGTCAGTCTTCATCATAATGCAGGCATTATTGGAATTTTTTTTTTTTTTTTTTTTTTGAGATGAAGTCTCCCTCTGTTGCCCAGGCTGGAATGCAGTGGTGCAATCTAAGCTCACTGCAATCTTTTGCTTCCCGGTTCAAGTGATTCTCCTGCCTCAGCCTCCTAAGTAGCTGGGATCACAGGAGCCCACTATCACGCCCGGCTAAATTTTGTATTTTTAAAAGTAGAAATGGGGTTTCACCATTGTGGTCAGGCTGGTCTCGAACTCCTGACCTCAGGTGATCTGCCTGCCTCAGCCTCCCAAAGTGCTGTGATTACAGGCGTGAGCCACCATGCCCAGCCTGGAATAAAATTTAGTCATTAAAATAGGAGACCAAGTTCTGCTCTGGCAGTGGTTGACTAGATGGTGCTGAAACCTCTCACTGAAAACAAACTAGAAAAGATGTACAATATATACCATTAAGAGTGAAAAGACAAGCCAAAGAGTGATAAATAATAAAAATAACAAAAGAGCTCAGACCCAAAATATATGGGACTCCTACAAATCACTAAGGATTGACAACACAATTAAAAAATGGCTGAGAGGCCAGGCACAGTGCCTCATGCCTGTAATCCCAGCGTTTTGGGAGGCCAAGCAAAATCACTTGAGACCAGGAGTTCAAAATTAGACTGGGCAACATAGCAAGACCCCTGTCTCTACAAAAAAATTAAAAAATCAGCTGGGCATGGTTGGGCACAGTGGCTCACGCCTGTAATCCCAGCACTTTGCGGGGCTGAGGCGGGTGGATCATCTGAGGTCAGGAGTTCAAGGCCAGCCTGACCAACATGGTGAAACCCCATCTTTACTAAAAATACGAAAAGTTGACAAGGTGTTAACTTTTCTCATATTGCTAGCAACTCCTTGATTTCCTCTCTGCAAGTTGTAAGAGGGCCTTTGGAAGATTATATAATTTACCTACAGAGATTGCCTCGGGACGCTGAGGCAGGAGAATCATTTGAACCCGGGAGGCGGAGGTTGCAGTGAGCCGAAATGGCACCACTGCACCCCAGCCTGGGCGACAGAGCAAGACTCTGTCTCAAAAAAAAAAAAAAAGAAAAGAAAAGAAAAGAAAAAGGCCGGGTGCAGTGGCTCATGCCTGTAATCCTAGCACTTTGGGAGGCCGAGGTGGGCGGATCACCTGAGGTCAGGAGTTCGAGACCAGCCTGACCAACATGGAGAAACCTCATCTCTACTGAAAATACAAAGTTCACCGGGGGTGGTGGCGCATGCCTATAATCCCAGGTATTCGGGAGTTTGAGGCAGGAGAATCGCTTGAACCCGGGAGACGGAGGTTGCAGTGAGCCGAGATCGTGCCATTGCACTCCAGCCTGGGCAGTAAGAGTGAAACTCCATCTCAAAAAATAAAATAAAATAAGCTGGGCATGATGGCACACACCTGTAGTCCTAGCTACTTGGAAGGCTGAGGTGGGAGGATTGTTTTAGCCCAGGATTTTGAGGCTGCAGTGAGCTATGACTGCATCACTGCACTCTAGCCTGGGTGACAGAAAGAGACCCTGTCTCAAAAAAAAATTGGTGAAAGACTTCACAAAAGGGAACACTGAAAAGTCAATACACATGAAAAGTTTCTTAAGCTCATTATATGCAAAGAAATGCTAATTAAAACCACAGTGTATATACCTACTACACCCATGAGAATGGCCAAAATTTAAAAGACTAACAGTTGGTCCAAGAGTTGTGGGTTGTTAAGCTGATTAATATTGTCTCCCTCTACAACCATGCTTGACTCCAAAAAATAAAGAAAATAAAAAATAAAAATACTGGCCAGGTGCAGTGGCTCACGCCTGTAATCCCAGCACTTTGGGAGGCTGAGGCAGGCGGATCACGAGGTCAGGAGATCGAGACCATCCTGGCTAACATGGTGAAATCCCGTCTCTACTGAAAATACAAAAAATTAGCCGGGCGTGGTGGTGGGCGCCTGTAGTCCCAGCTACTCGGGAGGCTGAGGCAGGAGAATGGCATGAACTCACGAGGCAGAGCTTGCAGTGAGCTGAGATTGCGCCACTGCACTCCAGCCTGGGGGACAGAGCAAGACTGCGTCTCAAAAATAAATAAATAAATAAATATAAATAAATAAATAATAAATAAAAATAAAAAGACTAACAATACCAAGTGATGGTAAACAGCTGAAACTCTCATACCCTGCTGTGAGAGTGTAAATTCGCATAGTCACTTTGGAAAACTGTTTAGTTGTATCTGCTAAAGTTGCTCACACACATGTATCCTATGACTTTGCAATTTCACCTGTTACAGAAATAGATGCAGATACGTACCAAAGACATGTTTTTGTTGTTGTTGTTTTTGAGACAGAATTTCGCTTTTGTTGCCCAGTCTGGAGTGCAATGGTGGGATCTGGGCTCACCACAACCTCCGCCACCCAGGTTTAAGCGATTCTCCTGCCTCAGCCTCCCGAGTAGCTGGGATTACAGACATGCACCACCATGCCCAGCTAATTTTGCATTTTTAGTAGAGATGGGATTTCTCCACTTTGGTCAGGCTGGTTTCAAACTCCCAACCTCAGGTGATCCGCCCACCTCAGCCTCCCAAAGTGCTGGGATTACAGGCATGAGCCACTGTGCCTGGCATCAAAGACATGTTTTAAAATGTTTAAAAATAGGCTGGGCGCAGGCCAAGATGGCGCCACTGCACTCCAGCCTGGGTGACACAGCGAGACTCCGTCTAAAAAATAAATAAATAAATAAAATAAAATTATTGAGATGTACCTGGAAGTGCTCCTCAAACTTTACTGTATGTTTGACTCACCTGGAGATCTTGTTAAAAGGTAGATTTTATCCAGTAGTCTGCGGCAAGCTCCAGTTGATGCCCACACTGGTCCACCGAGCATGCTTTGACTAGCAAGGACCTAGGGCGCTTCCCAAACTATGTTCCACCAACAGTAACGTTTTGCAAAGTGTTGACATTATTAAATTACTAAAATATAATAAAAATTTACTTTAAAAACATAATACTGGCTGGGTACAGTGGCTCATGCCTATAATCCCCATACTTTGGGAGGCCGAGGCAGGAGGATCACTTGAACTCAGGAGTTTGAGACTAGCCTGGGCAACAAAATGAGACCCCATCTCTACAAAAAATTCAAAAATTAGCTGGATGTGGTGGTGCATGCCTGTAGTCCCAACTACTGGAGAGACGAAGTGGGAGGCTGGCTTGAGCCTGGGAGGCAGAGGTTGCAGGGGGCCAAGATCGCGTCACTGCACTCCAGCCTGGGCAACAGAGCCCGACTCTGTCTTAAACGCGCACACACACACACACACACTCTCTCTCTCTCTCTCTCTCTCTCTCTCTCTCTCTCTCTCTATATATATATATATATATATATATAATTTTCAGGTTACTCTTATTTTGTAAGAATTTGTTTTTAAAAGTCAGTGTGCCATAGCAGAGAATAATAACCTCATAAACATAAAGCTCAGTAAACAACTATGTGCCAGGTACTGTGACACTACCTAATTTAATCCAGAAGAATATGCCTGGAAGTGGCAGGAAAGGTCATCCCATGATGAACATGAGCTCTCTGACACTTCGCTGGAAAAGCAGCACTTAGCAATTGGCATCTCTGTGATGGATTGTCTATTGATGGGGCTGGAAAACTTCTGTAAAACACTAGGTGGTAAATATTTAGGCTTTCTGGATATTGAGACTCAGGAAATGCTACCTCAAAGCGAAAGCCTCAGAAGCAGCTCTCTCTGACCTCCTCCTGCCCTCCTGTCTCTTCCCCGCTTTCTCCCCCAGGGCATGCCACGGAAACTAGAATCCTTCTTCTCCACAGTGGGTTATAAAGCCTAAAAACATTACTCTAACCTCTCCCCACCTTTCTGTCTAGAGATGGTCATAAAGAAATTCCCTGACCTATCTGGCTTGACAGTAGGTCATAAGACCCCCATTCCAGGATCCTGTTCCATACCTGAGAGGAAGAAATGCTACAACAGAGACACCAAGAAGAACCTCAACAGACAGGTCTTGCTGGGCTTCCTCCTCTCGGTCTACTACATTAGATCACACCCTTTGCCACAGTTGTACATGACTGTCCACTCTTCATTGCATCGAAGCATACAAATGGACAGTTTTTCCTATATCTCTGGGTCTTCATTTTGAAGGCTCCCATGTCATGTAAAACCATGATTAAATAAACTTGTTACACTTTTCTCTTGTTAACCGTCTCTTTTGTTATAGAAGTGTCTGCTGCGACCCTTATGATGGGAAGAAAAGGTATCACACCCTTTTCACCCCTACACAGATCATAGGGTCTGTATCATAACTACTAAGCTCTGCCATTATAGCATGAAAGCATAAATATGTAAAAGAATGAGCATAACTGTGGTCCAAAAAACTTCATTGACAAAAAACATGGCAGGCCATAGTTTCCAACCTGTGGCCTATTGAATCTTTAGTCAATGATATGTGTCTTGTTTTAAAATTTGCATACATTTTACCTGAGAAAATGTTATAAATCTATAGTTTGGTTTCTTTCTTTCTTTTCCTTTCTTTCTTTCTTCCTTTCTTTCTTTCATTCGTTCGTTCTTTCTTCTTTCGTTCTTTCTCTCTCTTTCCTTCCTTCCTTCTCTCTTTCTCTTTCTCTCTCTCTCTTTCTTTTCTTTTCTTTCTTTTTTTGTCTTTTTTCTGATGGAGTCTCGCTCTGTTTGTTGCCCAGGCTGGAGTGCAGTGGTGTGATCTCGGCTCACTGCAGCCTCTACCCCTGGGTTCAGGTGATTCTCCTCTCTCAGCCTCTGGAGTAGCTGGGATTACAGGCATGCACCACCATGCCTGGCTGATTTTTGTATTTTTAGTAGAGACAGAGTTTTACCATGTTGGCCAGGCTGGTCTTGAACTCCTGACCTCAGGTGATCTGCCCACCTCGGCCTCCCAGAGTGCTGGGATTACAGACATGAGCCATTGCACCTGGCCTATAGTTTGTTTTCTTTTTTTTTAGACAGAGTCTCGCTCTGTCTCCCAGGCTGGAGTGCAGTGGCACAATCTCAGCTCACTGCAACCTCTGCCTCCTGGGTTCAAGCGATTCTCCTGCCTCAGCCACCTGAGTAGTTGGGATCACAGGCGCCCGCCACCACGCCTGGCTAATTTTTGTATTTTTAGTAGAGACAGTGTTTCACCATGTTGGTCAGGCTGGTCTCAAACTCCTGACCTCAGGTGATCCGCTCACTTGGCCTCCCAAAGGGCTGGGATTACAGGTGTTAGCCACCGTGCCCGGCCTGACTGGGCTCCTTCTGATTGGTTGCTGCAATCACATGTTTTTAGGAAAAATGGTCTACTTGGGGTTTTCCTGCTTCCTTAAAGTTTCAGTTGGAGGCTGGGCGTGGTGGCTTACCCCTGTAATCCTAGCACTTTTGAGAGGCTGAGGTGGGCAGATTGCCTGAGCTCAGGAGTTTGAGACCAGCCTGGGCAACAAGGCAAAACCCCATCTCTACTAAAAATACAAAAAATTAGCTGGGTGTGGTGGTGCACACCTGTAGTCCCAGCTATTTGGGAGGCTGAGGCAGGAGAATTGCTTGAATCCGGGAGACAGAGGCTGCAGCAAGTTGAGATTGCACCACTGCACTCCAGCCCGGGTGACAGAGAGAGATTCTGTCTCAAAAAAAAAAAAAAAAAGAAAAAAGTTTAGGTTGGGTGTGGTGGCTCACGCCTGTAATCCCAACACTTTGGGAGGCCGAGGCAAGCGGATCACCTGAGGTCGGGAGTTTGAGACCAGCCTGACTAACGTGGAGAAACCCCGTCTCTACTAAAAATATAAAATTAGCCAGGTGTGGTGATTCATGCCTGTAATCCCAGCTACTTGGGAGGCTGAGGCAGGAGAATCGCTTGAACCCGGGAGGCAGAGGTTGCTGTGAGCCGAGATTGCGGCAACAAGAGCGAAACTCCGTCTCAAAAAAAAAAAAAAGTTTCAATTTGATTGTCTGGCACTTTAGCATGAGTGATTCCATTTTGGTTTGGTCTGCTGGGGCTTAGTGTAGGAGCTCAGTCCAAAATAATGGCCTCCTATAAATTTAACCCAGGCTATCAAAGATAAACAAAGCTGGACTTTAATTGAAGTGGTGACAACTGATGTTATTCAGTAACTATTGACAGTAGTGGAAACAGCTGAACTCCATTCTAATTTATACAAGGTGCCTGGGTGTTTTAAAGGGAGAATGAGGGTGTAGGAAGGGGGAGCGACAGGGAACGCAAGTGAAACATTACAAAGGGTTGGTCGGTGTAAATGTGAATAGACTGTGTCTGCAAGCTGGGAATTATGTTTTTTGTTTGTTTTGAGACAGTGTGTCACTCTGTCACCCAGGCTGGAGTATAGTGGCATGATCTTGGCTCACTGTACCCCTAGGCTCAAGTGATCTTCCCACCTCAGCCTTCTGAGTAGCTGGAGGCTGAGGTGGGAGGATTGTCTGGCTAATTTTTTGTATTTTTAGTAGAGACAGGGTCTTGCCACGTTGCCCAGGCTGGTCTTGAACTCCTGAGCTCAAGCAATCCCCTCCGCCTTGGCCTCCCAAAGTGCTGGGATTACAGGCATAAGCCACCATGCCCGGCCACACCAAGCCGGCAATTATGGAAGTTAGGATTCTATCCTCCCACAAAGACTAGGAGACAGAAGCAGTGTTCTCATAATTACATCTTAATTTTTTTTTCTTGAGACGGAGTCTCACTCTGTCGCTCAGGCTGGAGTGCAGTGGTGCAATCTTGGCTCACTGCAACAGCCGCCTCCCAGATTCAAGCAATTCTCCTGTCTCAGCCTCCCGAGTAGTTGGGACTACAGGCGCACACCACCATGCCTGGCTAACTTTTGTATTTTTAGTAGAGACGGGGTTTCACCATGTTGGCCAGGCTGGTCTCGAACTCCTGACCTCAGGTGATCTGCCTGCCTTGGCCTCCCAAAGTGCTAGGATTACAGGCGGCAGCCAATGAACCCGGGGTAATTTTATATTTCTAACTCACCCTACCTTATAGTTGTGGAAAGATTCCTCTGAAACACTTCCCAAAATATCTTTTGCTACAATAAAGAACAAGTGTGGCTGGGCACTGTGACTCATGCATGTAATCCCAGCACTTTGGGAGGCCAGGGAGGGACGATTGCTTGAGCCCAGGAGAGTTTGAGACCAGCCTGGGCAAAATGGCGATATTCCTGTCTCCACAAAAAATTAAAAAATTAGCCAGGTGTGGTGGCGTGCACCTGTAGTCCCAGCTACTCGGAGGCTGAGGCAGGGGGATTGCCTGAGCCTGGGAGTCCGAGGCTGTCAATGAGCTACGATGGTGCTACTGCACTCCAGCCTGGAATGAGACCCCAGCTCTAAAAAATACAAAAAAAAACAGAAAGAAAAGGAAAGAGGCTGGGCGCGGTGGCTCATGCCTGAAATCCCAGCACTTTGGGAGGCCGAGACGGGCGGATCACGAGGTCAGGAGATCGAGACCATCCTGGCTAACACGATGAAACGCCGTCTCTACTAAAAATACAAAAAAAATTAGCCGTGCGTGGTGGCGGGCGCCTGTAGTCTCAGCTACTCGGGAGGCGGAGGCAGGAGAATGGCGTGAACCCGGGAGGCAGAGCTTGCAGTGAGCCGAGATCGCACCACTGCACTCCAGCCTGGGCGACAGAGTGAGACTCCGTACCCCCGCCAAAAAAAAAAAGGAAAAAGAACAAGTGTGTCTACTCTACAGCAGAAATAGAAACTTTGAAAACTATTTTTCTAAATATGTGGTAGAAGCTTTCACTTGGCATTATCAGTACATCTAATTTTAGCTATGCCAGTCTGCATGGAATGGTATCTCATTTTGTTTTTTAAAAAATACTTTTTTCACCAGCAAAGGAGACAAAATAAAATCATGTAAAAAAACTCAAACCAAAAGAAAACATTTAAAAACAATAAAAACAGATTTAAAAAATAGAAAATAAATAGTAAAATAATCAATTTATATCAAACAACTTTTCCCCAGCTTTTTAGTTGCTACAGAACATTTCTGTCTGGGCGCGGTGGCTTACGCATGTAATCCCAGCACTTTGGGAGGCCAAGGCGGGTGGATCACCTGAAGTCAGGAGTTCCAGACCAGCCTGACCAACATGGAGAAACCCCGTCTCTACTAAAAATACAAAATTAGCCAGGCATGGTGGTGCATGCCTGTAATCCCAGCTACTCGGGAGGCTGTGGCAGGAGAATCACTTGAACCCGGGAGGCTAAGGTTGCGGTGAGCCGAGATCGCACCATTGCACTCCAGCCTCGGCAACAAGAGTGAAACTCTGTCTCAAAAAACAAAAAACAAAACAAACAAACAAAAAAGAACATTTCCATTGTAAAGTTTCCTCAACTCCTTTCATCCTATGTCCTGGTTCCAGATTCCAGGCAATCACTGATCTTCTCTCATTATAGTTTTGCCTTTCATTGTGGCTTTACTTTGCATTTCCCTGATAGTCAATGACCTTGAGGATTTTTTCATAGGCATATTGACCGCTGCCTATATCTTCTTTAGTGAAGCATCTATTCTTTACCAGATTTTTATTGTTGTCTTAGAATTCTAAGAGTTTCTTATATGTTCTTATATAAGTCCTTTGTTTGCTTTATGTATTGCAAAAACATCTTCCCAGTTAGCAGCCTGCCTTATTTTCTTAATGGTATCTTTTGAAGAGAAGATATTTTTAGCGAGGTGCAGTGGCTTACCCCTGTTGTCCCAGTTACTCTGGAGGCTCGGGTGGGAGGATCACTTGAGGCCAGGAGTTTGAGACCAGCTTGGGCAACATAGTGAGACCCTGTGTGTATATATAATATATATAAATATATGTATATATATATATATATATATATATATATATATTTTTTTTTTTTTGAGATGGAGTTTCTCTCTTGTTGCCTAGGCTGGAGTGCAATGGCGCCATCTCGGCTCACTGCAACTTCCGCCTCCTGGATTCAAGTGATTCTCCTGCCTTGGCCTCCTGAGTTGCTGGGATTACAGGCGCCCACCACCACGCCCAGCTAATTTTTGTTGTTTTTAGTAGAGACGGGGTTTTGCCATGTTGGCCAGGGTGGTCTCCATCGCCGTGTTGGCCAGGGTGGTCTTGAACTCCTGACCTCAGGTGATCCACCCGCCTCGGTCTCCCAAAGTGCTGGGATTACAGGTGTGAGCCACTATGCCCGGCCTAAAAAATATGTATTTTTAAAAATTAGCCAGGTGTGGCGGTGTGCACCTGTAGTTCCAGCTACTCAGGAATGCTGAGCTGCACCTAGCTCTTGAGCCCAGGAGTTTGAGGCTGCAGTGAGCTATGATTGCACCACTGCATTCCAGCCTGGGTGACAGAGCAAGACCATCTCTATTTACAAACAAACAAACAACAAAAAACATATAAAGGAGAGAAGACATTTTTAAAATTAAAAAACTTCAATTTGTCAATCTTTTCCAAAAAGATTTCCCATTTCCTTGTAGTTTCATAGTTTTAGTTTTTGTTTAAATCTGTAGTACTATTTACTTATTTTTTGAGACAGTCTTGCTCTGTCACCCAGGCTGGAGTACAACCTAGGCTCAAGAGATCCACCTCAGCCTCTCCAGTAACTGGGACCTCAGACATGCGCCACCACACCTGGCTAATTTTTTATAGAGGTGGGGTCACATTATGTTGCCTAGGCTGGCTCAAGCAATCCTCCCACCTTAGCCTCCCAAAGTACTGGGATTATAGGTGTGAGTCACTGCGCCTGGCTGTAGTCCTTTTTGTGTTAACTTTTTTTATTATTTATTTTCCAATAATTTATTATTTGGAGATGGAGTCTCGTTCTGTTGCCCAGGCTGGAGTGCAATGGAGTGATCTTGGCTCACTGTAATCTCTGCCTCCTGGGTTTAAGCGATTTTCCTGCCTCAGACTTCCCACATAGCTGAGATTACAGGTGTGCGCCACCACGCCTGGCTACTTTTTTTTTGAGATGGAGTCTCGCTCTGTCGCCCAGGCTGGAGTCAGTGGCACAATCTCGGCTCACTGCAACCTCCGCCTCCCAGGTTCAAGTGATTCTCCTGCCTCAGCCTCCCGAGTAGCTGGGACTATAGGTGCGTACCACCATACCTGGCTAATTTTTTTTGTATTTTTGGTAGCGACGGGGTTTCACCATGTTGGCCAGGCTGGTCTCAAACTCCTGACCTCAGGTGATTCACCCGCCTTGGCCTCCCAAAGTGCTAGGATTATAGACGTGAGCCACTAAGCCTGGCCCTTTTTGTGTTAATTTTATATATACTATGAAGTAAGGGTTAAGGTTAAATTGTTTACCCAAAGGACATCCAGTTATTTATTTATTTATTTACTGTGACAGAGTCTCACTCTGTTGCCCAGGATGGAGTGCAGTGGCACAATCTCAGCTCACTGCAACCTCCACCTCCCTGGTTCAAGCGATTCTCCTGCCTCAGCCTCTCGAGTCGCTGGGATTACAAGTGCCCCCACCACACCTGGCTAATTTTTGTATTTTTTAGTAGAGATGGGGTTTTGCCATGTTGGCCAGGCTGGTCTCAAACTCCTGACTTCAGGTGATCTGCCCGCATCGGCCTCCCAAAGTGCTGGGATTACAGGCGTGAGCCACCGCGCCCAGCCCATCCAGTTATTCTTGAATGATTTGTTGAAAGACTATTTTTCATTCATTGAATTACCATGACACTTTTGTCAAAAACAACTGAAACCAATGTGTGGATCTATTTCTAGACTCTCAATTCTATTTCCTTTATCTACATGCCTTTCCTTAGGGGAATACCACACTGTCTTGATTACTACAGTTTTCTATAAGCTTTGCTATCAGGATGGATAACTTTGTCCTTTTTTTTCAAAATTAACTTAGCTATTCAGGATTCTTTTCATGTCCATGTACATTTTATTTATTTTTGAGACAGGGTCTTGCTCTGTCGCCCAGGCTAGGGTGCAGTGGTACGATCATGGCTCACTGTAGCCTTGACCTCCTGGGCTCAAGCGATTCTCCCACCTCAGCCTCCCAAGTAGATGGGACTACAAGCACACACGACCACACCTGGCTAATTTTTGTATTTTTTGTAGAGATGGGGTTTCACCATGTTGCCCAGGCTGGTCTGAAACTCCTGGACTCAAGCAATTCAACCACCTTAGCCTCCCAGTGTTGAGATTACAGGCATGAGTCAATGTGCCCAGTTGATTTTATTTTTGAGACAGGGTCTCGGTCTGTCGTCCAGGCTAGAGTGCAGTGGTGTGATCATAGCTCACTTTAACCCTGAATTCCTGGGCTCAAGGGATCCTCCTGCCTCAGCCTCCCAATTAGCTAGGACTACAGGTTTGCACCACCAGGCCTGGCTAAATTTTATTTTTTTGTAGTGATGGCAGTGGGGGTCTCGCTATGTTGCCCAGGCTGGTCTCAAATTCCTGGCTTCAAGTGATCCTCCCACCTTGGCCTCTCAAAATGCTAGGATTAAAGGCATGAGCCACTGAGCCTGGCATATCTTATTACATTACAGTATCATAGGACCTCAGTTACGATCCCAAGACAAGTGAGAAATAAATATTTTTCCTCCTGTCCATCACCTTCCAATCCATAAATGTGAGCAAACATCCTCTTAGATCTTTAAATTTTTCTCTTAGCAATGCTTTGAAGTTTTCAGTGTACAGGTTTCACACATTTTTAGAAATTTACCCCTAAATTCCTTATATTTTGATGTGATCAAAAATTCTATTTTAATTTTGTTGCTAGTATATAGACAATTGAATTGTTAATGTTGAGTTATATCCTGCACCTTGTTCATTGTTATTAGTGGTAGGATTTTTAGTATTCTCTACGTATGTGATCATGTAGTCCGTGAACAGTTTTACTTCATCCTTTCCAATGTTTATGCCTTACTACTTGAAGAGAAGTGGTATCTTGGTGCAGATCTAAGGGGGAAAGTGTTCAATATTTTATCATTAAATGTTACCTGTAGGCCGGGCGTGGTGGCTGACGCCTGTAATCCCGGCACTTTGGGAGGCTGAGGTGGGGTGGATCACCTGAGGTCAGGAGTTCGAGCCCAGCCAGGCCAACATGGTGAAACCCCATCTCCACTAAAAATACAAAAATTAGCCGGGCGTGGTGGCAGATGCTTATAATCCCGGCGACTCGGGAGGCTGAGGCAGGAGAATCGCTTGAACCTGGGAGGTGGAGGTTGCAGTGAGCCAATATTGTGCCACTGCACTCCAGCCTGGGCGATAAAATGAGACTCCATCTCAAAAAAAGGAAAGAAAAAAAGTTACCTGTAGATGTTTTGTAAATTCCCTTTATTACGTTGAGAAAGTTACCTTGTACTCTTTAAGCTTTTATCATGAACTTTCTAAAATACTTACTGTATCTATTGAAATAATCCATAATGTGTTTTATTTCTGTTACCATAATAACAATAATTGATTTTTTCTTTTCTTTTTTTTTTTTCTGAGACTAAGTCTTGCTCTGTCGCCTAGGCTGGAGTACAGTGGCGTGATCTCAGCTCACTGCAACCTCCACCTCCCGGGTTCAAGCGATTCTCCTGCCTCAGCCTCCTGAGTACCTGGGATTTCTGGTGTGTGCCATCATGTCCAGCTAGTTTTTGAATTTTTAGTAGAGACAGGGTTTTACCATGTTGGCCAGGCTGGTCTCAAACTCCTGACCTCAGGTGATCCGCTGGCCTTGACTTCCCAAAGTGCTGGACAGGTGTGAGCCACCGGACCCTGCCTGATTTTTTTTTTTTTTTTTTTTTTGAGATGGAGTCTTGCTCTGTCATCCAGGCTGGAGTGCAGTGGCGCCATCTTGGCTCACTGCAACCTCCGCCTCCCAGGTTCAAGCAATTCTCTCACCTCAGCCTCCCAAGTAGCTGGGATTACAGGCACACACCACCATGCCCGGCTAATTTTTGTTATTTTTTTAGTAGAGACAGGGTTTCACCATGTTGGCCAGGTTGGTCTTGAACTCCTGACCTTGTGATCCGCCCACCTCAGCCTCCCAAAGTGCTGAGACTACAGGCGTGAGCCACCGCACCCAGCCCTGATTTTCAAATAATATAGCAATCTTGAATTCCTGGGAAAATTCCACTTGGTCATCATGTAAGGTTGTTATAATATTTGAAAATCAATTATATAAAAAATTCATTTTTATATATTGCTGGATTCAAATTGCTAATATTTTGTTAAAGACTTTTGGAATTGTTTTTAAGGGCTTGGAGCTTTCTTTTCTTGAAATATCTTTGATTTGGTATAGGGGTAATACTAGCCTCGTGAAGTGAGTTGGGAAGGGCTTCCCTGTTTTCTAAAGTGTTATGTAAGATTGGTATAATTCCTTCCTTAAATGTTGAATAGAATTCATTAGTGAAGTCATGTGGGCCTGGAAGTTTCTTTATGGGAAGGGTTTCAATTATGACTCACTTTCTTTAACAGGTAAGGAAATATTCAAATCTTCTATTTCTTTTCATGTCTCTTTTGGCAATTTGTGTCTTTCAAGGAACGTGTCCATCTCATCTAAGTTGTCAGATTTACTGGTATATAGTTGTCTATAGCAAAGAGAAAGAAGACAAAGGCCAGACTTCCCTCTGAGTGACGGAAAATTCCTTATCACATACTGACCTTGTTATTAGAAGACACTTGATGCAGTATTTAGGGGTAAGGAGTCATAACATCTGCAACTTACTCTCAAATGATTTGGCAAAACACACACGTGCGCACGCACACATACACACATAAGAGAGAGAACGGACAGGATATGAAACAAACAACATTGGTCAATACAGGGGGAAGGGTATATGGGAATTCACTGGACTATTTCAACAACTTTTCTGTAGATTAAACACTTTTCAATATATAAAGTTAAATAATATATTCATATTCCATAACCTGGCAATTTAAGGGAATAATCAGAAAATCACACACATACTCTGCACAAGAAAGTTTATCACAGATCAGAACTTGAAAACACCGTAAAACCCCCACAGAGGATTCAATAAACAAACAATACGATACCAAAGAGCCGCCGCCGACAACGACAACAACAACAACAACAACAACAACAACAAAAGACATACTTTTTTCAAGGGTATCCATGTGGAAAATGCTCAGTATAAATAGGCTACTGAGGGGAAGAGTTCCCACACTGAGTACGTGACCCCTTCCTATATGCACAGGAAGAAGACTGCAGAGAAACACCATGCAAGCAGTGGCTGTCTCTGTGGTGGTGTCACAAGTGAAAATGACTCTTCCTCACACTCCTCTTCCAAACTTTTTTTTTTTTTTTTTTTAAGACAGAGTCTCACTCTGTCACCCAGGCTGGAGTGCAGTGCCACGATCTCAGCTCACTGCAACCTCCGCTCTCTGCAACCTCCGCCTCCCAGGTTCAAGCGATTCTCTTGCCTCAGCCTCCTGAGTAGCCTGCCACCACACCCGGCTAACTTTGTATTTTTAGTAGAGATGGGGTTTCACCATGTTGGCCAGGCTGGTCTTGAACTCCTGACCAGGTGGGTGAGTGATCCACCCACCTCAGCCTCCCAAAGTGCTGGGATTACAAGCATGAGCCACCATGCCTGGCCTCTTCCAAACTTCTTGAAAGATCCTAGAAACTATCACTCCAGAGCAATAGGAAAAAGAGCTTACACTGGTTTAAGACCTGGATTACCCCCAAAAGGAAGGGAAGGAGATTCTGCAGGCAGTAGTGACAACTGGTCTCAAAGTAGCCTGGCGAAGTGGACTGTGTAAGACTGTGAGATCTGGTCTCATGCCCCCCAAAATAGGCAAGGTTAAGAGATCAAGTAAGACAGTAAATGAGAAAAAGGTAAAGTTATATACACATGTAAAAGCAACTGTCTATTTGTTTTACAAGGATGTTCATCGGCTTGGAAGCTATTACTACAGGAAATCCACATGGTACAATGAGATCTAAAGTCCAAAGAGCTGAGTGGAGGTTTGAATCTGCTTCCTGGATGATCCTGGGCAAACTATTCAGCCTTTCTGAGCCTATTTCCACCTCTGAAAATCTGGGATGATGAAATTTTTTATCACTATCCTCCCTGTTGAAAGACTGTGGGCTGGGTGCAGTGGCTCATGCCTGTAATCCCAGCACTTTAGGAGGCCAAGGCGGGTGGATCACCTGAGGTCAGGAGTTTGAGACCAGCCTGGCCAACATGGCAAAACTCCATCTCTACTAAAAATACAAAAAATTAGTAGAGCGCAGTGGCGCGCACAGGTAATCCCAGCTACTCCAGAGGCTGAGGCAGGAGAATCGCTGGAACCCAGGAGGCGGGGGTTGCAGTGAGCCAAGATCGCACGACTGCACTGTAGCCTGGCTGACAGAGCGAGACTCTGTCTCAAAAAAAAACAAAAACAAAAACCCTAAAAAACAACAGGGGGACCTGCTGAGTCCCCTGAGTCCCTCCATGTATCATGAATGAGAGGACGACTGTCCCAACTCATAAATCCTGGAGTTGCTCTGTTGCTCTTGGCCTCTGTGTGGGGCTGCCACATCGTCCCTGAGAACAATGCTGACTGTGCGGGCTGGACCACTGTCCTATGCTGGAAAAGTGAGGAACAAGCAGATTCCTCTTGAAATGCCTGCCTGAGCCAACTGGCCACTATATGAGTAGAAAAATTATTTTGACAGGGATCAAGAAGACAGAGATTGAACAAGATATCTGCCTAAACTGCAGCTGGAGATGTGGCAAGAAGATGTAAGGACTCATTGTAGAGGAGAGAAATATTTTTTCTATCCTTTTTATTTTCATCCCTGTAAGGGCAGGAACAAATCTTTCTGGGTTTGGAGTCAGTGACAATACTCACAGCAAGGAGTCCAACATCAAATACTGAGATTCTTGTTTTACAAAAGTGATCTATTCTTAAGGTTGTGAAATTGAGTCTTCTATTTGACAAAAATCATTGTTACCCAGAAACACTTTTAAAATGTTAATATAATTCACTGCTTTCTGCATTATGAACAATGAAAGCAAGAAATCTGGTCAAACTGGGATGTTGAGAGGTAGGCTGAGGACTGGCCACTGTACTATTTCACTAAAACTGGAAAAATAATACAAATGCAGACTCCAGAGGTGAAATTCAGGCGATTTATTGTAAACAGGATAACCCTAGCACTCCACCATACTGGCTGTGTCACATGCTCCCTCTTTCACATCAACTGGTCAAAAAAGAAGACTTTCTTAAGAAGCCTCAGGTAACTAATAACTTAGTTCCACAAATCTCATTTACTAAGCACTGCGTAAACTGCAGTATCTGGGGTAGTCTGTTATTGCTCATGGACTGCAGCTTGGACCCATCTAAATGAATCCATTAGTATGCCTGAGTGATCAACAGCAGCTCTAGATCCAACCTGGAAATTGGAAAATGCTGACGCATACCAAACAATTGCAGGTTCATGGAAGACTACATGAGATTGCTCTCAGATCTCTTCATGTGTCATTCTCATAAAAAAGACACTTAAATTTCACCCATTTTTTAAAAAAGAGCTAAAAGTTACTCAATAGCACATAATTTTCCACATAAAAGGTAGGTGGATTTTTATTTACTAGTACAGTGGTGGATCGGAACACTCAGGCCTAATTTCAGATCTGTCTTGTATATACTTGCAGTTTAATGAAAAGCTGCATAGTCTACAAATACATAAAACCAGAAGGAAGTGATGATTTCACACACCTTCTGATGGATAAAGACAGGCTTCATATAAGGAGGTTCTTGAAGGTAGGGATAAAAAGATGGTTACAGCACCACATTGATCTGACAGTAGAAATGGAGCCCCGCTTTTGAAAGCAGCCCCATAGTTGTGACTATATCGTTCTTGCCCAAAATTGAGATTTGGAAAATGGCAAATGTAAAAACTTAAGATGTGAAAAGGTATGACTTTACAGAAGAAAGTCCTAGCCAATCAAATCATATGGGGAGGTAAAATGTCCTTCAAAAATGCCATTCTTTACTTTGCCTGAGTTAGTGGATGACAGGGCCACTTACTGTTACTAGTGCTTGTATATGGAAATATATTCACAATTTCTCTTGAAGCAAGTTTTAATAACAGTAAATATTTCAAAACAGCTGTTAAATCTACAGTAACAATTTCACCTAAAATAGTATCTCATGAAAAAAATATTTTTTTAAAAGTCTACTCCAGTCATCATCTGTGTTTATATGTTTATATTTATATATTCAAAAAATAACTTAACATTTAAGGCAAGATTAGACTGGTAGCAACAAGGGATTTTAGAGTTTTATGAAGACCTGCTATATAAGAATGCAAGGCTTTACTTTTTATATTTCCAAAAAGGTGGCTTTGTATTGGCTGCCTTTTAAATTCATAAAGGGGCAAGATATTTTGGTTCACATACTGACTGCAATTTCACTGTAATAAAAAGTTATACAGGTGGTTACAAAAAGCTGATGTTGGAAAAGCATGTCACACACTCAGTAGGATCTGAAGTTGACCCTATTTGTACGTGTTAAATAAATATGTTGTGTTAAAGCAATATGTTGATGAGGAAAAGTAAAACTCATGGAACACTGCAAACCAACTATGAAGAAGTAGGTCAATATAATTCAATCAGAATGAAAGAAACCACAGTAATCCTGAGAAATTCGGTTTAGGACAAAATTGATGTAAGGTAAGTCTGTATTTCTAGCATTGTAAATAAGTAGGGTTTTCTAGCATTTTACGAGTTGGCATAAAAAACATGTTCAAATTTTATAAAAAGATTAAAACCATGCCTTATATAACCAGCATTTCACTAATAAAAGATGACATTGCTTTATCATCTGCCAAATGTAATGTTTTCCACTGATTTACATGAAACCATCAAGTAGAAAGCAAATTTGAGGATCAATTTTTAAAAAGTTATTACCTTTCTAAATGTTGTGAAGCCTTCTATGTCAAGCTAGGAGGCTTTTAGAAAAGAGCTAACTTTTAACTTTCTTCGGACAAGTGACTATTTTACAGAATAGGGAAGGAAGATTCTATAGGAATATCATTCATTTTAAGCATTGTTATATTGGGGAAATTTCTCTCAGTAATCAAAAGAAAAATTTTAAAATATTTAAGAGGCATGTATTTAAAAAATATTCTACATCTATAAGATTTTGTAATTTACTTTGGATTTATAATATTTCTACATAATGACATTTGACAATTTTTTGTTTGTTTCTCTAATAGTGAATCAGAAACTATTAAAGTGGCCAAGATGATTTTCTTAGGCTCTGGAAGACTCAGGAATGCATCCACTTGCACTTTCCCATGCATGGGGAATCTTCAGAGTTTTGCAGCCATGAAGTTAATATGTGGTTTCACAAGGGGAAACAGTGGCAGACCACGCTTGAATTCGGTCATGTTCTGAATCACTTCAGGCTGCAAAGAAAAAAGTTTCCTTTTAGTGTATTTAACCTAAACATCAGAATAAGGACATCAACTTTTTTTGGCGGACACTGGGAGCATACCTCAGTTCTACTTAATATACTGTTTTTTTGTTTTGGCTTGAGGCCGCTCTACCTAATAACCCATGTATCTTGATCTGCTGACCTTTCTTCTGGATCAGTATGTCTGGAGGGTCGTGAATTGGTCTGTACAAACCTATGGTAAGTGTCCTTAGTCCTTTTGGTTTTCCTCTGGGCAAACAAGGGCTGGCTCACCAAGGACTTAGAGGCTTCGCATCAAGGCTTCAGCAGAGTAGCAGAGGCTGGTGTGCCCACCCACAAAAAGCCTAGTTACACTGCCAGTTTCCTCCTCTTGCAAGCTAATGTCAATCCTTCTAGATGATTAAAATACGCAGGTAACATGGGAGAGACTAAGAAGTCTCTCTCCAGTATTCAGTGCTGGGAACAGATGTGGCCAGAAATGATCCATTGCAAAATAACACAACTGTTCAAACAGGAGGCAAAGGCAGACAAGGGTAGAGGCTGAGTGACTAGATGTTCAGGGAAGAACTAAAGTAGAAGCTCCAACACCTGGTGACCTGAAACTTTTAGTTCATCACTTTTAGTTCCCAATGAACAAGTTTCTTCTGGCCGGGCACAGTGTCTCGTGCCTGTAATCCCAGCACTCTGGGAGGCCGACGCAGGTGGATCACTTGAGGTCAGTAGTTTGAGACCAGCCTGGCCAACATGGTGAAACCCCATCTCCACTAAAAATACAAAAACTAGCTGGGCATGGTGGCGTGTGCCTGTAATCCCAGCTACTCAAGAGGCTGAGGCAGGATAATTGCTTGAACCCAAGAAGTGGAGGTTGTAGTGAGCTGAGCTGAGATCGCACCACTGCACTCCAGCCTGGGTGACTGAGTGAGACTCCATTTCAAAAACAAAAAACAAAAAACAAAAAAAACCAAGCTGCTTCTTCTAAATAGAAAGTCCTCTGTCAGTACAATCTAACATAACGTTATATTTCTTACTTGTGGCAAGGCTGGTGCTTGTGACAAATTTATGTCATTTTGACATGGGAACTCTCCAACAACAGGACCTATAAGAAAATAAAAGGTTTAATACTTTGTACTTATTGATACTATCACAAAAGAACAAAAAAAAAAAACTAAACCAGACTCAGTTAATTAAAAACACCGCACCAGCCCCGTTCATGTACTTCTCAGATCCTCTAAAGGTTGCCTGCTACCCAAGGCCTTAAGTACTTGTCCTGCCTTCTATCCAGAGCCACCCAGTGATGGCTCATGATATTCCTGAGGTCATAAAACTTTGGCCACAGCAGTTTTAGGGCCCAGGTCTAATGTGACTTTCTGTCCACCCAGAAGGACCTTGCTAGGTTTCTAAACTGTTAGTAAACTTACTAGTTTTACTAAACTGCCCAGAAAGCAAGGGAGTTAATGGCCACAGGACAAACTTTGGCCAGTAAAAGCCAGGAAACGAAAGGACTGGGAAGTTAACTTGCTTACCCATACTCCCCACATGCAGTGGTTCATGCAGCCTGTTTGGAGACACCCCAACAGCAAGCAGCTGTGTTTTCCTGTGATGCTGTGGCTAGCTCGGCATTCTATCACCTGGTATTGCCTCTCTCCTTCACTACCTCATTTCTCTTTTCCCCTTATATCTGCAGACCTTATCTCCAGTTTCCGTTCTCTACCTCTTTTACTTTCTGGTGTTCTATAAGGCATGTAGCTATGACAAAGGCCAACCATCAGATGGCTCAACATGAGCCTAAAAAGGCAACATTTGATACTTACAAGAATCCATTTCCCTGGCAAGAACATGGACGGATACCTTATGTCTCCTTGGAGCATCTACTGCCAACATTTCCTAGGCACAAAGAAGAGCAGGGTCACCCTTTTGCTCCACTAAAGAACTTACAATGAGGTGTTCTCTGAAGACTATGAAGAATCAGCTATCACACAGTCAGATATAGAAAAGATGCTTCCCTTTCTGGCCGGGTGCAGTGGCTCATGCCTGTAATCCCAGCACTTTGGGAGGCCGAGGCAGGTGGATCACTTGAGGTCAGGAGTTCGAGACCAGCCTGGCCAACATAGTGAAACCCTGTCTTTACCAAAAATACAACAATTAGCCAAATGTGGTGGCACATGCTTGTAATCCCAGATACTTGGGAGGCTGAGGTGGGAGGATTGCCTGACACGAGGAAGCAAGTTTGCCATGTGCCATGAGCCGAGATCACGCCACTGCACTCCAGCCTGGGTGACAGAGCAAGACTCTGTCTCAAAAAAAAAAAAAAAAAAAAAAAAAAAAAGAAAAAGAAAAAGAAAAGATACTTCCCTTTCTTTCCCCTCACTTACATTATTTTATTTAAGCTCTAGAAAGATTTAGCAAGGCACGCAAGAATTATTCTTTTTTTTTCCTTTCCTTTTCTTACTCTAAGGAAAGAATTATCCTTAACCCAATTTTACAGATGAGAAAACTGAATCCAAGGAGATTAAAAAACTGCTCAAACTCCTACAGCTAATAAGTGCCTGAGCTAGGATTAAAAACCTAGCCTAGTACTCACTGGGATGGGCTGTGCAGGGCTGCACTTGGTGATCTTTAGTGTCTACAGAGACAATGGTCTGAGCTTAGTCAGGGACAAGCACGAGTGCCTGCTCCTCTAAGAACCTTCTCAGACTCTGCTTGTAAACTGTGGTTCATCTACCAAAAGAGAAAGGAAACTAACAATTACTGAGTCCTGCGTTATATCAGGCACTCTCCTATGTCAGCTCACTTAATTCTCTGTGAACTAAGCATCATGATGATTCTTACTTTAGAGGCATGGACTCTAAGACACAGCAGCTTACATGAATTACATGGGTCACACAGTTCATAGGTGATGGTGTCAGAAGCTAGAGTCTGCTTGCTCTCTCCATTCCACCATGCTGCTTGGAGGGATTCCCCTTAGTTACTACCATGAATGCCAGCAGTGCTAAGTTGGCAGGTGGATCCTGTGGGGAAGTATGTCCCAACCTTTCCCTTAACAGCAGACTTCTACTGTCTTTTCTAAAGGGGTACAAAATTGTGACAAAGTTCCTCTTATTCCTTAGCCACAAGCAACGTTTCATATCCTTAGAGGAAAGAAATCATCAGCCAAACCAAATCCACTCAACAGTTATTTACTAATAACTGTTACTAGTTACTAGTAACTGGGCAGTTACTAATAAGCCTGGTCCTATGTGACTGCAAGGAAGCCCTGTTGATGTTGCACAGCAATCCTGCCCGTGGCTCCCCACTCTACTCCCTGCCAGCAGGCAAAACAGCCCAGATTCTCACAGGCCTGCTCTGACCTCTCCAGCCTCTTTCCAGGAACTCAGCCCAGGTCTGCCTCTATTAACATGTAGTACCTCATCTAAGAACTTCATCTTACTGGAGTAAAAAGTTTGCTTCCAAAGATCTCTTCTCCATCTCTTGTCACCCAAACCTTCATTACCCCCTTGTCTACCCACATCAGCAGACAGCAGAACACCTTCTCCAGTTTCAGATTGTTCCCGATTTTCTGACCAACTCTGGACAATCCTCATTTTTCTAAAAACAAACAACTGCACCTTCTTGCAAACTATTAATATGTTCTAAGGAACACTACAGTCCTGGGAGATATTTATAGGTATTCTGTGTAAAAAAGGATGCATGGTGAAATCAGTTTAGAAAATGTTAGTCAAAATTAAATAAATGCAGGCTAAAGTCTTTACTGTGGGACTTCTTATAATTTCTAAAATACCAATACACTCTGATTCTCTAAGAATGCGAATAGTCTTTCCCAAACTTGTATGGTCATGAAACCCTTTTCCTAGGTACCCCTATTAATATCTTGCATACCATGGAACACAGCTAGGGAAATGCTGTTCCAGACTTAGCTTAGGCCTGGTTATAAATACTCTCTCTGTTTTTTTTTTTTTTTTTTTTTTTTTTTTTGAGATGGAGTCTCGCTCTGTCGCCCAGGCTGGAGTGCAGTGGTGCTATCTTGGCTCACTGCAACCTCCACCTTCTGGGTTCAAGTGATTCTCCTGCCTCAGCCTCCTGAGTAGCTGGGATTACAGGCGTGCACCACCACGCCTGGCTAATTTTTGTATTTTTAGTAGAGACGGGGTTTCACCATGTTGGTCAGGCTGGTCTCGAACTCCTGACCTCGTGATCTGCCCACCTCGGCCTCCCAAAGTGCTGGGATTACAGGTGTGAACCACCACGCCCAGCCCCTCTCTCTTTTTTTTGAAACAGGGTCTAGCTATGTTTCCAAGGTTGGTCTTGAACTCCTGGGCTCTAGCGATCTTCCTGTCTCAGCCTCCCCAGCAGCTGGGACTACAGGCTATTATTGCAAAAGAACAAGAGTAATTTAGATGAGACACTTCTTTTCCTCTATACAATGCAAAGGAAGCCATGAGGTAAAGAAAATCACTTGTCCAGCCATCCATTTTTGTAGCCAAAATGGGTCAAATCTCATTGCTGAAAAAGGTGCTTTCAAAATACTGGCTTCTGCTGCTCAGTTCTGAAACTATAGTCTCCTTTTCTTATTGTTAAGGTGATATCAGCTATATTAATACTTGTTTGCATACAGCCTTAATAATTTTGCAGAAGAGTTGCTGGGAGAGGTGTAAGCAACTCATGGATGATACAAAATCACCATTTTCCTCAAAGAAACTATCAGCACCTTTGGGTCAAAGACTGTTACTTTTTCCTTACCCTCTCACTCAGCACTAGGAGTGGTGAATTAAATAAACATTAGAAACCCTAGTACAGGAGAAAATGTGATCAAGCCTCATTGTACCACTAACTTCACAAAGTCATTCTAATGAGAACTGTAAGCACTGACTCCTATGCTGGTAGCTATAGTACATCCCTAGAAAAAAATACTGTAGAGTATCTCTCTAAAAGGATGTGGGCACAGGGCAGGACTGAGTCCCCGTCCAAACAACATAATGACAGATACAAACCAGAAATGGCTAGAACATTAAGGGACAATTCTAAGGTACTATGGTAATCACAGAGTATAATTTTGCTCCTTATTTTGAAAAATAGGCATATGAGTATTTTACACAAACTAGAGGCCCCAATATATTACAAAAAACATATGTAACACTTTAGGTGCAATTCCATTGCAGCACAAATTTTGAGTTTTTGCATTTAGCATACTTATTACACATTCATATACCTACCTAATGGAAATTTTGCTATCCTTCTTAGAATTTTTATATAGGGGAAGATTTAGATGGTGTGAACCTCTTTTTTTTTTTTTTTTTTTTTTTGAGACAGAGTCTCGCACTGTCGCCCGGGCTGGTGTGCAGTGGTGCGATCTCAGCTCACTGCAACCTCCGCCTCCCGGGTTCAAGTGATTCTTCTGCCTCAGCCTCCTGAGTAGCTGGGATTACAGGCACCCGCCACCATGCCCAGCTAATTTTTTTATTATTATTATTTTTAGTAGAGACAGGGTTTCACTATGTTGGCCAGGCTGATCTTGAACTCCTGACCTCGTGATTCACCCACCTTGGCCTCCCAAAGTGCTGGGATTACAGGCGTGAGCCACCACGCCCAGCCGGTGTGAATCTCTTAAAGCTTGCTGGGAAGACTTTAATGGTGGTGCCTCCCTTTCTTTTTGATAGACTTCCTAAGTGAGCGCAAGCATGTAAAACTTATAATATCTCTGACCACAATTCAAAGGTGAGTAATCATTTATTTTAAAAAGCAGCCACAGTGGCACCTAAATGGGTGAAGATAATTTATAGTTGTCAGAGCTTGGAAAATAATCTGATTCTCAAGTTCTTTTGTTTTCTTTGTTCTTCCTTCCCACCAAACAAGCTCAGCAATATTCTTTGCAGAGTAGGGTGGAGAACAGAGAGAAGAAACTGAAAGGGTGCCTAAAAAGGTAGATCTGGAAGTCAGGAAGGGCTGTCACAGTCCTTGGTTTAGAGCATGGGTCAATCTTTTGGCTTCCTTGGGCCACACTGGAAGAAGAAGAATTGTCATGGGCCACACATAAAATACACTAACAATAGCTGATAAGCTAAAAGAAAAAAAATTTGCAAAATATCTCATAATGTGGGCTGTACATGGCCCGCAGGCTGCAGGTTCAGCAAACTTGGTTTAGAGGGAGAGGAAAACAGTACTTGGTTCAATAAAAACTATCTTTATTCTAAAAGTCATTAAGCGTTTGTGTCAAAAAACTCAAATCCACAAAAACACCTTCATAAATCCAGCCTGAATGGCTTCAAAGCAGCAACACACAATATAGCACATACAATAGGTGTTTTGGTTTTTTTGAGGCACAGTTTCGCTCTGTCACCCAGACAGGAGTGCAGTGGCATGATCTCCACTCACTGCAACCTCTGCCTCCCAGGTTCAAGCGATTCTCATGCTTCAGCCTCCTGAGTAGCTGGGATTACAGGCGTATGCCACTACGCCCAGCTAATTTTTGTATTTTTAGTATAAATGGGGTTTCACCATGTTGGCCAGGCTGGTCTTTAACTCCTGACCTCAAGTGATCCTTCCACCTTGGCCTCCCAAAGTGCTGGGATTACAGGTGTAGGCCGCCATACCCAGCCCTATAATACTTTCATATCAGTCAAAATCTAAATATATGAATTTGACTTACCTTGTAGAATTTGATGATATCTTCCTTGGTAAGTGTCTTTAAATATGCAACCTCAGTGTTATCTGAAAAAGTAATCAAACAATATTTTACTAACATTTTCATATGAAGCAGCCCAGAACAGTACACTAAATGACAATATACTTCACTCCAAGACTCTTAAGTATCCATATATATTTTTTTTTGAGACAGAGTTTCACTCTGTCACCCACGCTGGAGTGCAGTGGCTCGATCTCGGCTCACTGCAACCTCTGCCTCCTGGGTTCAAGTGATTCACCTGCCTTAAGCCTCCTGAGTAGTTGGGATTACAGGCACAAGCCAACACGTCTGGGTAATTTTTATATTTTCAGCAGAGATGGGGTTTCGCCATGTTGGCTAGGCTGGTCTTGAACTCCTGACCTCAAGTGATCTGTCCACCTCAGCCTCCCAAAGTGCCGGGATTATAGGCGTGAGCCATCGCGTCTGGCCAAGTATTCACAATTTTTTTTTTTTTTTGAGATGGAGTCTTGCTCTCTCACCCAGGCTGTTGTGCAGTGGTGCGATCTCAGCTCACTGTAAGCTCTGCCTCCCGGGTTCATGCCATTCTCCTGCCTCAGTCTCCCAAGTAGCTGGGACTACAGGCGCCCGCCACCATGCCCAGCTAATTTTTTTTTTCTTTTTTATATTCTTAGTAGATACGGGGTTTCACCGTGTTAGCCAGGATGGTCTCGATCTCCTAACTCGTGATCCGCCCGCCTCGCACTCCCAAAATGTTGGGATTACAGGCGTGAGCCACTGTGCCTAGCCAAGCATCCACATTTTTACGTGACCATTTGCTTTGATTTCAAATAAAAGTAAGTGGATGTTGGCTGGGCACAGTGGCTCATGCCTATAATCCCAGCACTTTGGGAGGCCAAGGTAGGTGGATCACTCGAGGCCAGAAGTTTGAGACCAGCCTGGCCAACATGGTGAAACCCCATCTCTACTAAAAATATAAAAATTAGCCAGGCATAGTGGAGTATGCCTGTAGACCTAGCTACTCGGGAGAGGCTGAGACATGAGAATCACCTGAACCTGGGAAGCAGAGGTTGCAGTGAGCCAAGATCACATCACTATACTACAGCCTGGGCGACAGAGCAAAACTGTCTCATAAAAAAAAAAAAAAAAAAAAAGGCCAGGTGCAGTGGCTCACACCTGTAATCCCAGCATTTTGGGAGGCCGAGGCAGGGGGATCACCTAAGGTTGGGAGTTCGAGACCACCCTGACCAACATGGAGAAACCCCATCTCTACTAAAAATACAAAGTGGTGGCACATGCCTGTAATCCCAGCTACTTGGGAGGCTGAGGCAGAATTGCTTGAACCCGGGAGGTGGAGGTTGCGGTGAGCCGGAGATCGTGCCATTGCACTCCAGCCTGGGCAACAAGAGCGAAACTCCATCTTAAAAAAAAAATAATAAGTGGATGTAGTGCAATGGGTAAGAGCCTTGGCTCAGGAGCCAGGCCAGCCTGGATTCACATCCTGGCTCTCTGGTTATGAGCTTTTGGATCTTGGCCAGTCACCTCAACTTTTCTAAGCCTCAGTTTCCTCATCTGGAAATTGGGGATAATAACTACTTAATAAGGGCTGCAGTGAGAATTAGGAAAAAGATACATGACAATAACACTGCTAGGTACACGGCAAATGCTCAATAAATGAGAGACAGTATTATCATTAATAGTGAATCCAACTGCTAGATAAATTATAAGTAGGCTGGACGTGGTGGCTCACGCCTGTAATCCCAGCACTTTGGGAGCCTGAGGCAGGAGAATCGCTTGAGCCTAGGAATTCAAGGCTACAGTGAGCTATGATGACACACTGTACTCAAGCCTGGCTGACAGAGTGAGATACTCTCTGAAAGAACAAAACAAAAATAAAAATTATGGGTAAGGAAACTGAGGTCCAAAAAAGGTGTCTTGACCAAGATTTTTAGCTTGTTGGTGTCAGAGTAAGAACACAACCCACATCCTCTGACTTCTAGTACAGCTTAGCACAATCCGTTGTTAATCTATGCTCTAGAAGCAAGGTGAAAGGAAGCTGATTCAAGACAAGAGACTTCAAGAATCACAGCTCTCCCAAATCTGAAAGGAGTGAAAAATCTTTGGAGATCCCTACAGGCAAATGTTTGAACTCCTGTGCCTCAAGGGCAGCATTTGCCTCAAAGGGGTTCAATCTGGTATTATCTCATTTTTTTAGTATTATGGGAAATAGATACTTAGGTATCTGTGATCAGAATCTCAGGATACACTGATGAAACAAAAATGTGAAATTGAATTATTAATACTTTATTGTGAGATATGGGTAGATCCAGGTCTAGGTTTGGAGGGAAAAAAAAGAGATAAGGTTTCTAACAGAAAACTGGGGTTAAATTAAGTAACAGTTCTTTGGAAGTGCCAGCCATCCCCCCACCCCAACTCCCCAAATAGGTAACGGAATATCACCTACAAAATGAATACCATTTTGTAGAATGGCCTTAATCAAATGTTACTTGAATGCCATAAATGTTGGAGCCCTAATTTTACCTTACCTCTGTCAAAATTATATTGCTGGGAGATGATTTCTCCCCAGTATTTAGCACACTCAGCAGATAGCTTCTTTGGTTTGTCTAGTCGACGAATTGCTAATGCCTGAATGTGTTTTTGGAAGGCCTCTTCTGTCATGTCCTCTATGGACTTTTCCATGGTAATTAAGAAAGCTTCCACTCTGCTTTCTAGGTAGTGAGGTGGCTTTTCTGACTGGATGATGAATCTCAAGCCCTGTATGCCATTAGCTCGACGTGGCCCGCTGAAGACGATATAGCCTGAAACACAGACATCAGCCAGTCATGACCGTGGCATTTGAGACCTGGGTCATTTTTAATCCTTCAAAAACTAACCTGTCTGAGCAAATAAAATCTAGTTTAAGGTTTTAGAGTATTCACCTCTTAAAGAAATATGAGCACTTAAGATGGTTTCAGTTCCTAAGGACAGAGCAGAAGAGCTCTCTGAAGAATTACAAAGTTGGAGATGACTTTTTCTTCTTCTTAGGAAAAAAATCCTATTCATTATTCAAACTCCCATCTTGTCACTCCTCACTCTCTGTGAGTTAATCCTCTTCAATCTATGCTAAAGTTACTCCCAGAATATAAAATGCTGGACTCATTTTCATCCCTTAGTGACAGTCCTAGCTGTGTTTCCTTTAACATCCAAGTTCCGCATATGAACACGGCTCTCCTACTGTATTTCTTGTTAGATAATCCATTCCTGAACCAATTAATTCAGAATGCAACTCTCTAGAGATCAAGCTAACTAAAAGTCATACTTCCATGTTATCTCATGAGGACATGCACTACCTTCCTTCAACACCTTTTCAAAACCAAGCTCTTGGCTTATCTCCTTCAGCTGCCCTGCCCTGATCTACCACCTCCAACAGCTGTGGTGCCTCTGGGTCTCACTTCTGAGGAAGTTTCTATCTTCAACATAGCCATTCACAGTTTGATTTTCTTTGAGATGGAGTCTCGCTCTGTCACCCAAGCTGGAGTCAAGTGGCACGATCTCCGCTCACTGCAAACTCTGCCTCCCGGGTTCAAGTGATTCTCTGCCTCAGCCTCCTGAGTAGCTGGGATTACAGGCATGCACCACCACGCCCAGCTAATCTTTGTATTTTTAGTAAAGATGGGGTCTCACCATGTTGGCCAGTCTGGTCTTGAACTCCTGACCTCAGGTGATCCACCCGCCGCAGCCTCCCAAAGTGCTGGGATTATAGGCGTGAGCCACCGTGCCCGGCCAATAGTTTGAGCTCTTATAATAACATTTACCATGCTGTACTAAAATTATTCCTTTACAGGCCTGCCATCCTGATTTGACTGTGAGCTCCTCGAAAGGAAGGACCATCCAGAGCATCCATTTTCCATGTCCAGCACCTAGCACAATGGGTATTTAAACAATGATGGGTACTTGGAGAGACTCATCCTTTTTTCACTGGTTCCTTTCTGTCATTACTGGGGCTTCTTTGAGCTTCTTTCCTCATTGATCAAATCTGCCAGTACCTCAAGACTTTTAACAGTATCTAAAACTGGGAACACTTGCTGTGCCTTCTGTATGTCCCAGGCTTGGGATATAAAGACGAATGAGAGATAATACCTGCCCTCAAGGAACTCAGGCTTTAGTGAATCTAAGCTCCTCTGGATGGCTCATTTCTCATCTTGCTACCCATAAGCTTGTCCTTAGTATCCTTTTCCCCCACCTAAAATGCCCTCTTTATTGACATGTATGTAATATGCAGTATCATCTCATAAATAATTGCTTTAATGTCCATAAGATAGTGATTGCTTATCTTTTAGAAGTGGATTCTCTGTAATAAGGTTTTCTCAAGTCTCTCTAAGTAGACCATGCCTGATATACAGTGTTAGGTGAAAATGTGGAAAATGTTTTACAGGGAAAATAATTCATCAAAGTCTACAGTACCCTGCTATTTCCCCACTTTCCTCTCACCCAACTGCTCCTTGGTGCGCAGGGTGTTGAAGCAAGGTTCCGAGATAATCTGACAGAAGAGCTCCAGAAACATATTCTCTGAGGTGCTTTGCATGTCTGTTTGGTAGTATATCTCGATGCCACAGTTATTGTGAACTTCATTTCTCTGCTGATAAACAAACCATCCTCCTAGGAAGTTTCAAAAAGACAGCAGCAAGTTCAAAAACTTATTTGGGGTTTAATAAAGTCAATGCTATGTCTGCCCACACTTACAGATGATAATTTAGACATTAATAGAAAAGGGAGGTAGAGAAGCCTGGAGTTGTATTTCATTGATTTCACTTTTCTGATCATGTCCAACTTTGACCAACAGTCAAACTTACTAATTATAAATTGGCAGCACTAAGTTCCCTCTCATCAGAAGGAGGGGAGCCAGTGCCATGGCTCACATTTATAGTCCCAGCTACTTGGGAGGCTGAGGCGGGAGGATCACTTGACCCCAGGAGTTTGAGGCTGCAGTGAGCTGTGAGTATACCACTGCACTCCAGACCAAGACACAGAGTGAGACCCTGTCTCAAAAAAAAAAAAAAAAAAAAAAGCAGAGAGAGAGGAACGTGGCCTGTAAGCCTCTCTCCCTCACCCACCTCACATCCTTCTAGCCTTTTTGTACTTTTTTTTTTGAGACAAAGTCTTGTTCTGTCACCCAGGCTGGAGTGAAGTGGTGCCATCTCAGCTCACTGCAACCTCCGCCTACTGGGTTCAAGCAATTCTCTTGCCTCAGCCTCCTGAGTAGCTGGGACTATAGGCATGTGCCCCCACACCTGGCTAATTTTTCTATTTTTGGTAGATACGGGGTTTTGCCATGTTGGCCACGCTGGTCTTGAATTCCTGACCTCAGGTGATCCGCCTGCTTTGGCCTCCCAAAATGCTGGGATTACAGATGTAGGCCACCACGCCTGGCCCTTTTCTTTTTTTTTTTTTGAGACGGAGTCTGGCTCTGTCACCCAGGCTGGAGTGCAGTGGTGCAATCTCGGCTCACTGCAACCTCCATCTCCTGGGTTCAAGCAACTCTCCTACCTCAGCCTCCCAAGTAGCCGGGATTACAGGTGCCTGCCACTATGCCCAGCTAATTTTTGTATTTTTAGTAGAGACGGGGTTTCACCATGTTGGCCAGGCTGGTCTCAAACTCCTGACCTCAGGTGATCCACCCACCTCAGCCTCCCAAAGTGCTGGGATTACAGGTGTGAGCCACTGCACCCGGCTGCCTGGCCCTTTTCATATATATTCTAAAACATCTTCTCGGTTGCAGTGAGCTGATATTGTGCCACTATACTCCAGCCTGGGTGACAGAGTAAGACTCCGTCTCAAAAAATAATAACAAAAATAAAGATAAATAAAACATCTCCTTTATAATGCTTGAAAATTTTCCTTTTCACTTGAGACAGTCTGTCACTCTGGCACCCAGACTGGAGTGCAGTGGCACAATCATGGCTCATTGCAGCCTCAACCTCCTGGGCTCAAGCGATCATCCCACCTCAGCCTCCTAAGTAGCTACAGGTGTGCGCCACTATGCCCAGCTAATTTTTTTTATTTTAAATTTTTTGTAGAAACAAGTTCTATTTTACCCAGCCTAATCTCAAATTCCTGGCTTCAAGCAATCTTTTTACCTTGGCCTCCCAAAGTGCTGGGATTATAGGAATGAGCCACCACCCAGGCCTGAATATTTTACTTTTAAATACTAAGTGCCTTTCCATGGAGAGTTAAGTGAAGAACTATTTAAAGATTCACATCTGATCAGCTGGCTAATTCAGCATGATTTCCTACCACTTAGCATTTTGAGAATGAGATGTGAACTGGGCTATTTTTGAACATGGAGAAATTTGGGAGGGTACTTAGGAGGCAAAAGAGATTAAGATCCTAGGAAAGGAGACAGAAAGAGGGAAGTAGAGTCAAAAGAAGTAAGAAGGATGAATTGCACTTTGAAATATTGTTTCTACACTGGCCTCACTTTGAAGTCAACTGTTATGGCTCTTGCATAGAATATCCTGAGTCTTTCTCTAATTGTAGTGGGATCAGCACATCCTGAGTCTTGTCCTGGTTTTAGTGACTGAGGAATAAACTGGCAAAAGTTGGAAATAAACCACTACCAGATCTGTGATGACTGGTCATGCACAACAGCAGAGCTGGGCTCAACGTATCTCTAAGCATTCAACAAAGGTATCCTGAAGTAATAATATGTTCCAGTTGCTTTAGAAGCTACTCAAATGAACTAGACACAGACTTTGGCTTTAAGGAATGTACAGTCTAACAAGAAGATGGAGATGCACTTCAATCCCAACACAAGAGAAGTGCTAAGTAGCTTGAATAGGGAGGTTCAGAAAAATTGTGCTGCAAGTCCAGAGGTAGATGTGATTATTTCTAGCTGGGAGTTTTAGAAAAAGTTTAGTGGAATAAGTAGCTTATAAAATAGGCCTGGAAGGAGAAGTAGGATGTAGGCACTGGCCCATGAAGAAGAAGGGGGAAAGGAGAACACCATTTTGGGAGGATAAAATAGCTGGGGGGAAAAGGCAGCACAGATGGTTCATGCATAGGGAACAACCAAACAATCAAGCTTGGCCAAAAAAAGCTTCTCTTCCTTCATTTAATATACCTTCTATTACACAGTTTTGAGCAATATTGACAATAATGCTTAATGAGTTTTTATCAGAAGAAGCCACTGTTAATGTAAAAGTAACCCAACATTGTAAACCCCAATATATAAATTCAATAAAAGTCTTTGTTAATCCCTTATAAAAATATACTTGTAATGATTACATGTTATCTGCACCTGTGGGTTTCCTAAAACTATTTCTGCCAAAGAATCCTATGGGTTTCCAATTAAATATTATAATTCCAGTTTCCATTTTTATAAATGTATTTTATTTCATGACTCATAGTCAATACCTTTGTGATATTTTTACTTCCTAATTCCCCTTCATTCAAGTACCCGTCAATTCCAGTATCATTCTCTTCAAAATTATTGCCTATCTCCAATTTTACTTATTTGGCCCTCCTACCAAAAATTTTTTTGGCAGAATTACCTATCTCTAATCATAATTCTGTAAATAGGAGAGGTTCCCAAGTAAATCTTTGGCGTAAAACTATACCAAATTCAGCCCACCTGTAATCACCCACACTGTTATGTCAAAATAGTCCATTCCCAAAGTTACAACATCTCTACTTACTGTCAGGGAGCTGAACTTCTCTATACCGAACCAGCTGACTTGGAAGGAGAGGTTTGGTATGAGCATGTTCAATGAGGGTGTCTTCAACCATCTGCATAATTCCTAATGCAGCCTATGGAAAAAGATATGTCCCAGCATATTACAAAAACATAAACATATCTTGTTTGTGAAATAAACTGGCTTTGTTTATCATAAAAGTGGATTCTAAAACCTTAAATATATTTGATCCTATTCAAATGGATAAAAATTGAATTTGTCAGTATGGTCATTTTGCAATAGAGTCAATATGGTAGTGGTGAAAGAAACAGACACCCAAACAATCATCAACACTGATGCTGATGCTGGAAAAAAGGCACTGCCAAAGATGGTCTCAAGTGAAATGATCCTGACTACAGACACCTGGGGTCACAGAAAAGCAAGGGAGGCAAACATAGGCTTTATTGTAGGTAAAATGACCTTGGTAAGAATCTTGCTTCTGCCACTTATTAGCATCTGACCTTGGGCATATTGTTCTGGAGGGGGTATAGCAGAGTGGTAGAGACCAAGGGATCTTTTCTTTTTTTTTTTTGAGACAGGGTTTCGTTCTGTTACCCAGGCTGGAGTGCAGTGGCACAATCATAACTCACTGCAGCCTCAACCTCCTAGGCTCAAGAGATCCTCTTGCCTCAGCCTCCTGAGTAGCTAGGACTACAGGCATGCACTACCACACCTGGCTGTTTTTCAATTTTTTGTAGAGTTATGTTGCCCAGGCTGCTCTCGAACTCTTGGGTTCAAGTAATCCTCCTGCCTCAGCCTCCAAAGTACTGAGATGATAGGCGTGAGCCACTGCACCCGGCCGAGACTGAGGGATCTTGAGACAGACTGCCACGGAAATTTTGTAGTGCTTTCCATGTGCTAAGTACTTAGCATGTACTATTTAATCCTTACCACACATGACGTAGGTGCTACTGTAACTCTAATTTTACAGAAAAGAAAACAGATAAGCACAGAGTTAAGACATTTTCAAAAGATTACAGATCTAGTATATAGCAGAGCCAGGATTTGAATCCAGGCTGTCTAATTCTACAGCACGTGCTCTTATCTACTATACAATTATGCCACCCTATACAGAGTAGGGATAATTACTCCCATTTCCTCCTATGATTGCACAAGGTAGAAAACAGCAGAGGAGGCAGCCATGAAAGTTAGGTCCTCAGTTAATCACCATCATTCTACTTTCCCTGTGCCCTCTACCTTCCTCCACAGAGCAAGAGGGTTGAGTAAACT
The DNA here is from genome assembly GCF_000001405.40 of Homo sapiens. NCBI lineage: Eukaryota > Metazoa > Chordata > Mammalia > Primates > Hominidae > Homo > Homo sapiens. Next base: position 92,470,145 of record NC_000010.11, read on the forward strand.
CTAATGTGTTCCTTATCACACCATGCTGGTTAACAATCTTGAGAAAGACTAGAGGGAAAAAATATCTTGCAATGATCCACAAAAGATTGCTAAAACCTCAACCACCCACCTGCTTTGTTATGTTTCCATGGAGAAGGGCTTCAATGTGCAGCCGTGACAGGAGCTGAGGTATGAAGGCCTTAAGGCGAGGAAGGGTTACATCTGCAAAGGTGTAAGAAGACATAGTGAGCGCTACCTATGAGGGATTTTTTGTTTGAGATAATTTGAGACTTACAGAAGACTTGCAAAAATAGTACACAGAGCTCCTGTAAACACTTCACCTAGTTTTCCCTAATGTTAACATCTTTCATAACCATCAAAACTAAGAAATTAACATTGGTATAATACTATTAACTAAAGTACAGACTTTATTTGGATTTTTCCCATTTTTATCTTTTTTTTTATTCCAGGATTTGATCCACAACCCTCCATTACATTTAGCTGTCATATGTCTTTAGTTCCCTCTAATCTCTGACAGTTTCTCAGTCCTTCCATATATTTCATGATCTTAAGACTTTTGAAGAGTACTGTTCAGTTATTTTATAGAAGTCCCACATTTGGGTTTGTCTGGTGTTTTCTCACAATTAGATTTCATGTCTGTATTACCACAAAGAATACCACAAAGGTAATGCGCCTTTCTCACTGCATTCTATCAGGGGACTCATGAAGTTGATATGTTGTAGTACTAGTGATGTTAAAACTGATCACTTGGTTAAGGTGGTGTCTGCCAGATGTCCTCACTGTAAATGTATTATTTTATTCTTTTATTTATAATTTAATAACTCATATGTGCTCTATATGCAATTTGGAAAAGCCCACTTGCCCATCTACACCTATTTTTCCCTTTGTAATTACTAAATATTTATTTTGGGAAAAGTAAATGAGATTATACAAATATTTTCTTTTTCTTTAAATTTGACCCACTAATTTTAGCATCCATTGGTAGTTATTGCCTGTAGCAATTATTACTATGGAGTTCTAATGGCAATTTTTCTATTTCCCTCTTTCTTTTTACATATATTAATTTAATCCTTCTGTAAGGAAGAGCTGTCCCTTCTCCATTAGGACACCATAGTAATAACTGCTACATGCAAGATCTACCAATGGATGCTAAAATCAGTGATAGACATTTAAGGAGAAACATGGGAATGCAAATAACAAGTGCTTACCACAGATCAGGAATTTTACAGATGTTATCTTTCACACTATAAAGTAGCTACTATTATCCCCACTTTAAAGATAGGAAAATGAAGTTAAGAAAATTTAAGTTTGTTGTTCAAAGTCATTAAGCTAGTAAATTGCAGAGCTGGGATTTGATCCTTGGTCAATTCCAAAGTGGATGTTCATTCTATTCCACTGTACTGCCTTAGGGGTCCTCTTCACTAGGCTCCCTCGGCACTCTCTGCAGCTTTCCACCACAATACTTACCCCCTTGTCTCTCTCTATTAAAATGATCTACTTACATTTATGCTTCACCACCAGACTGGAGCTCCTTGATCAAAGAAACCCCATCTAATTGATCATTTTAAATTTTTATTTATTTATTTTTGAGACAGAGTCTTGCTCTGTCACCCAGGCTGAAGTGCAGTGGTGCAACCTCCGCCTCCTGGGTTCAAGCGATTCTCCTGCCTTAGCCTCTTGAGTAGCTAGGAATGCAGGCATGCACCACCACGCCTGGCTAATTTTTGTATTTTTTGTAGAGATGGGGTTTTGCCATGTTTAATTGATCATTTTTTAATCTCAAGCACCTGCAGTCTTGGGCTGGGTGCATGGCAGGCAGTCAGTAAATGCTGCTGGACCACACTGAACCCTGAAGTTCTTGCTACCCTGGCACCTGGATAGCTGAATGATTTAGAGTCACTGAAGAGGCAGCCTCTCACACTGAGTTGTTTCCAAATTAAGCCATTCTGGCATTTTGGATTATTGTAGGAGTATATATATCAAAATGGAATAATTATTTACTTGAGCAGAAAATTTAAATAAAAAAAGAACTGACTATTCTCTTTACAAAATCCATTTTAGGAAGCCTTCATATCCCTCTGAGATACTATAGAGCTTATTCTGCTTAAAATTAACATGCCATCTGACCTAGATTCTAACGAAGGGTGAATAAAACCCTCAAACCTTTGCTTTTTGATCATTATAAAAGTAGGCTTCGTTTTGGAAAACATTTAAAATTAATTGTGTGGTATTTTTAAAAGGTATAATTCTTGCTATTAATTGCATATGACCATAATCATTTTGCAAAGAAAAGCATATTAACTGTCCTGATAAAAAAATGTACCTGTTCTAGTAAGTGATTTTTATAATCTAGTCTCCTATCCAATGCCTGAGGCAATCAACAAAATAATGACTTTCAGTACTTTGCTCGATTTGTGTCACTGATGACATCAAAAGCATAGTGTTACGTAAGTATAAGAACTTGTCACAAAAGGTTATTAAAACATTCAACAGAATTCTTTTTTTTTTTTTTTTTTTGAGATGGAATCTCTGTTGCCAGGCTGGAGTGCAGTGGCACGATCTCGGCTCACTGCAACCTCTGCCTCCTGGGTTCAAGCGATTCTCCTGCCTCAGCCTACCAAGTAGCTGGGACTACAGGTGAACGCCACCATGCCCAGCTAATTTTTGTATTTTTTGTAGACGTGGGTTTCACCATGTTGGCCAGAATGGTCTCGATCTCTTGACCTTGTGATCCGCCCGCCTCGGCCTCCCAAAGTTGCTGAGATTACAGGCGTGAGCCACCATGCCCAGCCCAGAATTTTTTTTTTTTTTTTTTTAGACAAGAGTCTCACTCTGTCGCCCAGGCTGGAGTGCAGTGGCATTATCTCGGCTCACTGTAAGCTCCGCCTCCCAGGTTCACGACATTCTCCTGCCTCAGCCTCCCGAGTAGCTGGGACTACAGGCACCCGCCACCACGCCCGGCTAATTTTTTGTATTTTTAGTACAGACGGGGATTCACCATGGTCTCCATCTCCTGACCTCGTGATCCGCCTGCCTCGGCCTCCTAAAGTGCTGGGATTACAGGTGTGAGCCACGGCACCCGGCCCAAAATTCTTTTTATTGCATTTTAATGCTTATGGCTGAGCACATAGGAAGAAAGATTAATTGGCGAGGTAATGTTGAGAAGTAAAAAATCTAAAACAATAATAAAGGGTGATACCAATCTACATTTTTTTCCAGTAAAGAAATCCTGAAAGTAATTTCTTTACATTCAATAGGCATTCATTAGATACACACTGAGGGCATAATATTATACTAGATACTAAGTAAAGGGGTATGGAAGGCAGGTATAATCACTGCTCTTAAGGAATTTTGGATTTTCAAGCCAAACTCCTGAAAATTAGACTTAAGATTCTAGGGAAAAAAACAACAAAAGATGACTCTTTAGGCTTTCACATTTTCCAATTTTTAACTGAACTGATCTAAGGATGCTAAAGCAGGAAAAAAAAAAAAACCTGAACATTGTGTGTTAAGACTTTGAAGTTCAGCTAACTTTTTCTTAAAACTTCAATATTGGCCGGTCGCGGTGGCTCATGCCTGTAATCCCAGCATGCTGGGAGGCCAAGGCAGGCGGATCACCGGAGGTCAGGAGTTCAAGACCAGCCTGGCCAACATGGTGAAACCCTGTCCCTACTAAAAATACAAAAAGTTTGCCAGGTGTGGTGGTATACACCTGTAATCCCAGCTACTCGGGAGGCTGAGGCAGGAAAACTGCTTGAACCTGGGAGGTGGAGGTTGCAATGAGCTGAGATTGCACCACTGCACTCCAGCCTGGGCAACAGAGCAGACTCCGTCTTTAAAAAAAAAAACACCAAATAAAAATCCTTCAATATTAACAAGGTTAGTACTTGGGTCAGAGCATTTAGTCTGCAGAAAAAAAAATTTTTTTTTGGAGGCAGAGACAGAGTCTTGCTCTGTCATCCAAGCTGGAGCACAGTGGCGTAATCATGGCTCACTGCAGCCTCAACTTCCCGGGCTCAAGCAATCCTCTCAACCACAGCCTCTTGAGTAAGTGGGACCACAGGTGTAAGCCACCATATCCAGCTAATAGTTTTATTATTTTTTGTAGAGACAGAGTCTCACTATATTGCCCAGGGTGGTCTCAAACTCCTGGGATCAAGCGATCCTCCTTTCTCCGCCTCCCAAAAGTACTAGGATTACAGGTATGTGCAACCCAGCCCTTCTGCAGAAATCTAAAAGTAGTAATAATTAACTGGTGTAGGTCCAGATTGAAAACAGTAAATGTGGCTAACCTGCCTGAATGCAAAAACCACTTCAAAGCCACCACTGTTTTTTTACATTTTATTTTTAATTGACAAATAATAATTGTAGATATTCATAGAGTATATAATGTTATTATATATACATATAATGTATAGTGATCACATCAGGGTACTAAGCATATCCATCATCTCAAGTTTATTTATCATTTGTTTGGGTTGGGAATGTTCAATATCTTCCTTCTACCTATTTAAAAGTATATGTTACTGTTAACTATAGCCATCCTGCCCACCACTGTTTTTATAAAACATATACACAGCCAGCTTTAATAGAACTACAAGTTATTTAAAAGTATAAACAGTCAATATCAGAATAAACCAAAATGAATTTAGGAAAAAAATGAAGAAAGCATTAAGCTTTAAGTAGAAAGTCTCACCATCCAGAGCTTCTTTTAACTCATCTTTAGTCCAGGCCACTTCAGTCATCAGCAAGCGGAGGTAGTACATGGCATGCTGGTGAGGCTGTTCAGCCCGGAAATTGTTAAGAGATCGCATATACTAGTGAAAGAGACATGCGTTCATTAATTTTATAAATCTTTTAAAAATCATTTCAAAAGTCCAGTTATAATCAAATTTCAATTCTCTATAAACTGTATTACTAGGATATTCCCTTCTTTCCCCTTTCTGAAGTTATATAATTAAGAATGGGGTTTATTCCTCTCCGATCTTTACATAAAAGTGCATGCTTTTTCTTTGTCCAAGCTACATTTGTTCAGCATCTGACATGGACTATAAGTGCCTTCACTATGGGATATCTTTAGTCCCTCAGAAAGTTATCCCTAGTTTTCAGGGAAGTCTTTTGGAATCTTTAGGTTCTACGCTATAAAGCCATCCCCAAAGTCTCCATAAGCAAGCAACATAAATAGGTAGCCATATAAAATATGGAATCTTTATTTGAAAACTGATGGTAGTTTCTTCTAGTATACAAGGAAAGGTCATAGTTTAGCTTCAGAAGCAGCTGTTCATCCCATACTTCCATTACTGGGCCAAACATGAATTGAATGTAAGTGGAAGATATGTCAAACCCAAATAGTGTGCTCTAATGTGACAAGGTCTTGAGGTAAAGCAGACCTCAGTCTGCTGAATTGCGTGTTCTTCTGAACTAGAGGTTGGGATGGAACATTCAAGGAGGCCCTGACAGCCACTAAGTGCTTCTCTTTGAAATTCAGAGCTGCAACTCTGAATTGCAGTGAGCTCTTGGCACCCACAGAGAAGAGGCCAGGTGTCCACCAGAGTCTACTAGGATTTCTTTCTGGATGGAGTATAGGATTTTGCAATGACAAGGTGAGATGAATGCCACAGGGTTATGAATTCTTCTTTTCCTCCTTGCTTCTTTTATATTATAAAAACTATTATGAAAACTTTTTATAATATAGCAATATTATCTTATGAATAAAAAAGCAGGGTTCAGAAAACTTACTGCTTCTTTGATAATTTCAAATCTTTTTTCATCAATCTCAAAGGTAGCCATTTTCTCAATAATCTTCTTTAGTAAAATTGGCTGCTTGTCATTGTAACCTTTCACTGAAAGCTACAGAAAGAATTCAGGGTATTAAAAGTCTAAAAATATCACAAAACAACTTCCAAATAAACGACTTGATTTTTAAACATGTAGAAAATCCCAAAACAGACATGTAAAAAATGAAACAAATTCAATTTAATGTGTCATAAATATATATAGTGTAACACTTAGGAAGATAACATTAACCATCTTTTTTTTTTTTTTTGAGACAGAGTTTCGCTCTTGTTGCCCAGGCTGGAGTGCAACGGCACGATTTCAGTTCACTGCAACCTCAGCCTCCCAGGTTCAGGCAATTCTCCTGTCTCAGCCTCCAGAGTAGCTGGGATTACAGACGTGCCCCACTACGCCTGGTTAATATTTTGTATTTTTAGTAGAGATGGCGTTTCACCATGTTAGTCAGGCTGGTCTTGAACTCCTGACCTCAGGTGATCCATCCGCCTCGGCCTTCCAAAATGCTGGGATTACAGGTGTGAGCCACCATGCCCAGCCTTAACCATCTTTTTTAAAAAATATATTTATTTATTCGAGACAGGGTCTTGCTAGGGTACCCAGGCTAGACTCAAACTCCTGAGCTCAAGTGAACCTCCTGCCTCAGTCTCCCAAGTAGCTGGAACTATATGTGTGAGCCACAGTGCCTGGCCATTAACAATCTCTATACCCAAAAGCATAATTTTACTTTTCTGAAACAAAACCAACAGTAAGTAAACTCACCTGACACCGAACTATGGTGGCATATACTATATCATCAAAACTCAAATTCTTTTTATAAAATTAATTGTAGAATGTGGCTAAGTTTTTTCTTCAAAAAGAATATCTAATGAAAGGCAGACTTAAGGTTTCTACAGGTGAGGTAAGAAGATAAAAATCACAGGGCATAGTGGCACGTACAAGTCGTCCCAGCTACTTGGAAAGCTGAGATGGAAGGCTTGCTTTAGCCCAAGAGTTTAAGACCAACCTGGGCAACATAGTTAGACTCCTGACCTCAGGTGATCCACCTGCCTCGGCCTCCCAAAGTGCTGGGATTACAGGCATGAGCCACCGTGCCAGGCAGGATCCACAATTCTAACCACTTGCTTATTTGGTAAGTTCTGTTGGTGTTCCAAAAGCTAATGGCAAAACAAATGTGTAAAAAGGATACACTGTATGTATCATCAGGACCTTGGCTTAGCACATTTTTTTTTTTCTGAGACAGGGTCTGGCTCTGCCACCCAGGCTGGAGTGCAGTGGTACAATCTCGGCTGACTGCAACTTCTGCTCCGCAGGCTCAAGCGATCCTCCCACCTCAGCCTCTGGAGTAGCTGGACTACAGGTACACACCACCATGTCTGGCTAATTTTTTGTATTTTTTGTAGAGACAGGGTCTTGCCATGTTGCCCAGGAGGCTGGTCTCGAACTCCTGAGCTCAAAGCAATCTGCCTGCCTTGGCCTCCCAAAGTGCTGGGATTACAGGCGTGAGCCACCGTGCCCAGCCAACTTAGCAAAATTTACTTTGTCTCTAAATGCCTAACATTTTGAAAAGTGGGGAATGGAGAATTTCTATCATGATATTTCCACATGGTGGCACGCAAAGCAGTAGGGGATATCACTGCAGCTAGAATATCATGAAAGTCTCTACGCTGTACAGGATGATAGGCAAGAACCTCAGCAGGAGGGAAGGCCACTGGCCACGGCAAGCACATCATTTTTCCTACTGTAGGAACTAGACTGACAATTAGCAGAAAACCCATTTTGTCATAAATAAAAATTATGTGTTTTGATGGTAATATGCTACTAAAAATCAACAGAAAAAAGAGAAAACAGATGATTACTTTTCTATTTGGAGCTAATTTTGATCTCTGAGCTTCAAACTTCTGTGGACTCTGGGAATGGTTAGATTAATAAACATTCTTATACATTAAACAAAAGCTACCAGAGAATTTATTTATGTGAAGAAAAAAAAGTCACTGGAAAATAAATAAAATTTAAAATTCCTACAATCTTTTGTGTAAGAATTTAAACAACGAGTACCCCAAAATGCTCTTGTTTTCATTTTTACTAAAATATGCAATATATTTTCAAGAAAAGTGAAGATGAATGTGTGCCATAAAAGGGATGTTAACTCGGAATTGAGATATAAGCAAGCTTGGAAACACATTCCAAAGAAAGGATCTAGTTATTTCTTAGATGGATTTAATAAATGCTTATTTTAAAACACACATAAAGTAGGTAATGGTGCATGCTACAAAATAAGTTTTAAATTAAAATGTCAGATGTATCTGAACATAGAAACTTTATACTACTGTCTGCAGAAATAAAGGGTGCCTATTTATAAGTAAAATTCAATCACCACAACAACTATGGATATCTTCTACTTACGGATGTTAATATACTCAATTATATAGAAAGAACAATATGCTTTCAGGATTAATATGTTAAACATCTCAGGCAGAAGAGCATGCAAATAAACGTAGCACACATACATGTTCACAAGATGCACTAAACTTTATTAAATCATTCATTAGTGGAACTAACACTAATTTGAGTTCTTTGATCATCAAAAAGATGCAAGGAAAAAAACCATTAACTTTCTTGTTTAAAAATGCGAAGTTAATAGTTTTCCCAAGCTCAACATAATGCTTAAACGGGGTGGTGCCTTTTCTTTGGTTTTCATTTTACTTACAAGTATTGCATTCATTCCTGATGCAATGCCATAGCTCAAACCTGAGAGGCGTGCTGCATATGTATACTCTTTTAAATCATCCTTCAATAACCTGATAAACAGGTATGTCATGTTGCAATGGAGAGGATCAGCATAAATGTAGCGACTAACAAAAAGAAAAACAAAAGAAATGCTTTGATACCTCAAGCAGTGGCATGGTAATGAAGAAACATGACCGAAGAGTATGGATATGCAGCCTCATGATCTGGATTTCTAGGGAAATAGTATATGCCAACCTTAGGTTTTACAAAAGGAAGACTTCATTTTCCTTTGCCAAAGACCAAGATTTCAAATACAGAATGGGTAAGAGCTAAACCTAAATCAGGGTCCAATTTTGTTTGAGTAGAAAAATATGACATTCTGATGAAAGACGTTTAAAAAAAAAGAAATCAAGGAAAATTTGCATAATATGAATGGTATGTAGTTGAACACTTAGAATAAAAGCTAACTTAAAAATTAAATGAGAAAATATGATTAGCCATAAAGATTAAAAAAAAAAGAAATTAAACTCACACCCTCAATCAAAAAATGCTTCCATCAAATCAATATAAAAAATGTTGATGAGTGGAAGGCTCTAAGGCGTGGGTACTTACATACATCCCATAGATGGTATTTTGGAGATCATAGCTCAAGCCTGCTAGCTCTGCTGCATATGCATACTCGTTGAGTGAGTCTTTGAGGAGCTCAAGGTACAAATAGGCCATGTTACAGTGCAAGGGGTCCACATAAGCAAATGGGCTGGAAGAAAATGTTGACAGTAAAATAGCTGATTTTATTACTTCTCAATGTGATATGGCCTTTTGAGATGGATCAAGATATTGAACACCGGTTAATATGATTTCCTGAGGATATGGTTGAATTCTTGAGGCTATTTCTTATGAGGAAAAAAAAGAAGATGTCTGAAAAAGAAGCCTGAAGTGTGTGTGAGTGTGTGTGTGTGTGTGTGCATGCGTGCGTGTGTGCGTGCGCACTGGTAGTAGTGAAGAAGGAGAAGGAACTGCCTACCCCAGATGGTGTGGCAGAACTGACAAGTTAGAAATGCAGGGTATGTGAGCAGTGGGAACGGGCCAAAATGCATGGCTGTGCTTAGGCTAATGGGAGGAGCACGGCCGACAGAACAGATACAGCATTTGCATGTCTTCCCTCTCTCTCCAATAAAGTCACATCCTTGGTGGACAGGAATAAAGGACTGGGAAATGTGTCTGTGGTAATTACATGAACTTAGAAAAATTGAGACCTGTGAAAATGTTAGCTTATCCCTGAGTTTTCCCCAAAACAGTAAAGCTAGAGAACTGTCAGTAAAATAATTGATAATTTCTATCATATAACAGCAGCCAAAACTAGGGAAAAATAAAATAGAAAAATATTTTAATGAGAAAGAACAAAGAAGAAAGAATTATAGAGTACAAGAACTAAACCACCACAGTGATCAACTAAACTTCATTTCCCAGATAAGAAACATAATTTTCTTCAGGTCCCCTGAGTTCGTGGCAGCAGAGCTGGGATTCAAATGCAAGTTAAATGACCTGCTCCTTTGACTATACAACCTTGCTTACCTTTTATCAGAAGAAAGTAAAGGTCTCACTCATTCAACAAATATGTATTATATGCTTACTACAGTGCCAGGCTCTTCTCTAGGCACTGGAAATAAAGAGTGAACAAATCAGGCAAATTCCCTGACCTCAGAGTTGATAATCTAGCTAGAGGGGACACATAATAATAAATTTAAATTTGACATATTAGTTGGTGACAGTGCTATGGGGTAAAATTAAGCAGGGTAAGGGGAATAGGGAATGATGGGGTGATGGCAGCAGGGAAGAAAGACTGCTGCTTTACATAAGATGGCCAGTCAAGGCCACTCTTACAATGTGACATCTGGACTCAGACCTGAAGGAGGCAAGGGAGTGAGCCCTGGGGATATCTAAGGGGTGGAGTGGAGAACTTCCCAGGCTGAAGAAATAGCTACTGCTAAAGGCCTGAGGCAGGTGCCTGCTTGGCTTGTTTGGCAGCAAATTAAAAGTTTCACTCTACTTGTAGCACAGTAAATATAACTAATGTACTGATAACAAAGTCAACATTTTGTTTTTTAAAGTTGAGTCAAGGTCTCACTGTGTTGTCCAGGCTGGTCTCGAACTCCTAGGCTCAAGCGATCTTCCTGCCTCGGCTTCCCAAAATGTTAGGATTACAGGTGTGAGCTATCGCACCCAGCCAAAAGCCAACAATTTTATCAAAGCTGATAAAAAAGCAAAAATAGGGATAAAATGTGTAGTCACTTAGAGAATTAAAATCAAAGACAAAGTTCTACAGCTATCCAAATATTCTCCAACTGGAAAATCTGAATAAATGTTCTGCCATTAAATTTTTTAAGGTATGATACATGATGACAGATTTCCTTCTTTTGGCAAATAGCAGCTCAAAAACTTAAGGCACAATTCACAAAAACAAAATCATCAAAACAAAAGAGAGGATATCACAGAGGTCGGCCCCACAGGCAACTATGCACCTTTCTCAGGTGGAAGTGAAAAGCCAGAAAATCCAAGTTTTGGGTCTCAAAGCACTATGGCTCAGGCTCAGAAAATAATTCCAAGGAGTGTCCTAAAATGCTACATCCAGCCTGGCAAGGTGGCATACGCCTGTAGTCCCAGCTACTCAGGAGGCTGAGGTGGGAGGATCACTTGAGCCCAAGAATTTGAGGCTGCAGTAACTGCACTCCAGCCTTGGGTGACAGAGGAAGACTCTGTCTCCTAAAAAAAGAGAACAACAAAAACAGCTGTATCCACAGCAGCTGTGCTGGTGAAGTGGAGAAGACCCTAAACTAACTTTTAAAAGAGAATAGGATTCAACTGGGATACCTAAATTCTGGTTCATGTGTTAATTTTAAAAATACGTTATTTTGTAACCAGATACTATATGCTTAAATATGGATCACAGGGTTTTAAAAACCATAGCTAACTACACATAATATAATCTTATTTCTGAAAAGATGGAAAGGATATAGACACACACATGAAAATTTCAATTAAAATGTACAAGAAACAGAACAGTGGTTACCTCTAGGAAGACAGACCAGAGGGAGGGATTTGTGTGGGAGGCAGACATTTTCAGTTCTAGGAAATGCGCTAGGCAGTTTAGAGAACACAAAAATGTAAAATGGTCTCTCAAAGGGTAGTCTAAAGAAATTCATCATCATAGAGGCCAAATGGAAAAGTGGTGACAAGCTGCTTAGAGTGTTAAAAATATCACTCTCAAATATCAAAAAATAAAAAGCAGCTTTGTAATGCCCTTTACCAATAATAAGCCACAACCTGACAGCCCATCTTTGGTGTAAACAATAAAAAATCTCTGCACAGTTCTAGATAATCTGTGAATCTCATGCAATAAAACCACAATATTTATAATCACTATAATCTCAACATATTTGTTGATGGAAAATCAAATTCCTTTCCCTCTTTCCAAAGCATTTAAACCTTATCTACCTCTAATTTCATGTCAAGCCAACTGAATAAAAATTAATGAAAAAGCTGATTATCATATTGAACATTACTGAACAAATAAACCATGATAGGCTTATCTTACAAACCACTGAATTTTAGAAATATAAAATTATGAAGTATAAACTCACAAAGTAAAATCTGAAACAGGTGATTAACACACAAATAAGTAAAGGAAGACAAAGATGAATTGAAGGTGCACTGAGAAATTACTGCAATAGCATTATTCATAAATTTTACTAAACATCTTCTCCCTTTTTATTAGTAATGTTTAAGTAATCAAGCCAGAAATAGAGGAAGCAGTATCTAAGGGTTCCAGACAAAGGACAAAACAAGACTCAGGATCATTTAGTAACTAGTACCTCCTCTTCTAGACAAGTTCCAGGAATACAAAGCCAAAGCAATAAAAACACCCCAAATTATTTATTCTTTCTTCAATGAGTCTTCTTCTGGGTAAATCTACGGCCTCCTCAGAATCCAAAACCCTGAAGGCTAAGAAGGTCATCCTAACAATAGCTAACATAAATCATTTCAGCTAAAGGGCATACTCATTAATGGGGAAAGAAAAAAAAAAAGAATTAACAACACTGGTTTTTAAAATACCTCTTAACAGCAACAGCTCTCCTTTTTTTTCTTTTCTTTTTTTTTTGAGACAGAGTCTGGCTCTGTCGCCCAGGCTGGAGTGCAGCGGTGCGATCTCAGCTGACTGCATCCTCCTGCCTCAGCCTCCTGAGTAGCTGGGACTACAGGCACCCACCACCATGCCCGGCTAATTTTTTGTATTTTTAGTAGAGACGGGGTTTCACCGTGTTAGCCAGGATGGTCTCACTCTCCTGACCTCATGATCCGCCCGCCTCAGCCTCCCAAAGTGCTGGGATTACAGGCGTGAGCCACCGTGCCCGGCCAACCTCTCCTTTTCTTTACTTTTATTTATTTATTTTTTTCAGCCTCTCCTTTTCTAGGTGAAATAACTCTAATTCCTTTTATTTCTAGACATGGATGTTTAAGAAGAACAGACAACTCCTGGAAACGTAATTGTTGATTTTTATAAGCTTTATAAGCTAGATTCATCTTACATACCTGAAAAATTCAAAGTTGAGACAAGCCTTCGGCAAAAAAAACTTATCATCTTGTTTGAACCAAAGTTTGCTCATAGCTGTATCCTGTGATGGAGAAACAATTTGGTTAGGGAAATAGAGGCGCATTCAGCAAAAATGTTCAATCAAATCACTCTTCAAGAGGAGGAGGACAGAAGCAATAGTTAGAGTTTTGTTCTGGAGTTGCTGTCCCATGGGCCTTGAAGCATACTCAAGAGTCAGCAGGTAGGAAGCTGGAGACAAAGACTGCAGACTCCTGTAGCAGAGTGAAATCTGCCTTCTATTTCCCCTGTATTAGGGAGATGGGGGTACAGTGAAGGAAGAGACAGATCAGAGAAGCCAATACCAACTGTCCTGTCTTCGTCTTTCTGGACACTAGGAGGAAGGCAGAGGCAGAAGTCCCTTGCAAGCGTATGGCAGCCAGCTTCCAGGGTGGCCCACAACAATCCTTGCCTGCTGAGATTCACAGCCTTGGGTGGTCCCCTCCCACACTACACCAGGGTTGGTCTGCCTTACTAACAAAATATGACAGAATTAATGGTATACCTCTGAGACTGCATTATAAAAGACACCGCGGCTTGCATCCTGATCACTCACTTTCCCTCCTGGATCACTCACTTTGGGGGAAGCCTGCTGCCATGTCAAGCAACTCTACAGAGAGGTCCATGTGGTGAAAAATTAAGGCTGGCCAACAACCACATAACTGAACTTGGAAGAGAATTCTCCAGCCCTGGCTGAACCTTCAGATGACTGAAACCTTGGCCAACAGCTTGACTATAACCTCACGACAAGCCCTGAGCCAGAACTACCCAACTAAGTCACTGCTGGATTCCTGACCCTCCTCAGAAACTGTGTGAGGGCCAGGCGCGGTGGCTTCACTCCTATAATCCCAGCACTTTGGGATGCCGAGGTGGGTGGATCATGAGGCCGGGAGTTCGAGACCATCCTGGCCAACATGGTGAAACCCCGTCTCTACTAATCATACAAAAATGAGCAGGGTGTGGTGGCTCGTGCCTGTAGTCCCAGCTACTCAGGAGACTGAGGCAGGAGAATAGTTTGAACCAGGACTCGGGAGGCAGAGGTTGCAGTGAGCCGAGATCATGCCACTGCACTCCAGCCTGGGCAACAGAGCAAGACTCCATCTCAAAAAACAAAACAAAACAAAGAAACTGTGTGTGAGATACGGTGCAGCAGCTCACACCTGTAATCCCAGCACTTTGGGAGGCCAAGGCAGGCAGATGACTTGAGGCCAGGAGTTCGAGATCAGCCTGGCCAAAACAGCAAAACCCTGTCTCTATTAAAAATACAAAAATTAGTTGGGCATGGTGGCACATGCCTATAATCCCAGTTACTTAGGAGGCTGAGGCATGAGAATAGCTTGAACCTGGGAGGCAGAGGTTGCAGTGAGCTGAGATTGCACCACTGCATTCCAGCCTAGGCAACGGAGAGAGACTCTGTCTCAAAAAAAAAAAGAAAGAAAGAAAAAAAGAAACTGTGTGTGAGAAACCAGGCATGATGGTTCATGCCTATAATCCCAGAAATTTGGAAGGCTGAGGCAGGATCGCTTGAGCCTAGGAGTTTGAGATCGGCCTGGGCAACATAGTGAGATCCCACCTCTACAAAAATATTGAACAATTAGCTGGGCGTGGTGGTGGGTGCTTGTAGTCCTACGTACACAAGAGGCTGAGGTGGGTGGATCACTTTAGCCCAGGAGGCCAAGGCTACAGTGAGCCATGACTGCACCACTTCACCCCAGCCTGGGCAATGGAATGCGAGTCTTTTAAAAAAAGGAAAAAAAACTGTGTGAGATAATAATTGTTGTGGGTTGTTTCTTTTTCTTTCTTTCTTTCTTTCTTTTTTTTTTTTTTTTTTTGTGACAGAGTTTCGCTCTTGTTACCCAGGCTGGAGTGCAATGGCGTGATCTCGGCTCACCACAATCTCCACCTCCTGGGTTCAAGCGATTCTCCTGCCTCAGCCTCCTGAGTAGCTGGGATAAGGCACGCGCCACCACGCCCAGCTAATTTTTTTTAGTAGAGACGGGGCTTCACCATTTTGGTCAGGCTGGTCTCGAACTCCTGACCTCATGATCCACTCGCCTCAGCCTCCCAAAGTGCTGGGATTACAGGCGTGAGCCACTGCATCTGGCCTAACTTAAATGTTGTGGTTTTAAGCTGCTAAATTTTGGAATAATTTAATATGCAACCATGGATAACCAACATGGCCAAGGATGAACAAATAAGCTACTTATCTTGCCTCTCCACTTCACTCATGCTATGCTAAGAATGGCTTTAGTCACTTGAAACTACCTTGAAACTCTGGGAAGAGATATAAATGGTTTAATGTTCTCGTTAGTTTGCTCTGGGAAGGCCTATTTAAAACAAACAGCAAAAGTCGGATATGGTAGCTCACACCTATAATTCCAGCTACTTGAGAGGCTGAAGGGGGAGGATCACTTGAGGCCAGGAGTTCTAGACCAGCCCAGGCAACATAGCAAGATCCCATCTCTACAAAAAATTAAAAACAAACTAGCTGGGTGTGGTGTGCGTCTGTAATCCAGCTACTTAGGAGGCTGAGGCCAGAAGATGGTTTGAACCCAGGAGTTTGAGGCTGCAGTGAGCTATGATCCCACCACTGCACTCCAGCCTGGGCAACAGAGAGACCCTGTCTCCATAAATAAATAAATAAATAAGATAAGATAAGATAAACAATACATAAAAAACAGCTGAGGTAAATGAACTTTCTCTTTGCATAAGCTAATATAAAACTCTTTAAAATGTCATTTTTAAAGAAAAACGGGTCCGGCGTGGTGGCTCATGCCTCTAATCCCAGCACTTTGGGAGGCCGAGGCAGGTGGCTCCCCTGAGGTCAAGAGTTCGAGGCCAGCCTGGCTAACATGGTGAAACCCTGTCTCTACTAAAAATACAAAAAATCAGCTGGATGTGGTGGCGGGTGCCTGTAATCCCAGCTACTTGGGAGGCTAAGGCAGGAGAATCACTTGAACTTGGGAGGCGGAAGTTACAGTGAGCCGAGATCATGCCATTATACTCCAGCCTGGGCAACAAGAACAAGACTCTGTCTCAAAAAAAGAAAAGAAAATAAAGAAAAATGGTTGTCTCATTAATAATCTAGTTGCTTAAGACAAATTTTAGTGTTCCTAAACACTAATTGTTATCTCATTGAACTCATCTAAATTCTTCCAAATGTTAGGTCATCTGAAGAAGATAAAAAGAAACATCTGTGTGTGTGTGCCTACAGTCATGAGTTTAGAAACAGTTTAGAAGGGAGAAGAAATACGTTTAGAAGGGAGAAGAAATACGTTTAGAAGGGAGAATGTGCTGTAATAATTTGATACAATTTTTTACATACTTTACTCAAGTTCTGAAATAATAGCATGAAAAGGACATTCTGAAAAAGATGGGGAGGGAACCCTACTTCTCAACAGCCCTTTGCACTAGTTTATCATTCCATTAATTTGAGATAGTCACTATGTCATAATGAATGTTTTTAAGGGCAGGAAATCCAACAGCTCCCCCTGGACTTGCTCTCTTTCAGGCTTTAGAGATCCTTTCTTATCTTTAATGTCCATGATGCAGCATAAACCTACTTCCTTATTGGGTCTTCAGCAGACATGGAAAAGAGGAACAGACCTTTCCACAGACTTGTGGTTACAGCTCAGACTTACTTTTTTCTCCTACAAAGAAAGTGATTCCCTAGATTCTACACTGTTTAGTTTTGTTTGCTTGCTTTAATATTTTTAACCTTCTAATATTTTTTGTAGTTATTCTTTCTGCAGCTTTTTTGTCACCTATTAGGATGTGAGCCTCCCCAAATCAACATAGTACCAAATGTAAGAAATCATTTACCCAGTCCCCCATGTATTAGGTCTGTCCCCCAAATTTAAAATCACTGATTCAAACACATTACCTTAATAAGAGCAGGGTATGGTGTCGCCTCTTTTTCTAACGGTAAAATCTCAAAATTCGTAGGAATAAATTCATTCTTTGTAGGAAGTTTAAATTTCCCATTCAGGTCAGCATTTTGCCATTTCTGGATGAATAATGAAACACACAAATGCAGTAAGAGTCTGATTTAAGAGTTTAAAATAGTATCTCTGCTCAATATATGGGCAAATATTAAGTGCACAAATGTCACACAGCATTGTTTTCCATCATATATAAAAGAGGTACTACCAAATCTATCGATGGGTTTTCCTGAAACCTGAGTTAGTCTTTCTAGTACTAGCAAAGATTTTGCACTCATATATCTACTCTTCCTCTCCACATCTCCAAAATGACCAGCTGAGGAACAATTGAGACTATGGAACACAGAAAAGCTGACTGGTCCATATGCAGATCATGTTTATTCTAGCTCTTTAAAGAATGGAGAATAATCTGCTCAGGAATATATTCCCACAACTGCTAGACAATAGGTCATTTATATAAGAGCCATACTTTCAGCTATACTAAGTTATATCCATGAATGGCCTGAAAGCCAGGCTAAAGGAGGTGTCTTTCACTTTAGTACTTCTCTCTTTTTTTTCTTCCTGAGACAGTCTTGCTCTGCCGCCCAGGCTGGAGTGCAGTGGCATGATCTCAACTCACTGCAACCTCCACCTCCTGCGTTCAAGTGATTCTTGTGCCTCAGCCTCCCAAGTAGCTGGGACTACAGGTGTGTGCCACCACACCCGACTAATTTTCGTATTTTTAGTAGAGATTGGGTTTCACTGTTGCCCAGGCTGGTCTTGAACTCCTGGCCTCAACTGATCCACCCACTTCAGCCTCCCAAAGTGCTGGGATTACAGGTGTGAGCCACCATGCCCGGCCTCACTTCAGTACTTCTTTTTTTCTTTTTCAGACAGAATCTCACTCTGTTGCCCAGGCTGGAATGCAGCAGCGTGATCTCCACTCACTGCATCCTCTACCTCCCAGGTTCAAACGATTCTTGTGCCTCAGCCTCCTGAGTAGCTGGGATTACAGGCGTGTACCACCACACTCAGCTAATTTCTGTATTTTATTAGAGATGGGGTTTCACTGTATTGCCCACGCTGGTGTCAAACTCCCCTCAATCTGCCCACCTCAGCCTCCTAAAGTGCTAGGATTACAGACATCAGCCACCACGCTCGGCTTTCAGTACTTCTTAAGAACTGGCCCACACCTCTCCCAGATGATCATGTGAACTTTTAAGTGAACCAGTAGTTCAAGCACAAGGTTAAGAACAAAGTTGAGGCCAGGCGCGGTGGCTCACGCCTGTAATCCCAGCACTTTGGGAGGCCAAGATGTGCAGATCACGAGGTCAGGAGTTCGAGACCAGTCTGGCCAACATTGTGAAACCTCATATCTATTAAAAATACAAAAAATTAGCCGGGTATGGTGGTGTGCACCTGTAATCTCAGCTACTTGGGAGGCTGAGGCAGGAGAATCATGTGAACCTGGAAGGCAGAGGTTGCAGTGAGCCAAGATGGCGCCATTGCACTCCAGCCCAGGCAACAGTACGAGACTCTGTCTAAAAAAAAAAAAAGAAAAAACAAAGTTGAGATTTAGGTTGGGATTCACACAACCTGTAGTAGACTGGATCTGTTTCCTGTTCTAGTTCCAAAAGCTAAGTGGGACAGATCACAGGCCACTGATTGTTGAACCTAATTTATAAGGCTTTTCATTATTTAAAAAAAAAAAAAAAAAAAAAAAGCAACTGGCCAGGAGTAAAAAGCAACCAGCCTGGACAACAGAGCAAGGCCCTGTCTATTTAAAAAAAAAAACCAATTGTCAATAATTCTGGATTTCTGGATTCAGTAATTTGATCTCTAGCTGGTGTGGCACAGCCTTGCAGATTTTACGGTTCTTAGTTCCTGCATTTGTGACTTTCGGCACTGGGGACGTTGGCCATATTTCTTAAGTGGTATCTTAGGTTTCCAGAACAGCTGAATACTAGGGACTAGGAAACACTTAGTAAGTAATTTCACTACTGAGTTCCCAGATAGATGTGTTCTTAAAAAATTCCCAGCCGGGTGTGGTGGCTCACAGCTGTAATCCCAGCACTTTGGGAGGCTGAGGCAGGCGGATCACAAGGTCAAGAGATCAAGACCATCCTGGCCAACATGGTGAAACCCTGTCTCTACTAAAAATACAAAAATTAGCTGGGCGTGGTGGCATGCGCCTATAGTCCCAGCTACTCGGGAGGCTGAGCTAGGTGGAGGTTGCAGTGAGCCAAGATTATGCCACTGTACTCCAGCATGGTGACACAGCGAGATTCCATCTCAAAAAAAAAAATAAAATTCCCATTCAGGGCAGGTTGGTTATGGTCAGAGTCCAGTGAACAGGGGGATTCTTTCTTCTTTTAGGACTATTTCAGACCCAGCACTAATTCATGGAAGATCAGCTTTCCTCTCAGTTTAGAGAGATGGACATTTTCACACACTGGAGGGCTTCAATGATCTTCTGTATCATGAATATGTCAGAGATCTGTGAAGTACCAGTGATGATCTTCTTTCTTAAACTAATTCCTTTTTTTGTATGTCATTACACAGGTACATTTTTAAAATGTCCATTACTTGAGTTTAACTAGAATCTAGCCTGAGTAAAGTTTTCTGGTCTTTTCCCAGGAATAAGGGACGCAGTCTCAAAGGCACATAGCCAATGAGAACCAAAAGAGAAAGAAAGAAAAAGTACTAGATAAGTAGGTAACATTCACAAGCAAAATCCTGACTACTGATGAATGGGACAAAATATTGTTTTAACATACCTTTTCTGAAAATCATAATTCTCCTATGTTGACAAAAAGAACGGTGCTATAACATGAGGCATAAAACATAGCACCTCCTGAAGTGAAGATGGTATGAATCCTAGAGCCTGCTCTCAGCCTGTGTTCACAGCAAGACTGTGAGCTCTTTGGAGCCCTTGCATTGGTTTCTCATGCTTCCTACTTCCATCGCTTCTTGCCTTTCTGGTGCCTGTGCCCATGTACTCTGCACTTTAGTTACATTTTATGGCATGAGGCACAACCCTGGTGGTTTGATAGACACATGAGAAGGTGGCTAGAGTACCATGTCTTCATGAAAAGGCTAAACTCCAGCTCCCTATCTACTTGTTGATTTCTCTTAGGATGGTACAGATAACACTAGGTCATCAGTCTTCCACACTCTGGGGCCTTAGTTGGTGGATCTAGGGAGCAATGTTCTTGTGATTCCTCACATGTCAGGCTTATTCATAGATGAGTTAACCCTACCTTGATGACTTCATCCGGTATAGCTTCTTGTTTGTACTGGGTTCCATACCACTCTTCTGTGCGATCAGTTTTTCCTTCAAAAGATTTAGAAACTATGGCAACCCTAGAGATAGAAAAAACAAACAAAAAAACCCTGTAAACTCATACTGTATATATGAATTTAAAGAACCTGACTCAGGACAATATAAACAATATCCAAGAATGTGCTGGGCCTCTTAAGACCCAGCAAATCCTGTAAGGCTTAGTCCAAACAAGCAATACATGAATAGAGGTTTCTGATCATAGTCCCTGTTATCCTTTAGTTACAGTCCATTATTTTTAGTATGAAAAAGTGCTCGCAGGAGAGATTCCTCTAGGTTGCTACTGACTAAAATTTAAAAAGAAGAGTAGCTAGGGGAAAAAAATGTAACAAGGTCAGTTAAAAACAGTCAGTTAAAAAACAGTCCTAAAAAAAGCAAAGAAGTTGCGGATGTAGTGGCTTATGCCTGAAATCCCAGCACTTTAGGAGGCTGAGGCAGGATGCTCACTTGAGCCCAGGAGTTCAAGAGCAATCTGGGCAAAATAGTGGGACCCGTCTCTACAAAAAATTGTAATAATTAACCAGGTGGGGTGGCACGCAGCTATAGTTCCAGCTACTTGGAAAACTGAGGTGGGAGGATTGCTTGAGCCCAGGAGTTTGAGGCTGCAGTAGGCTAGAATCACACCACTGCACTCTAGCATGGGTGACAAATCAAAACCTTGTCTCTTTAAAAAAAAAAAAACCAAAAAGGCAAAAAAAGTACTCCTTCCTAGGAGTATCTCAGGTGCAGAATTAACAGGAATGACTAATAAAACCTGC
The DNA here is from genome assembly GCF_000001405.40 of Homo sapiens. Taxonomy (NCBI): domain Eukaryota; kingdom Metazoa; phylum Chordata; class Mammalia; order Primates; family Hominidae; genus Homo; species Homo sapiens. The sequence continues at coordinate 92,491,331 of NC_000010.11, forward strand.
TGGCTCATCCAGAGATTTTAAAAACGTGACACACATACCCAAGAAACTTTTATTATTGCTTGCTACATTTGTGCTCTATGTTTTTTTCCCTGCCAGAGACTAGCATCAAATATGTCTACTACAAATACACAGGCCTTCCTGCTACTAGGGGAGAAAGGGACAAGACCAAAAAATGTCTACCACTGTAACCTCTGCCTCCCGGGTTCAAGAACTCTCCTGCCTCAGCCTCCCAAGTAGCTGGGATTACAGGCACCCGCCACCACGCCTGGCTAATTTTTGTTTTTGTTTTTTTTTTTTGAGTTGGAGTTTTGCTCTTGCCACCCAGGCTGGAGTGCAATGGTGCGATCTTGGCTCACTGCAACCTCTGCCTCCTGGGTTCAAGCAATTCTCCGGCCTCAGCCTCCCAAGTAGCTGGGATTACAGGTGCCTACCACCTTGCCCAGCTAATTTTTGTATTGTTAGTAGAGACAGGGTTTCACCATGTTGGCCAGGCTGGTCTTGAACTCCTGACCTCAGGTGATCCGCCTGCCTCAGCCTCCCAAAGTGCTGGGATTACAGGTGTCAGCCACTGTGCCCAGCCTAAAAGCTTTTTTTGATGCGACAGTAGAAACAGCCCAGAAGAGAAGTCAGATGGAAAAAAGTGTTCAAGGATGGGCATGGTGACTCATGCCTGTAATCCCAGCACTTTGGGAGGCCAAGGCGGGAAGATCACGAGGTCAAGAGATCGAGATCATCCTGGCTAACATGGTGAAATCCCGTCTCTACTAAAAATACAAAAAATTAGCCGGGTGTGGTGGCGGGTGCCTATAGTACCAGCTACTTGGGAGGCTGAGGCAGGAGAATGGCGTGAACCCGGAAGGCGGAGCATGCAGTGAGCCGAGACTGCACCACTACACTCCAGCCTGGGAGACAGAGCAAGACTCTGTCTCAAAAAAAAAAAGAAAAGAAAAAAGTGTTCAAGGAGGGAAGGCAGAAGTAAAGTGATGTCAAAAGATAAGTGAACAAAAAATGACAAGACTAGAGGAGCAAAAGAAGTTCTGAACAAGTGGAACTCTAAGCCATCCCTGTGTAGCACTATCAGGGACACTCCGCCTCTACTGCCTTTTAATCATTGAAGTTGGAATCACTACACCCTCACCAGTGGACTCAACCACAGGCTGGGACCAATCCTATTTTGAATCTTGTGGGTCAAGGAATTCTAGCCAATTAGCTTGGGCAACTTGGTGTAAAGTCAGTCCTGCTATTGGTTCCACTTCTCCCTTAAGTCCCAATTCCCAATTCAAATAATTAGGTCCCAATTCAAATAATATCTGTTCCTGCTTGTTCTCACCTACCCCCAGAGGTTTGATTCTAGCCTCTGAATGTTGGCCTCACAGCTGAAAGCCTAGTACTTGCAATCAAAACTCCCCTCTGATGATACTCATTCATTTTGAGAATCCCAATCTCTGTTCCAAATACCTGCCCCTTGTTGAACCTCCCCAACTTCAACGCTAGTAGTCTGAACTACTGTCTATTTTTTATTCATTCTAGACAAAATACTCTACCTGGCTGACTGGACTTGGTCTTGTCATCTGCTTTTCGGTAGATATCCTAAAGCAAGATGACTCACCTGTCAGTATGACCGACTAATCTTCCAGCTGTAGGTGTTCCTGATCTGGCCTATCTGTCACTAACCACTACCAGTTCTAGAAAACATGCTAAATAAGAAATACGTTCCAGAGAAAGATACAGAGGAATCAGAGGATTTGACAGATAAAAGAGTTCTATTATTGCGTCAGAAGGAAGTGATGCATGTTGGTAGTTCAAGAATCCCGTTTGAGGTGTATGTGTAGAGAGTTCACAGAAATCATATAGCTATATGAAGGGTGTATGGTATCTCTTAAGGGCATTCAATACATGATAGAGCCTATGAAGACTCAGGCCTAGGAACTCGGGCTTCCACTTTTGTTGATTTCTCAGAAAATGAATGGATTGATTCTCAAGGAGACTTCTAAAAAATATACTAAGTAGAAGAATCTGGCAGATGGTCTTCCCATCTACTCTTCCATGAAACGCTTGATTTCTTTTTTTTTTTTTTTAGAGACAGGGTCTCACTCTGACACCCAAGCTGGAGTGGAGTGGACTTGCCCTCTGAAACAAGAAAACCTTAAACTCAGTTCTGAGAGAGAAAGTAAACAAGCTGCCAAGCCAGATGCTCTGGAAGATGACTATCTGACACAGAAAGCAGACACTCAGGCTGTGCAGTAATGCTCAGGTTAAAAAAAAAAAAGGAGGGGAAAAAGGCAGACTCATCAAGTACAGTCCTTAGGGATTTGGATAGCTATATACCAAAGTGAGGTGTATGGGTAACATTTGAAATGTTATTATAAGGAAACAGACAAGCACAGTTCCTCAGACTAGGCACAGATCAAATACCAGACTAACAAAAAGAGATACCTTTGCAGACCAAGAGTTAGTATATCATTAAGGAATTCCAGATTGAAATATACAATGAAAGGGTATGTATGAGGTAATAAATAAAGACAGGGAAGAAAGTAACGGTACAGACAGAGTATACACACATCAAACCCATATAGATACCTATGAACCAGAGTGTGAAAGTACAGGGAAGAGCACTTGAATTAGGAGAAAAGGTCACAATAATTGAAGTACAGACACCTATAGTATACACAACCGCAGACAGTTGAGAAAAACTAGTACAAATATTGTAGCATTTTAGACCATCTGCCGAAAATCTAATTATACCAAAAAATAAGGTTTCCTTTTTTCGAGACAGGGTCTTGTACAGTGGTGTGATCATACCTTACTGCAGCCTTGAACTCCTGAGCTCAAGTGATCCTCCTGCCTCAGTCTCTCAAGTAGCTGGGACTACAGGCATATACCACCATACCCAGCCAATTTTTTTTTTTTTTTTTTTGGTAGAAATGAGGTCTCACCACGTTGCCCAGGCTGGTCTCAAACTCCTGAGCTCAAACAATCCTCCCACCTTGGCCTCCCAGAGTGCTAGGATTACAGGCATGAGCTACCATGCCCAGCCCAGTTTTTTTTTTTTTTTTAATGTGGCTAGAGTGTGGGGGAAGAAAAGGCTGCCAATATGGTAATGATGTGATCCTTAGAAATGAGAGAACAGGCCAGGCACAGTGGCTCAAGCCTGTAATCCCAACACTTTGGGAGGCCAAGGCGAGTGGGTCACTTAAGCCCTTGAGTTCAAGGCAAGCCTGGGCAATACAGTGAGATCCTGTCTCTATTTAAAGAAAAAGAAAGAAATTAAAAAATGAAACATGAGAAAACACAACCTTTTCATACTAAAACTTACAACAGCAAGAAAAGGAAACAGCGGGCTAGAATGAATGCTGTTGACTTCAAGTACATTTAAAAATGTTTGGAGCGAATGCAGCTGTCGAAGCTGGATGGAACTCATCTGGAAACAAAAGGTCTCCTGACTACAGACATGAAAAGGCAATATGGTTCCCAAAGAATAAACTCTCCTGAGATTTTTACAAATGATGCCTAACACAGAATAGGGAAAAGATGTCCAAAGAATGAGAAGAGGCTTCATAGGTAATTGTGATTAATTCAAACAATTAGTGGAAAGGGCACAGACCTGGCAATAAGAAACTGAGATTCTGGCAGATACTCTGAATCACTTTCTTTGAAATCTTGCCAAAATCACAGATCTAAGTTAGGCACAAGCCATTTAGCCTCTCTAAACTTCAGTTTCATTAATTTTTAATTTTTCTTTTTTTTTTTTGAGACGGAGTCTTGCTCTGTCGCCCAGGCTGGAGTGCAGTGGTATGATCTCGGCTCCCTGGAACCTCCACCTCCTGAGTTCAAGCGATTCTCCTGCCTCGGCTTCCATAGTAGCTAGGATTACATCACACTCGGCTTTTTTTTTTTTTTTTTTTTTTAAGATGGCGTCTCACTCTGTTGCCCAGGCTGGAGTGCAGTGGCGCGATCTTGGCTCACCACAACCTCCGCCTCCTGGATTCAAGCGATTCTCCTGCCTCAGCCTCCTGAGTAGCTGGGACTACAGGCACACGCCACCATGCCTGGCTAATTTTTGTATTTTTAGTAGAGACAGGGTTTCACTATGTTGGCCAGGCTGGTCTCAAACTCCCGACCTTGTGATCCGCCCACCTCGGCCTCCCAAAGTGCTGGGATTAGAGGCATGAGCCACTGCACCCAGTCTTTTGTATTTTTAATAGAGACGGGGTTTCGCCATGTTGGCCAGGCTGGTCTCCAACTCCTGACCTCAGGTGATCCACCCACCTTGGCCTCCTAAAGTGCTGGGACTACAGGCGTGAGCCACCACACCCGGCCTCAATAATTTTTAAATAGGGATTCAAATTAGATGAACCCTCTCCTTCCACTAGTAAAATTCTACACTATCATGATATCAAATTAGAGTTTTAAAGGATACACACAAAAGACAGAAAGTTGAAAAAAAAATCTATTGATGAGATTCAAAAATCATACTTAAATAGTGATAGGAAAGCTAAAGTGCTAAAGGAATTGAGGCTCATGAAAAATGCTAAAAACCATTTTTTAAGTGTTTTTTTTTTTTGAGACAGGGTTGCTCTATCCCCCAGGCTGGAGTGCAGTGGCATGATCTTGGCTCACTGCAACCTCCGCCCCCTGGGTTCAAGCGATTTCCATGCCTCAGCCTTCTGAGTAGCTGGGATTACAGGTGCCTGCCACCATGCCCGGCTAATTTTTGTATTTTTAGTAGAGATGGGGTTTCACCATGTTGGTCAGGCTGGTCTTGAACACCCAACCTCAGGTGATCCACCTGCCTCAGCCTCTCAAAGTGCTGGGATTACAGGCGTGAGCCACCACGCCTGGCCTAAAGTGTTTCTTAAAGTAAGAAAAAAGTCAAGAAAGATTAGGCTTAAAGTTTAGAAAATTCAGTCAACTTTTACTGAGTTCTTACCAGGTCAAATTCTGGGAAAGACAAAATATAGTTCCTATTTGGAAAAACTCATAATTTAATAGGACACATGACCTATAGCAAAATGTAATCAGTTAATCTCATGTTAACAGATGGCAGGACTACTCCTCTCTTATTTACCTGGTCTTTGAAATAAACATGGCTCTTTAAACTGTAAAGGTGGACCAAACACAGAAAAAAGGAGTTGAAGATAGGTGAATGAGCCAAGTATGAAACCACCTCTCTAGCCAGGTGTGGTGGCTCATGCCTGTAATCTCAACAATTTGGGAGGCTGAGGCCGGTGGATCACTTGAGGTCAGGAGTTCAAGACCAGCCTGGCCAATATGGTGAAACCCTATCTCTACTAAAAATACAAAAATTAGCCAGGTGTGGTAGTGGGCACCTGTAATGCCAGCCACTCGGGAGGCTGAGGCAGGAGAATCCTTTGAACCCAGGAGGCCGAGGCTGCAGTGAGCCGAGATTGTGCCATTGCACTCCAGCCTGGGCAACAGAGCAAGACTCTGTCTCAAAAAATATAAAAATAAAAAAGGAGAAATCACATCTCCAAACACAGATAAGTCACAATTTCTAATGCTTAGGCAACTACCAAATCCTAACAGAATCATTGTCCATCATCTTTTAGAAATGCTGGAGAACACGAGATGAGGCAGAAAACTGGAGATGGAGATGGGCAAATGCTGTAACTTTCAAAAAGAAAAAAGGAGTGAAGCCTGAACACCATAAGCCAGTAAATTAGGAATTGATCCCTGACAAAATTCTACAGTTAACTGTCAGACTGTCAGACATTTAGACAAGAAAACCGTCGTTATCACTAGGACTTTCATGGACTAATTAAGAATAACTTCTCCCAAATAAATGGAATTATTTATGACTAAAGGAAGGCACATGACAAAGACTCTATAGCTGTCTTTGTAGATTTAATATGGTAAAACAGGCACCAAATGATAGGATCAGGGGAGGTGGGTGACAATGATCATTGAGTAATAATAGGTAAACACCTTTGAACAGGTAATCAAGTCTCAAAATTCAAAATAATTGTCTAACAATTAGGACTGGCAAAAATGAAACTGGCTACCTTGGTATTTAATGAGTTCCCCATCCTTGGAAGAAGTTAAACTGAAGCTGGTAACTACTTAGCTGGGATACTGCAGAACAGATACACAGTACCATACTACACCATTTAATATAAGGGACTTGAGCACCTTGGATTTTGATATCCATGGGGGTCTTGGAACCAATCCCCTGCGGATATGGAGGGCCAAGTGTATACCTAACAGGAGTTGGATTAAATGGCCTCTAAGGTTCCTTTCATTCTTAAGAGTTTCCTGTTTATTTCCCTACCTGGTTGCAATGTTAAACTTGTCTCAGCGGGTATTAAAGAAGGTAATCTTACCCTTGAGCCACCCTAGTCTGGTCTGGCAGCTGGCAATATTATCCCAGGCTGTTTTGCACCATGTATCACTGACCTACTACAGTTACAACTGTTAACAGTCACAGAGACCAATCCTGTAGAGGAAAAGTGCTTTCTCTTTAAATGTGAGAGTAAAAAGAGGTATTTAATTGCATAAGATATCAAATTTAGAAATATGCAATTTCAAAAGTAAAACATATGCTCCAGCAAATGCACTCCTACGAAGTGTTGCTGGGTCAATTACTGGCTCTAGAGCAGCAAGAATTATAATTTAAATCATGGTTTTTTCTTACAAAAATGAAAAAGCACATCCTTATTATATGGTATAACTTTAATATAGCATTACCTTGTGTTTGTACAACACTTTTTGACTTTGCTAAATCATTTTACATCATACAGATAAAGCACTATCCCCACTTTGCAGATGAGCAGGGTTCAAGGAAATTAAATGACAGCCAGTATTCATGACATTATATAAAGTTAACTTTTCACAAGTCCCCCTTTCAGGACTGTCAACTCTGAGGTTTCACGTAAGTGATTCAATAAACATTGAAAGAAAAAAATGATGTATCCAAGATCTCATGACTAGTAGTAGGTGACAAAACCACACAAAATTAGTAACTGGAAGGAATCTTAAAGATTGTCTAGTGAGGCCGGGTATGGGGGCTCACACCTATAATCCCAGCACTTTGAGAGGACGGGGTGGGTGGATCACTTGAGGTCAGGAGTTTGAGACCAGCCTGGCCAACATGGTGAAATCTTGTCTCTACTAAAAAAAAATACAGGCCGGGCATGGTGGCTCACACCTGTAATCCCAGCACTTTGGGAGGCCGAGGCAGGTGGATCACCTGAGGTCAGGAGTTCGAGACCAGCTTGGCCAACATAGCAAAACCCCATCTCTACTAAAAATACAAAAAGTTAGCTGGGCGTGGTGGCAGGCACCTGTAATCCCAGCTACTCGGGAGGCTGAGGCAGGAGAATTGTCTGAACCCGGGAGGCGGAGGTGCAGTGAGCCAAGATCGTGCCATTGCACTCCAGCCTAGGCAACAAGAGCGAAACTCCATCTCAAAGAACAAAAAACAAAAATTAGTCAGGCATGGTGGCGGGTGCATGTTATCCCAGCTACTGGGAGGCTGAGGCAAGAAAATTGCTTGAACCTGGAAAACAGATTGTCTAACAAGTTCTATTAGTAAATCTATAGCTCTTTCTCCTCATGTTGGTAAGAGGTTTTATTTGTAGAAGGTATATGATAAAATTCAACCGGATTTAGGCTGATTTTTCCCCCCTGGAAATATAGGTACACTGAGGAAAATACAAATATTTAAACTGTTTTACTTGCCTAAATGAGGCAAGTAAATTAAAACCAGTGTGGCAAGTAAAGTAAAAATTAGTGTGTGTTCTGGGTATTTTTCTTCAATGTATTTTAATGATGTAAGTAAATGCATGTATCACTTAAGAGCGGTTTTTAATATTGATGAAGTCCATTTTATTGGTGGTTTTTCTTTTTTTTTTGAGATGGAGTTTTGCTCTTTTGCCCAGGGTGGAGTCAAGTGGCATGATCTTGGCTCACTGCAACCTCCGGCCCCCAGGTTCAAGCGATTCTCCTGCCTCAGCCTCCCAAGTAGCTGGAATTACCGTAGAGATGAGGTTTTGCCATGTTGGCCAGGCTGGTCTTGAACTCCTGACCTCAGGTGATCCACCCACTTTGGTCTCCCAAAGTGCTAGGATTATAGGCATGAGCCACCGCACCCAGCCTTCTTTAAGACAGGGTCTCACCCTGTTGCCCAGGCTGGAGTGCAGTGGTATGATCATGGCTCACTGCAACCTCCACCTCCTGGGCTCAAGTGATCCTTCTGCCTCAGCCTCCTGAGTAGCTGGGACTACAGGCACGTACCACCACACCCTGCTAATTTGCATACTTTTTTAGAGATGGGGTTTCATCATGTTGCCCAGGCTGGTCTCGAACTCCTGAGCTCAAGCAATCCTCCCTCTATGCCTCCCAAAGTGCTGGCATTATGGGTGTGAACCACTGTGCACGGTCAATGTGTTTTCGTTAGTGGTTACTGCTTTTCATGTTCTATCTGAGAAATCTTTGCCTATCGCAAGGTTTTGAAGATATTTTTCTATTTTTTCTGGAAGTTTTATAGATTTAGTGTTTATATTTAGGTCTATGATCTATCTCAAATTTTATAAATAGTATGAGGCAAAGGTCAAGTTTCATCATTTTTCATATAGATACGCAGCTAGTAGAACAGCACCATTTGTTGAAAAGATTTTCCATTCTCAATTATGTTGATGCTCTTCTCAAAAATAAAATCAACTGACTGGCCGGGTGCAGTGGCTCATGCCTGTAATCCCAGCACTTTGGGAGGCCGAGAACGGTGGATCACCTGAGGTCATGAGTTCGAGACCAGCCTGACCAACATGGAGAAACCCCGTCTCTATTAAAAATACAAAATTAGCCAGACATGGTGGTGCGTGCCTGTAATCCCAGCTACTCGGGAGGCTGAGGCAAGAGAATCGCTTAAACTCGGGAGATGGAGGTTTCAGTGAGCTGAGATCGCACCATGGCATTCCAGCCTGGGCAACAAGAGTGAAACTCCATCTCAAAAAAAAAAAAACCCCAACTGACTGATAGATGAATGCATAAAGAAAATATGGTATATACATATAATGGAACACTATTTAGCCTTAAAAAGAAAGGGAATCCTGTCATATGCTACAACATGGATGAACCTTGAAGACATTATAGTAAGTGAAATGAACCAGGCACAGAAAGGTATGTTGTATGATTCTACTTACATTAGGTATCGAAAGTAGTTAAACCCATAGAAACAGAATGTAGAATAGTGATTATCAGAAGGCAGAGAGAAAAGGGAAGTTGTTTTTTAATCACAACAAAAAAATCAACTGACCATGTATGTGTGGAACTATATCTGGACTCTGTTCTCTTCCAATGATTTCTTTGTCTATCCATATGATGTCAATACTACCGTGTCTTAATTACTGAAGCTTTATACTAATGTCCTCAAATCTAGTGGTTTAATTCCTCCCACATTTGGTGATTTTTTTTTTTTTCCGGAGTGTTCTGACTTATCTAGGTCCTTTGTATGTCCATATAAATTTTGGAACCAATTTCTGAAAAAAGGAAAAACAGCCTGGCCAACATGGTGAAACCCCATCTCTACTGAAAACACAAAAATTAGCTGGGCGTGGTGGCATACACCTGTAATCCCAGCTACTTGGGAGGCTGAGGCAAGAGAACCGCTTGAACCTGGGAGGCAGAGGTTGCAGTGAGCTGAGATCGCACCACTGCACTCCAGCCTGGGCGACAGAGTGAGATCCTGTCTCAGAAAAAAAAAAAAGAAAAAGAAAAAAAGAAAAAAAAGGCCAGGTGCAGTGGCACATGCCTGTAATCCCAGCACTTTGGGAGGCTGAGGTGGGAGGATCATTTGAGCTCAGGAGTTCGAGACTAATCTGGGCAACATAGTGAGACTCTCTCTCTACAAAAAAATTAAAAAATTAGCTGGGCATTGGTGGCACATGCCTGTAATCCCACCTACTTGGGAGGCTGAGGCATGAGAATTGCTTAAACCCAGGAGGAGGAGGTTGCAGTGAGCCAAGATGACACTAGTGCACTCCAGCCCGGGCAACAGAGCAAGACTCTGTCATTAAAAAAAAAAAAAAAAAAAAAAAAAAAAAGCCGGTGCATTGGCTCACGCCTGTAATCCCAGCACTTTGGGAAGCCAAGGTAGGCAGATCACAAAGTCAAGAGATCGAGACCATCCTGGCCAACATGGTGAAACCCTGTCTCTACTAAAAATACAAAAATTAGCTGGGCATGGTGGCGCGTGCCTGTGGTTACAGCTACTGGGGAGGCTGAGGCAGGAGAATAGCTTGATCCTGGGATGTGGAGGTTGCAGTGAGCCGAGATTGCGCCACTGCACTCCAGCCTGGTGACACAGCGAGACTCCGTCTAAAAAAAAAAAGAAAAAAGAAAAAAGGCCGGGAACGGTGACTCACGCCTGTAATCCCAGCACTTTGGGAGGCTGAGGTGGGCGGATCACCTGAGGTCAGGAGTTCGAGACCAGCCTGGTCAACATGGTGAAACCCCATCTCTACTAAAAATAAAAAAATTAGCCAGGTGTGGTGGCGGGTGCCTGTAATCCCAGCTACTCAGGAGGCTGAGGTAAGAGAATTGCTTGAACCTGGGAGGCGGAGGTTGCAGTAAGCCGAGATTGCACCATTGCACTTCCAGCCTGGGTGACAAGAATGAAACTCCATCTAAAAAAAAATAATAATAAACAAACAGGTATAGTGGCTTGCACCCATAATCCCAGCTACTCAGGAAGCTGACGCAGGAGATCACTTAAGCCCAAGAGGTCAAGGCTGCAGTGAGCTATGATCCCGCCACTACAGTCCAGCCTGGGTGACAATGCAAGACCCTGTCTCTAAATAAATGAATAAAAAGAAAAAGAAAAACAGCCTACCAGGATTTTGGTTATGATTACATTGAGTCTATGAATCAGATTGGAGAGAACTAACATATTAATAATATCAAGTCTCCTAATGTATGACTATAGTATGCTTCTCCATTTATTTAGGTCTTCTTTCATTTTTCTCGGCTAATATTTGCTCTCTTCTACTGTTTTTAGTTTTTTATGTAGAAGTCTTGCTTATCTTTGGTTAAACTCATTCCTAGTAATATTATGCTTTTGTTGCTATTATAAATACTTCTTTTAATTTTCTATTTTTTTGTTGCTATATATAGATATGCAGTTGATTTTTGTATGTTGACCTTGCAACCTGTGACTGTGCTGAATTCAGTTATTGGTTCCAGATTTTTGAAGGGGAAAGTAGATTCCTTAGGATTTTCTACATATGCAATTATGTGTATCAGTGCATATATCACTTTAAACCATTTAAATTATGTGAACTATATCTCGCCATCCCCCACTAAACTACGTCAGGCATGAATAACTTAACATATTACGTTATACAAATATTTAATCTACAACTTTCTCTGTTGTTCACTGAATGGAAAAGGAAAGATTTCTTCGTTTTTCAATTCCTCAGTAAATTATCTAGAGTTGAAAAAGAGCATTTGCTGTTAAAGGCAGAATGATCAACTCAGCAATCTCTAATGAATTCACAGCTGTCAGTAACTTTGTCTAGTTTTTCAGTAAGATTTTCTGTATCATAATCAATTCTTGAGTAATTAAGGATTAGGCAATAAATGGGGACTTAAAATATTGGCAAGAAACTGCGTAGGAAACATTGTAACCTACTGGGTACCTCAAACCAGAAATTTAATTTCTAAATAATTTCACATGTTATTTTCATTGAAAAAGACTTCTAAATTTTGACCCTTAATATATTTTTTAAACCTCAAAACCATGGTATCTTATTCCAATTTAAAAATTCTAGGCTCAGTAAGAAAAAAGAAAAGAAAATTCTAGACTGGGCACAGTGGCTCACGACGGCTGTAATCCCAGCACTTTGTGGGGCTAAGCCGGACTGCTTGAGGCCAGGAGTTTGAGATCCACCTGGGCAACACAGTGAGACCCTATCTCTATAAAAAATTGTTCTTGAAGCTAGATAATTATCTGTACTCATCCAAACACTGTATCATAATATAAAAAAATCATTAAAACTTTTTAAATACAGATAGGGTGTCACTATGCTGCTCAGGCTGGTCTTAAACTCCTAGTCTCAAGTGATCCTCCTCTGCCTTGGCTTCCCAAAAAATAGAATATTTAGCTGAATCCTAGCATGAGGTCAGGTAAAATCTGGCTAATAGTATTTCCTAGAAGAAAGTCACCCGAGTCCACCAACCACCTAGGAGTGACAATAGATAGGCCAAGCCCACCTGAACATTAGAAGACATTAATTATTGTTCTCAACCTAAACAGTATAGTGCAAGTCATATATATGCAATTATCGCTAATGAAGCTTTGATAATATGTCTGGAAAAGTTCAAACAATGGTAACTAGGAAAAGATTCTGATAGGATAGTTCTGTCAAAAAGACTTTTTTTTTTTTTTTTGAGACGGAGTTTCACTCTTGTTGCCTAGGCTGGAGTGCAATGCCATGATCTCGGCTCACAGCAACCTCCACCTCCTGGGTTCAAGCGATTCTCCTGTTGCAGCCTCCCGAGTAGCTGGGATTACAGATGCATGCCACCATGCCTGGCTAATTTTGTATTTTTATTAGAGACGGGGTTTCTCCATGTTGGTCAGGCTGGTCTCGAACTCCCGACCTCAGCTGATCCGCCCGCCCTGGCCTCCCAAAGTGCTGGGATTACAGGCAGGAGCCACCGCGCCCAGCCCAAAAAGATTTTTTTTTTTTTACAAAAAGTTCTATCACATTGTTGATCTTATTCATAAAACAACTGTTCCAAAAAACTTACTCAATAACCAAATTGCCAGTAGAATTTCAAAAATACTTCCCTAACAGAGGAGAAAAATTAAAAATGTAAAACATGTCATTCAATTATATTCCCTCTATCATTTGACTTTAGAAAACATAGATGAAATTCAGTTTTATGGGAGGAATATCATGTGGTGGCTCACAAGCACTTTAAGGACTACTTTCCTCTAGCAAGAATACCTCTGCTACTATAAGAGTTTGGACTTTTGATTTCCAGGTTAACCACTGGTCAATCAGGAGGATTCTGAGATTGTAATCTTTACTGTGGCTTAAGAAAAAGAGGGTGCCTTCATTTGCTTATATGAGTCAGATAGGTGGGCTGATACTTTGGGCGTTTGAGTTAGAATAAAGCCAGGTTAAGACAGGTTATTATTCTATTTTATTTATGATAATAAAATTATATTTGTTTTTAAAAATGTCCTCATCTTTTAGAGATATTGCCTCAAAATAATTTAGGGTGGAAGGGGGATGACTGAAGAGGGATGGGTATAGATTAAAAAAGACTGGCCATGTATCAATGGTTGAAGCTTGGTGTTGCTTCATTATACTATTCTCTACTTTTGTAATGCTTGATAAAATGTTTAAAAGCATTTTATTCACAATTTCAAATTTTTTCAGATTCTAATCATTATTGAAAATTTAGTGTATAATAGTAAAATCTGTATGGTGACTCACCGGACATTTTCTGGTCTGAGTTTATCGAGAACCATCTCTATTAAGTCAGGTCTAAATTCTTCCAGTAAATATTCCGCTGTGAGCACCTCTTCTAGGGGATAATACTTTTAAAAAGGAAAATATAAATAAATAAAATATACAAAGCTACTACATAGTTTATTAAAGCAGATCTGTAACACATTAAATTCATTACTGTACACCCTTTCTCTCTTCAGTTAAATTTTACTCCATTGGAAAAATTTTCTGTAGCCCTAAATCGTTGTCTCTTTCCTACCACATTGTTAAGCAGTTTCATATTGTTTGATGATTCTGCCAAATATACTGTTAATCCCCAAACATACTTCCATTGTAGAGAGCAAAATCACATTTCTTTCGGGGAAAACCACGAATGTTTCTGGTTAAAAACTGAGTACTTGTTAATGAAGAAAATTCGATATTAAAATGCTGACACCTACAGGATTTTTAAAATATAAAGTACACACATTTTTATGAACAGAATTTCCTCCTAAATTTCTATGAAACAAATTAGACAAACATTTAGGAAGCGGCTGTGGAAAAAAAAATGGCTTATATTTTTGGCCAGTGTAGAAAAACAATGCAGAAGATGCTTTTTGGTAAGAGCAACTTCCAATATACTGAGACACACTGACTGATTCATTCATCTAATAAATATTTAATGAACATCTACTATGTGCCAGACACTGTTCCACACACTATGGATACAAAAGTAGGTAAGACACATGAAATCCTTTGTCCTCCAAGAAGCACACAGACATTGTAATTGGGAGGGAGGCAGACAACAAACAAATATTGTAATGTTAGTGAGAGATGCTATGAAAACAATAAAAAAAGGGGCAGGGGCATTATTTTAGATTGGGAGGTCAGAGAAGGTCTGAGGAGAAGAACTCTGAGTGGAGACTGAAATGATAAGAACCTAGCCAGGCAAAGATCAGATAGAACAGTGTTTCATGTAGAGAAAATAGCAATGGGGGAGGAATAAACTTAATGCTTGAAAATTAGAGAGCCAGTACAGTTGGAGTGGAATGCAAATGGGAGAGGTGGGCTGGACAGTGGTATAGAAGATGGCCAGATAGGCTGGGGCCACATCACCTTGTAGGCCAAGGAAAATTTTGCATTTTATGCCAACTCTGTTGGGAAACCACTGAAGGAATTTAAACAGAGGAGTGAAACATTCAGATTTTAGTTTTCAAAAGATCACGAGCCTGGAAAAATAAACTACAATGGGGACCAAGAGGAAAATAGGGATCGCAGGTAAAAGACTATCATGGTAGCCCAAGCAAGAAATGATGATAGCTCAGACTAGGATGGTAGCAATGGAAATTTTAAAAAAGTAAATGATCAATAGCTTTCATATAAGTAACACCTGATATGCTGTAGAACTGAAATATATTTAAAGCCAATAAGCAAAATGCATATTTAATAAAAATATTACATAAAATAAATTTCACGATGATGAAAATTAAGATTTTAAACATCTCCTGACATCAACATTTGCCCTGTTGCTACAAAGTTGAAAGCTTTATACCTCAGCTTCAATTGTAATCATTCACTTATTACTGAAAATATATGCAAGATTGCTGAAATACTCCACACAGCAATGTATACAGTAAAATAACAACAAACTTACATGCAATATTCCTGCAATCTTAGATGTATAGCCCCGTGGCCTCTCTTTGTCTTTAAACCTAAAAGCAACAGCATTCAAGTCCTAAAATAGAAAGTTAATCCAATTAGATACGGCCACCCTTATTTAGAAACCTTTTTTTTTTTTTTTAAGTGTTTGGCTTGCACTATAAGCTTTCTACTCCATATTTAACTTTATCACACTTTCTGAAAAAATGGCTATGCTTGATTTAGAAATGTATAGAATATTTTAAAAATTTCTTAATGTGTATAAAATTTAATCCATCAATCTAGGCTTAAAACCAAAAGCAAAATAGGTAAACAACTTTCAATGAAAATAACAAATACAGGATATGGCTCGATAGCCTAAGTTGTTGAAACTAATAGCCAAAGAATTTAGAAAAACTGTGTGAAAGAACCTTGTGAGATCCAACAATTCCACCATAGATGATTTTGGTGACTCATTCAGAGAACAGCACCCAGATTAGGAGTTATTGTCATAATTTTCAGAAGCAGAGATTATACCTTTAAACTTTTATCTAGTTAAAAAGGATGTTTCTCATACTAAAATACATTTGAGAATCTCGATAGGCTTTAAAGCACGTATTTTTAAAAACCCTTTTTTAAAAGGCTTTTAAAAATTTGAAAGACAAACACCATTTGTTTTACGCAAAAAAAAAAGCCAGCCTCTTCCCATACATACAATAATAAAATCACTTTTAATAACACAATCATACATAAAGCAATTCATTACTTCTTTGAGAGTTTGCTACAGATTTAAAGATCTGAAAACGACAGAGCTCATGCAGCTTCAGGCAGGGAGTAACATAATCCCTGACATATTCCAGCTCAAGAAACTGCTGATTTTCTTCTGAGTGATGGAAAAGCATTTGATTTCTTCCCTTTTCCATCCTAAAAAGGGCTACACGATGCCTTTCCCCTTAGTTGTGCCCCAAGTAGCAAATCAGACTAGTACAACTAAGCCTTAACTAATACTATTATACATTGCAAAATTTTAGACTTCAGTTAGGAAAAAAACTTTAAAAGTTTAACTGGGCCTTAAATTTAAATTAATTCACATGTATTTGCTCTTGAAAAACAGATTCCTTAAGAAAAATTTTGGTGAAACAAAAGTACCTTGCACTCTTGGAAAACCCATTCTTGAGGTCCTTCTGCACGTAACTTCTGAATGTATTGAAACATGTGCAAAATTATATCTTCAACATGTACTGGAAAAAAGGGGCACACTTAAAAACCATTCAGTCCTTGAATCCTTCAAAGCAGTGAGCTCACTCCTAAGGTAAAGTCAGATAAGTGGAAGATGGTCCCTCTTAGAAAATGCAGTCCTCACCTCCCTGAGACTGGCTTTACGTGTCCCACATACATGGCCCTCTGGGCTCAGAGATATGTGACAGAAAGGGTGTTGGGGCAGTAAATGAGCAAATAAAAAGCCAAGTCCACATTTAACAAGTGCAACATAATGATCAGTTGTTAAGGGGGGAAGAATCATCCATGAAACAAAGGCCAAGTTACATATGAAAAATACAATGGATAAGTTGTATGAATTAAAGTGTTGTAGCTTTCAACATAAAACAGATCCACAGCATGAAGAAGTTAAAAAACATCATAGAAAGTAAATTTTCATTCAAAAGTAAAAAGGTGAATCAATACTTACATAATCCTTCCTCGGTCAAGTCCACATTAATGATAAAAAACATAAAACCTCGGGCTCCTTCCTTCTGCCCACCAACAAGAGTATTAACCCAGCCTGCAACATTCAAAGGAAATCAATACGATTGATTGCATATGTGGCTTCCTTGAAGATAAGAAAAATTTTAAAAATTCATACTGTATGTTCCTAAGATATCAGAATGAACCTCTTGCGAAAAGATTGGGAAAAAAAAATCAGTTCAGAAAAGCAGTTTAAGATGGTGCAGAAGTGGGGGCTTTCCTGAAGATTCCTCAAATCAATTCCCAGTCAAGAGTAGACTACTGGCTGGGCGCGGTGGCTCATGCCTCTAATCCCAGCACTTTAGGAGGCCAAGATGGGCGGATCGCTTGAGACCAGGAGTTTGAGACTAGCCTAGGCAAAATGGCGAAACCCCATCTCTATCTAAAAAAGAAAAAAAAAAAAAAAAGGCAACAGCGTGCCAACAACCACCATCTCACTCACTAACCCAAAATGGTCACATCTAACAATGTTCCTTCATAGGACACTATTCAGGAGAAAATGAGAGCCAGAGTGAAAAGATGTGGTGGACACTCAGAAGATGCTGCCCAGGAGACTTACCCTTTGACTTAAGTTCTGATAACAGACTTCCAGGACCTTCATGCCCAATGAGATGACCAAGATAATGACCAGGATTTGATTTGTAGTATTTCTGAAGGTCAGGTATGGGAAATGTCACATAGAGATTCCTAATATCTTTAATGGGTACTATTTTGTAAAGTTGCTGGAGAAAACAAATCACAGAGATTAGCTATATACGACTCCTACTGAAGAAAATATTTCTAAACTATGAAGAATGATTTTCATGGGAGAATCCCAAATTTAAGAGCAAATCAATTGCCACAGAAAATGATACACTGACCACAAAGAAATAAATGACTCAGCACTCTCCTAGTGGAATTTCATTACAGTCGGTATATAGTCCATGTTTGACCCCCTGAACCATGCAGCTAAATATTAATGGTTTTGAATGCTTATCTTCAGGTACAGGTTAACAGCTTCAACAGTCTATTAAGACTACAGCTACCAAAACTACTTTTAGCATGTAAAGACCAGAACATATTGATATGTTTTTGGTGATTCATGATCCTAATAAATGTGAGATTGATTTTATTATCCCGACAAATATTTAAAACCACATGGGGGCCGGGTGCGGTGGCTCACACCTATAATCCTCGCACTTTGGGAGGCTGAGGGAGACAGATCACCTGAGGTCAGGAGTTCGACCTCAGCCTGGCCAACATGGTGAAACCCCATTTCTATTAAAAATACAAAAATTAGCCAGGCACAGTGGCATGCACCTATAGTTCCAGCTACTCAGGAGGCTGAGGCAGAAGAATTGCTTGAACCTGGGAAGCAGAGGTTGCAGGGAGCCACGATCGCGCCGCTGCACTCCAGCCTGGGCAACAGAGTGAGACTCCATGTCAAAAAAACCAAAAACAGAAACAAACAAACAAAAAACACTACATAGGGGCTGGGTGCAGTGGCTCACGCCTGTAATCCCAGCATTTTGGGAGGCTGAGACAGGTGGGCCACTTGAGATCAGGAGTTCGAGATCAGTCAAGGCAACATGGTGAAACCCTGTGTCTACTAAAAATACAAAAATTAGCCAGGTGTGGTAGTGTGTACTTGTAGTCCCAACTACTCAGAAGGCTGAGGTGGGAGGATCAATTCAGCCAGGGAAGTTGAGGCTTCAGTGAGCCATGATCGCACCACTGCATTCCAGCCTGGGTGACAATGCAAGACTCTGTTTCCAAAAAAAAAAAAAAAAAACACAACATAAATAATGAAACCTCCAAAAATTTTCACCTGTTCTATGGTAAACTAGGTATATATTATGTCCATAAATTAAGAAGACAAAATACCAAAATTTATGCACTTACTTTAAGATGTTCTTCTTGGAAAGGGTGTTCAGGAAATTCTGGCAATGGAACATTTTTGTTCTCTACTTCAGAAAATAACTTTACCACCAGATTAGTCAAGTCATCTAAAGATTCTACAAGAAAACAGACAAGGAAAACAGAACTTAAGCGAATCATAACATCCAACAGGGAGTGCTTAAAATCTTAGGATCTCCTGAAAAGTCTCAGTACTACTGAAAGGAAAATGTGAAAATGATTACACCTCACACCTATCTGTTTCTACTTTAAAAAATTATTCACAAATATTATTCAAAATATTATTTCACAAGTATTATAATAAAATTAAAACAAATATTAGAAACAATAATAATTGCATTTGGAAAAATGACTATGATTCCCAACAGGCATATATACTGAACTACTAGCAGATAGAGTATAATGTTCACCTTATACATAGACAGAGAATTGCCTTCTATGGTATAAAATTATCTTTTGTGCCTTTAAATGTATTTGCATTTTATTTATAAAAGACGCCTATTTTTACTTTAGTTTTTTGACACGTATGAAGGACTCCAAAATGCACATTTTATATGTGTGTGTGTATATATATATCACATATATGATATATATCACATACATCTCACATATATGATATATATCACATACATCTCACATATATGATATATATCACATACATCTCACATGTATGAAATATAGCACATACATCTCACATATATGATATATAGCACATACATCTCACATGATATATAGCACATACATATCACATATATGATATATAGCACATACATATCACACATATGATATATATCACATATATATCACATACATGATATATCACATATATCATATATATGATATTAGCAAAATTCTACTTTTGGAAGTATAACAAGAAATGAGTTAGATCTTTGAGAAGAGGGCACAGCAGTCATAGGATGGAATAAAGAACAGCTTGCTTTTTATTTTATACCTTTCTGTGTGGAATTAAATTTTTTCCATTTGTACAAATTACTATTATCCTAAAAAGAAAGCAGTGTTAAAAAAAAAAAAAAAAACTTTTTTTTTTTTTTTTTGAAGCAAGGTATTGCTCTGTTGCACAGGCTGGAGTGCAGTGGCACAATCCCAGCTAACTGCAACCTCTGCCTCCCAGGTTCAAGTGATTCTCATGTCTCAGCCTCCCCAGTAGCTGGGATTACAGGCGTGTGCCACCACACCCTGTTAGTTTTTTGTATTTTTAATAGAGACAGGGTTTCACCATGTTGCCCAGGCTGGTCTCAAACTCCTGAGCTCAAGTGATCTGCCTACCTCAGCCTCCCAAAGTGCTGGAATTACAGATGTGAGCCACCATGCCTGGCCAAAACCTGTCTTTTTATAAACAAGATAACCTCTCATCTTGATTCTGTCTCCTCAAAAATAGGTTATTTATAAATGGTATAAACATTCATAACCTGTTACTGTCAGTAAGCATTTGAATCAAATAAGATTCTTGCCTTGATATTCTATGACCCATTTGGAACTTTTCCATGAATTCTCGAGAGTACTAAATGACTATTTGAGAGCTGCCTTTATATGGTGTAAAATTCTCTTTTGTGCCTTTAAGTGTAGGCATTTGCATTTTATTTATAAAATATACCTACTTTTGCCTCAATTTTTTTGACATGTATGAAGGACTCCAAAATGTCCAGAGCCAAATAAAAGGCAGATCAGTGGCTGCCTATTATATGACAAGTGAATTTAGGAATGGAGAAGGAATATTGTAGCAAGAGATGTCAGAGACATCTTTTTGCAGATGGGACATATGACTTGAAACAAGGTGAGCAGTCAATAAAGGTTTGTGGGCCTGCAGTACTGGTGACAGCAACACCCTGAGCAAGGTTCTACCAGGTGTATCTTTCCTCTTGCGTATTTCTACCCTAAAAGCATAAATTCACAGTGTCACTTTTTAAAGGTAAGGGAGCTAAACACTATTGCACAGTCTGTCTACCCCACTAAACTGTGAGCTCCCCAGACATCAGGGAACTGAGTCCCACTCACCTTCATATCATCAAGGTTTGGCAACCTCAGTGTCTGTACTTGATGATTACCTATGTGGCAAGTGTTCAGATAATTAGTGCTTCCACAACTAGGGAGACAGCTCCAGGCAAGAACAGAAAAACTTTTTGTTCCCTTGTGACAGAGATCCTTCCACATGGTTACTCTTCCTCTCTCCTCCCGTCAAAAGAAGGAGTGGATTATCTTTTAATCCTCCAAGAGATCCAGTTTCCTCCTCATACCTCTATACTGTAAAGACATCTCTCTCTGGTTCAGCACAGGAAGTCAGTCACAATGGGAGAGTGATGTGTATGGATCAGAGAATTGAGACACTTTATTTTTTAGATTCTTATTCTGTCATTTCCACTAAACCAAGAACATTCTGAGGACAGGGATCAGGTTTGATTCATCTATTGCCATTGTTACTTGCCTATTAAATGTTTACTGAAATCATGTGTTTAATCTCAAATACAACATAGATTAAAAAAAAAAAAAAACACCCAGCTTTGGCACCTAATCCCAGGACTGGGTTCTAAACAGCAAGTGATATTTTAACATTCTAAACCCACCTACCTGAAGCAAGCACATAGCATTACAGAGTATGCTTTTTTTTTACTGTCCTCACTCCCTGAATCCATTTTACACCCTGGTTCTTGCTACCAACTTAAAAAATAGTTTATTTTCTAACTATAAAAGTAACATTTGCCAATAGCAGAAAACTTAGAAACAAAAGCTAAATTATGGTAACAAAAGTTACCATAATTTCATGATTATAAAGGTGCTAGAGTGGCTACTACTGTTTATGGAGCATTTGCTATGTGCCATGCACCTTGCTAAACACTTTGTATTATCTCAATTAAACCTCACAACAGGTACAATGTACCACCCACCACTTTACAAATGTGAAAACTGAAGTTTGAAAAACCTAAGTAAGTTTGTTAGCTCATAGCCACACAGCTAAGTAAGTGGTATATTTGGAATGAAAAGCCAGGTTGTTGGACTGTAGAATGTGAGTTCTTAATTACTATACAACATTATTAAATTTCTAGTACATGCTTTTCCATTTTGTCTTTTACCTACACCATATATGGTATATTAGAGTTTTTGGTGTTTTTTGTTGTCGTTTGTTTTTTGAGATGGAGTCTCACTCTGTTGCCCAGGCTGGAGTGCAGTGGCACAATCTTGGCTCACTGCAGCCTCCACCCCCCAGGTTCAAGTGATTCTCCTGCCTCAGCCTCCCAACTAGCTGGGATTACAGGTGCCCGCCACCATGCCCGGTTAATTTTTATATTTTTAGTAGAGATGGGGTTTCGCCATGTTGGCTGGGCTGGTCTCAAACTCCTGACCACAAGTGATCCACCTGCCTCGGCCTTCCGAAGTGCTGGAATTACAGGTGTGAGCCACTGTGCCTGGACCCTATTAGAGTTTTTAAAAATTTTGTGGGGGGGATATGTCTTGGAATTTTTAATAAATCCCAAAATGGGACCATATAGCACATGTTTTTGTAAACAGCTTTTGTTTTCTCTTTAATATATTAAGAACATTTTAAAAATTATATTCTTATATATAATATACATATATTAATTAAAAATGTTTAGTTATATATGCACATATAAGAACATATATTCATATATATGAGAATATATTAAGAATATCTTCCCATGGTATTAAAATGCTGTCATAAAACTGTTTATTCATTCAATATATATTTACCTATGATGTGCCAAGCACGAGCCCAGGTACTGAGGATAAAGCAGTGAACAAAACAAAGTTTCTATTCTCAAGTAATTTACACTTTGGTAGGGTGGACAACAAAAACACACAAATATTTAATACCTGAGGTATTAATACTATAAAGAAAAAGCAGGTAAGATGGAAAGTAGAATAGGAAATGTTATTTTTCTATAAGATATTCTATTTGCAATTATAAAATCAGTATTTAGCCAATCTCCTATTAACATTTAGATTTCTAAATTTTCGCTAATATGTACTATACTGACAGAAACATCCTTTTATATCTCCTATTTGAACTCTGATTATTTCCTGAGATTGCATTTTTAAAAGTAAAAATGCATCTTTACTTTTAAGACTGATACTGTTAAACTGCCCTCCAGAAAGACTAGAGCAATTGATACCATCATTACCAATATAAAAAAGCAACACCATCGGCAGTGGGTATTACTTCAAAACAAAACTGTGATAATTTAACAGCAGGAAACAATGTTAGTAGTTAATCTGCATTTTAAAAATCAAACCATTGTTTACATTCCAAATGGTTTCCCAAGTTTATCATCATCTGCTTTTTTTTTTTCCAGTTTTTTGAATTGTTATAAGGTCAAATCTGCCAATCTTTGTCCTTTTTGTGTGTTTTTTTTTAATATGAGATCTCTCTCTGCCACCCAGGCTGGAGTGCAGTGGTGTGGTGATCACAGCCTTTAACTGCAGCCTTTAACTCCTGGGCTCAAGCGATCTTCAGCCTCCCTAGCAGCTAGGACTACAGGTGCAGACTACCACATCCCACTAATTTAAAAAAATTTTTTTTGGTAGAGACAGGATCTTACTATGTTGCCCAGGCTGGGCTTGCCTTGCTTTTATATGCTTAGAGCACCTATTACTGTAGTAATTTGTATTTTTTTTCAGATCTCCACTTAAACTTCTTTTGGGAACACAATGATTTAAACATAAAAATCCCCACCTATGTATTCTCTAACAAGTAGATCATTTTCAAAAGATGCTGAGCAAATAAGCAGCTCTATCTTATATCCATCTTCTAACACTGTGAAAAAGCCAACATTAAAAACTTATATTATCCAATTCTATAAAAAATTGTAAGGGTTCTTACCTCGACCTAAAACACAAACAGCCATTAAGTTGGATGAATAGTAAGCAGAATGGAATTTCAGTAGCTCTTGTCTTACATCAATGCCTTCTTGGTTTGGTCTAGTCTCCAGAGTATATTTGTTACCTGGAAGGGAAGAAAAGGGATTTCTTAGAAAAAGCAAAATATGTGGACTTTTAAAGTTTTGTAATTATCACTGATATTGCTTAAGATGAACTTTAAAAATAAAGTTCTAATACACAGAATAACTCAAATTTATTTGAATGTTAAGTGAATAAACAGGATAATAGAGTACAAACCAGCAACATTTTAAACTATAGTCGTCTCTACGGAATTAAAAGTGTCTTTTTTTTTTTTTTTTGAGACGGAGTCTTGCTCTGTTGCCCAGGCTGGAGTGCGGTGGTGTGATCTCGGCTCACTGCAAGCTCCGCCTCCCGGGTTCACGCCATTCTCCTGCCTCAGCCTCCCAAGTAGCTGGGACTACAGGCGCCCACCACGACACCTGGCTAATTTTTTGTATTTTTAGTAGAGATGGGGTTTCACTGTGTTAGCCAGGCTGGTCTCGATCTCCTGACCTCGTGATCCGCCCGCCTCAGCCTCCCAAAGTGCTGGGATTACAGGCATGAGCAACCGCGCACCCGGCCTTTTTTTTTTTTTTTTTTGAGACGGAATTTCGCTTTTATTGCTCAGGCTGGAGTGCAATGGCGTGATCTCGGCTCACCCCAACCTCCGCCTCCCGGGTTCAAGTGATTCTCCTGCCTCTGCCTCTCTAGTAGCTGGATTACAGGCATGCGCCACCACGCCCGGCTAATTTTGTATTTTTAGTAGAGATGGGGTTTCTCCATGTTGGTCAGGCTGGTCTTGAACTCCCGACCTCAGGTGATCTGCCTGCCTCGGCCTCCCAAAATGCTGGGATTACAGGCCTGAGCCACCAAGCCCGGCCTAAAAGTGTCTTATAAAAATTATACTTTTGGCCGGGTGCATGGCTCACGCCTATAATCCAAGCACTTTGGGAGGCCGAGGCAGGCAGATCACCTGAGGTCAGGAGTTCAAGACCAGCCTGACAAACATGGAGAAACACCGTCTCTACTAAAAATACAAAATTAGCCAGGCGTGGTGGCACATGCCTGTAATCCCAGCTACTTGGGAGGTTGAGGCAGGAGAATCACTTGAACCCAGGAGGCAGAAGTTGCGGTGAGCCGAAATCACGCCGAGTCAAGATTGTGCCATTGCACTCTAGCCTGGGCAACAAGACGGAAACTCCGTCTCAAAAAAAAAAAAAAATTATACTTCTTGGCTGGGCTCAGTGGCTCACATCTGTAATCCCAGCACTTTGGGAGGCCAAGATGGGTGGATCACCTGAGGTGAGGAGTTCAAGACCAGCCTGGCCAACGTGGTGAAAACCCCTCTCTATTAAAAATACAAAAATTAGCCAGGCATGGTGGTGGGCACCTGTAGTCTCGGCTACTCGGGAGGCTGAGGGATGAGAATCACTTGAACCCAGGAGGCAGAGGTTGCATTGAGCCAAGATTGTACCACTGCACTCCTGGGCAACAGAGTGAGACTCTGTCTCAAAAAAATATGTCTATATCTGTATCTATATCTCCACTTCTTAAAATCCCTATGAGATAGTAGGTATTATGAGTGCTTAAAAGACAAAATAAGATCCACATGGCCTCCATTCATGCTTATTTTAATTTTCAATTCCCTATGTACTCCATAATTAATTGAACAGAGTCACTGAGGGATTTTTTTAGAACTTGCCAAGTTACTTGTGGAAAGAAATTTACTATTTTGGGCCAAACCATTAAATTTGTGATGTGAATTCTCATAGATGTGATCTAGACTGGTTAAAAAAAGGATGCAATGCTATTTTTATAACTCTCCAGCGATGTATGTAGTGTACCACTAACAGCTCTCATGAAATCTTAATAACTAATTCAAGTAGGGTAAAATATGTAAGTCAAAAACAAATAGTCAAATTCTCTAAATAATACCTTGCAAATTAGGGACTGGGAGATGAAATTCCAATGATCGGTGTCTCTCCAAAATGGCATCTTGACTGGAAATATCCTAAGATCCTGGCATAATAACTTTTATTATTGGTTCTACTTACACTACTAAGTGAGATCCTGTCTTTCTTCTGCAGAGATAAAACTATGGTAGAGTATGTTCTTGAAGTGGTTTAATTTTTTTTTCTTGTGTTTTTATAATATCTGATATAGGGGCACTGGGAAAGTCCCTCTTTCATGAAATTGGATGTCTACAGAAAGCCACCAGATGGCGCTCTCAAACTCAGTCTTTAGCTCAGTAGTGCTGCACAGTACTAAGATTCCTGTCCCAGAATGCTTAACAGATCCAGTGAAGACAGAATGTGCAAGAAACAGCCTAGCAAGTAACCTTAACCTTAACTCATTAACCTTTTCCTAGTCACAAAGTAATCATATGCA
Source organism: Homo sapiens (assembly GCF_000001405.40). Taxonomy (NCBI): domain Eukaryota; kingdom Metazoa; phylum Chordata; class Mammalia; order Primates; family Hominidae; genus Homo; species Homo sapiens. The sequence goes on from NC_000010.11 coordinate 92,517,367, forward strand.
TTCATACTCACTAGAAGTAGCCTATCACCCAAGTTTCCAGGTTGTTCTTGTTTTTGTTTAAGATAGGGTCTTACTCTGTTGCCCAGGCTAGACTGCAGTGGTGTAATCACAGCTCACTGCAGCCTCGATCTCCTGGGCTCAAGCAGTCCTTCTACCTCAGCCTCCAGAGTAGCTGGGACCACAAGCATTTACCATCACGTCCAGCTATTTTTTTAATTATTTTTATTTTTTTTGGTAGAACCAGGGTCTATGTTACCCAGGTTGGTTCCAGGTTCTTAATTAGTTCTCTCATTTTCTCACTAATGACCAGTTCAAGCTGGGCACAGTGGATCATGCCTGTAATCCCAGCACTTTGGGAGGCCAAGGCAGGTGCATCACTTGAGGCCAGGAGTTCAAGACCAGCCTGGCAAGCATGGTGGCATGCCTATCATCCCAGCTACTCAGGAGGCTGAGGCATGAGAATCACTTGAAACCAGGAGGCAGAGACTGCAGTGAGCCAAGATCACACCACTGCACTCCAGCCTGGGTGACAGAGTGAGACTCTGTCTGATTGATTGATAGATAAATAAAATAATATAAATAAATAAATAAGACCTAGTTCTGCTTTACTGCCCAGAGAGGTCCTGAGACATTCTCTATTCTCTCACTCTACCTGAGGGGTCCAGATGCTCTTAGGTGCATACCCATAGTCCTAACTCCTTAGGGAAAAAAAAAGGCCTTTTGCTGGAGAATGTTTGAAGTTCTCTCGTATCAAGGTGAAATTTGAGTATTGATGAAGCCTTTCTTTTCTACTAAATGAAGATTCTAAAAGCCACAGTTCTAGAGGGAGTTTTGCTTAAGCTCCTTAGTGCTTTACACTGCCATCTCGGCTCACTGCAACCTCCACCTCCAAGATTCAATTGATTCTCCTGGGGCCAGATATCTTCTGACTGCATGGCCTTGAACAAGTTACTTTACTTCTCTGTGGCTCAATCTCCTCAACTGACATTAGTGGACTTACAGTACATAATGAGAAAAATACACGTAAAAAAAGTATAAGACTATTACTTAACAAAAATGTTAAAGTCTTACGACACCAACTGTTGTTTAGTATGCAGAGAATGAGAACTCAGACACTGCCTGATGGAGTGCATCTTGAATCAACCGCTACAGGAAACAACCTAGTCAATCTGAAGATGTCCATATCCTACTACATAGTAATTCCACTCCTGGATATATGTATCCAGAGAAGTCTGTGTACAAGGAGACATGTACAACAATTCCATAGTAACACTGTTTCATTAACAGGAAAATGAATAAATAGTGGTACAGTCATTCAATGAATTTTTCAAAGAGCAATAAAATACAAAAATTATCAGAGGAATACTCATCAATATGGACAACTCTTACAAAACAAAATGTTGAATGAAAAAATACAAGCGGCAGAGATTACACACAATAAAATACTATTTCCATGAAACCTAAAAACATATAAAACTATAAACACGGAAATGATAATCATTAAAGAAGATAGTGGTTATCTCTCAGGAGCAGGAAGGAAAATGCAACTGAAGTGTACACCGGATGCTCAAAGTGCATTTGTAACGTTCTCTTTCTTTAAGCAGTGTGACAGAGAATGATCTGGCAAATGTCTGTGTACCTACCTCTTTGTATGACAACTACATCATAAATCTGTAAAAATACTGAAGTATTTAACATAATACTTAATAAATAAACAACGGAAAATAAACAACAAACAGTAGCTACTGCTGTTACAATTTGAATTGTAGGAAGGACTCTTGGCTTCTGAGTGAATCATTATACAAAAAGATGTACTCCCCAGAGAAAAAAATAGAAATTGTGGCTAGAAGCTGAGTAAATGGTCCAGATGACTGCCCCCCAACACCTAAGAAACCATGTATGGAGAACAACGTGAATAAGGCTGGGATAATAAATACCAATTCAGTCTCTAGACACATACTGTCCTAATTTTGTGCTCATTCAGCTGGGTCATTTATGTCAAATTAAAATGCTGCTACTTGTACTAAAATCTTGAATCCTACCTTTCTGGCTCTGTTGCATCCAGGTGAGCTCCAGCAGTGAATGGAGGAGCAGGGTTGCTCACCTACTGTGACCCTTCCACTCTACGCCTGCTAGGAGAGAACACTGCCTTGGCATTTAGGAATTCAGGGATTCTTGTCCTGACTCCATCATGTGCTAATTAAGCAACCTTGGAAAAGTCTCCAAATATCTCCAAGGGGTCATTTATTTCATCTGTAAAATAGGGATAATATGGATATATGTCCAGGTGCTAAAAGCAAGGAAAGGCTCAATCCCTGACTCTCCTTCATTTCCTAGCTGTGAGACACAGGCAGGTTTCTTAACCTCTCTTACGCCTCAGTTTACTTATTCATAAATGGGCATAATAAGAGGACCAACCTCACAGGATTGCTGTGAGAATTAAAATATAAATAATCTGCCAGGCGCGGTGGCTGACACCTGTAATCACAACACTTTAGGAGGCTGAGGCAGGCGGATCACCTGAGGTCAGGAGCTTGAGACCAGCCTGGCCAACATGGCAAAACCCCGTCCTACTAAAAATACAAAAATTAGCCAGGCATGGTGGTGGTCACCTGTAGTCCCAGCTACTCGGGGAGGCCGAGGCAGGAGAATCGCTTGAACCTGGGAGGTGGAGGTTGCAGTAAGCCGAAATCAAGCCACTGCACTCCAGCCTGGGTGACAGAGCAAGACTCCATCTCATAAATAAATAAATAATCCATGTTAAGGCTCAGCATAGCATCTATCAGACAATAATTACTGAATATTAACATGGGGTTTTGTGAAGCCTAAGAAATGTAATAATGGATGCGAAGAGGGGTTGGTAAATTGTAAAATCCAGTAAGTGCTACTTTATATTTTCATTTTAACAACTATTTTAAATTCTGTTTAGAACAAATAAAGCTTACAAACTCAGCACTAATGTATATGAATACTGATTTTCAAGGGAATAAAATTTATTTTCCTGGAAAATTCTGAAGCCAGCAATATATTTCTTATACTGGGAAGGAATGAGTTTTAAGTTTTAGAAACGTCTTAGAAACCACAGGTTTCTCCAATAGTATGTTCTCAGGGAAAGGTCAACTTGATAGTTATAACCCATTATAATTTTATATGTTCTCTGAAAACCCAAGATCCTGAAAGTTAGGCTAACATACCTATAGCTAGTTACTTGGAATTATTATAAACTTTTTAAAAAGCCCTTTCTTCTTGCTATAGCAATCTTCTAAAAATCCTGGAAGTGAGAGACTAAAGCCTTTTGATATATGTGAATTTTCCCACAAAATTTAAACCGACAATTCCTCTGCAGCTGAGTAAGTATATGCAAGTACAAGATATGAGTTATAAAAGGGGACTTTAAGTGAAAACCTCTTAAATGCCATCAGAAAACACTCCTACACTTGATTGGTCCAGCTCTTGTTTTCAGTAAATTTCTAGTTTTCCACAGACACATATCCCAGTAACGAGAAAAAAGATAGTAACAAAATCCATGGAAAAGCTAAGGGAACAATAAATGATTACATGGACTAAAATATATGAAATGTTTTTACATCCATGAGTCTATGTGATACTCAAAAAACAAATTAGTCACCCTGAAGGATGCTGACGAACCAATTCATTATTTTGAAAATTGGTAAATAAATGGAATGGAATAAAAGCATTTATCCTGCCTTTCCCACAGTAACTGTACCACTGACTAGCCAAATAGTAGAAAAGGAGATTTTACAGCAGTACTCAAGTTAATCAAAAGAGATGGAATAATAGAATTAGCATTAGAAAAACCAAAATTAGGGAGGTGATGCACTGAGAATCAATATTTGCAACATCATAAATGACCAGACATTGTATGCCCAATGGAAAAATACATCACCACCTATGAAGATGTCTTGTCAAAAAGTCAAACACAAATTTGATCAAGCCTCTATATCCAACTGCCAATTTGTAGAAATACAGAAGACAGAGGAACTTGTTAAACTACATTGTTAGGGGTGCAGTAAAAAAAAAAAAATCTAGGCTATGAGAAGTTCGATAAAACAAACAACCTGATTATTCAATAAATAAATTCCAAGAGGGGAGTGAGGGGAAGGAGTAGAGGAAGAGATGAAGGATGAACTCTTAAACTAAAAAGAGACTTAAAAGACATATCAGACTGGAGTGGTGGCTCACTTTGGGTGACTCACTTTGGGGTCCTAGCACTTTGGGTGGTCAAGGTGGGAGAATCGCTTGAAACTAGGATTTCAAGACAAGCCTGGACAACATAGTGAGATCCTGTCTCTACAAAAATTAAAATAATAATAATAATAATAATGAAAGACATATCAAACAATCACTAATATGTAATACTTATTTGGACTCTGATTCAAATAAACTTTAAAAATAATGATTTTTATAAGAACACTAGAAATTTGAACACTAACTGGATATTTGATAATAATGGTAACAATAATGGTATTTTTATGTTTTTAAAAATGAATTGCTATGTTTTAGAGATATATACTGAAATATTTATGAGCAAAATGATATCTAGAATCTCTTCAAAATAATACAAAAGGGTGAATGGAAATGTGGATTGTACAGAATTGGCCAGGGGCAGGGTGATGCACACATAGGGTCATTATAGTATTTTGTGTTCTTTTGTGTATGTTTTAAATTCTTCACAAAAAAAAAATGGTGAAGGGAAGAAAAGAGGAAATAAGGGTGGGAGGGAAGAGAGAAAAAAGTAATTGAACTTGTATTAGAGTCTGATTTGGTGTGTTATTATGTTTACCACAGGATCAGGAGTCACTGAACTACCCTCTGGTTCATATTCCACAATTTTATTGGGTTCTCTTTTTCTATTCTATTCCTTCCTACTTCTCTATGCAAAAGCATCCTTTGTTATACTCAAACTATCCTAACTCATGTTCTCCAAAAGAAACCAGGCTCACTCCTTGGTCTTTTCTTCATGTCATGGTTTTGGGGGTCAACTTAATTACTATCATGAAGAACATAGGCTTTGAGTTCAGACTGACTTGATAATTGAATTCCATAACCTATACAGATAGTTCCACTACCACCCTATCTCTCTCCTCTCTGTACTCCCTGCAAGACTAAAACATTAGTCAAATACAACAAATATTAGTTCCTTTTCTTTTTCCCCTTGAATGGCTCTTCCTTCTGCTTAAGGAAATCTTATCTATACTTCAGGAGAAGTGAAACTGCATCTCCGCTAAGATCCTGGAGAAATAAATTCTGGGCAACACTAAAACATGCAAAATAGAATAGTGTTTAAAAGCTCCAAATCTGGGCACAGATCCTGACTCCAGCACTTAAAAGCTGAGGGACCCAAGGCAATTTAATTATCTTAAGTCTTAATCTACTCATGTAAGATGGAAATATGAGCATCTACCTACTGGGGTTACTGTGAGAATTATTAGAAATTAAATAATCCACGTAAAGTGCTTAGCATAGCACTCAATAAAAATTAGCAAGAAAAAGGAGGAAGAAAATGGAGAGATGATGATCCTGGAAAATCAAAGCTAAAATTACACTCAGTGAAATCCTGGGTTTGCCTTGCTTCCCCAACTAAACTTTCAGCACCTTGAGTGCAATGACACTAGTTACACTTCTTTGCATTTTCTAATGCACTTTACATGTAGGGGGACTAAAAAAATTACTTATTAACTGAGAGAGAGAAAATTTGGGCTCATTTATATTTATAATCCTATGAACTTGGAATAAGCATACTAGAGTAAATAGCAGCGGAGTCAGGCAGATGACCTGAGCTCAGAAGTTCGAGACTAGCCTGGGCGACATGGTGAAACCCTGTCTCTACTAAAAATACAAAAACTAGCCAGGTGTGATGGCACCTGCCTTTAATCCCAGCTACTTCAGAGGCTGAGGCAGGAGAATCGTTTGAACCCAGGAGATGGAAGCTGTAGTGAGCCGAGATCATGCGACCGCACTCCAGTCTGAATGACAGAAGGAAACCCTGTCTCAAAGAAAGAAAAGAAAAGAAAGAAATTTTCTTTCTTTTCACTTGCTGGGCACAGTGGCTCACACCATAATCCTAGCACTCTGGGAGGCCAAGGCAGGCAAATGACCTGAGGTCAGGAATTCGAGACCAGCCTGGCCAACATGGTCTCTACTTAAAAAAAAAAAAAAAAAAATTAGTTAGGCATTGTGGTATGTGCCTATAATCCCAGCAACTTGGGTGGCTGAGACATGATAACCACTTAAACCTAGGAGGCGGAGGTTGCAGTGAGCCAAGATCATGCCATGTCACTTCAGCATGGGCGACAAGAGTAAGACTCAGTCTTAAAAAAAAAAAAAAAAAAAAGTCACGCACACCTAAAATACAGCTCCACCCTCTATATTCTTGTCTTCAACTGTGCCTTTCATTCTACCTATACATGAAGGAGTACCTGTTTTGTTGTTCCCACTCACTCTTTGACCTCCTTCTTTTATTTCCCTCCCAGCTGAATAAACCCAGTTGCTCCCACAGTGTCGGTAGAGTTATGTTTGGAGAAACAGATCAGTAAGGAATAACCAGAACTAAGTTTTTCCTTTTACTATTCTAAACCTGCTTGTAAACATTCAACTGCTCCTACTTTAATTCCATTGAGAGGCAAACAAAAAAACAAAATAGGGCAGAAAAATGGTTTCTAGTTTATCAGGAACTATGAAACTAAAGGCATATGTGAATAATGAAGAGAAAAAGTGAAAGTGGATACCAACTAAATTCAATAACATATTAAAAATATCATTCAATTCACAAATTAGCTGGGCATGGTGGCAGGCATGTAATCCCAGCTACTTGGGAGGCTGAGGCAGAACTGCTTGAACCCGGGAAGTGGAGGTTACGGTAAGCTGAGATTGTGCCACTGCACTCCAGCCTTGGTGACAGAGTGAGACTCTATCTCAAAAAAATATATATAATATATTATTATATATATTATATTATATATAATATATTTTATATTATAATATATATTATATATAATATATTTTATATAATATATAATATATATTATATTATATATAATATATTTTATATAATATATTTTATATATTATATATTTTATATAATATATAATATATATTATATTATAATATATTTTATATAATATATAATATATATTATATTATAATATATTTTATATTATATATATATTTTATATATAATAATATATATCATTCAACATGATCAAGTGGGATTCATCTCAGGGATGCAAAGATGGTTCAACATAAACAAATCAGGCTGGGCACAGTGGCTCACGCCTGTAATCCCAGCACTTTGAGAGGCCGAGGTGGGTGGATCACCTGAGGTCAGAAGTTTGAGATCAGCCTGGCCAATATAGCAAAACCCCGTCTCTACTAAAAATACAAAAATTAACCAGATGTGGTAATGGGCGCTGCAATCCCAGCTTCTTGAAAGGCTGAGGCAGGAGAATTGCTTGAACACGGAAGTTGCAGTGAGCCGAGATGGCACCACTGTACTCCAGCCTGGGCGAAAGAGTGAGACTCCATCTCAAACAAACAAACAAACAAAAATATATACAAATATATACAAATCAATAAACATGATACATCACAGGGTCAGGTGTAATGGCTCATGCCTGTAATCCCAGCACTTTGGGAGGCCGAGGTGGGTGGATCACTTGAGATCAGGAGTTCAAGACCAGCCTTGCCAACATGGCAAAACACAGTCTCTACTAAAAATACAAAAATTAGCCAGGCGTGTGCCTGTAATCCCAGCTACTGGGGAGGCTGAGGCAAGAGAATCACTTGAACCCGGGAGGCAGAGGTTGCAGTAAGCCGAGATTGCACCATTGCCCTCCAGCCTGGGCAACAGAGTGAGACTGTCTCAAAACAAAATAAAACAAAAACATGATACATCACAGTAACAGAATCAAGGACAAACACCATAAGCTGAAAAAGGCATTCAATAAAATTCAACATCACTTCATGATAAACGTTCTCAACACACTGGGTAGAGAAGGAACATATGTCAAAACAATAAAGGCTGTATATGACAAACTCAGAGCTAACATCATATGGAACAGCGAAAAAGTGAAAGCCTTTGCTCTAAGATCTGAAGAAGACAAGCATCCCCACTTTTACCACTTTATACAGCATAGCACTGGAAGTCCTAGCCAGAGCCATTAGACAAGACATAAAGGGCATCCAAAATGGAAAGAAGTCAAACTGTCATTGTTCGTAGACAACATAATCTTATATTTAGAAAAACCTGAAGACTCTATCAAAAACACCTGTTAGAACTGATAAATGAATTCAGTAAAGTTGCAGGATACAAAAGTCAGCATATCAAAATCAGTAGCATTTCTATATGCCAACAGTGAACAATCTGAAAAAAAAAAAAAAAAAACCAAGAAAGCAATCCCATTTATAATAGCTACAAAAAACAAAAAACAAACACACAACAAAAAAGCCCTCTAAGAACAAACTGAACCAAAAAAGTAAAAGATCTCAGGCTGGGCGCAGTGGCTCACACCTCTAATCCCAGAACTTTGGGAGGCCAAGGTGGGCAGATCACTCGAGCTCAGGAGTTTGAGACCAGCCTGGCCAACATGCGAAACTTCATCTCCACTAAAAATACAAAAATCAGCTGGGCGTTGTGGTGCAAGCCTGTAATCCCATCTACTTGGGAGGCTGAGGCAGAATTACTTGAACCTAGGAGGTGGAGGTTGCAGTGAGCTGAGATGGCGCCACTGCACTCCAGCCTGGGAGAAAGAGCGGGACTCCGTCTCAAAAAAAAAAAAAAAGTAAAGTAAAAGATCTCTACAATGAAAACTATAAAATACTAATAAGAGAAATTAAGGAGGGCATACACAAAAAGGAAAGACATCCTGTGTTCATGGACTGGAAGAACTAATATTGTTAAAATGTCCATACTATCCAAAGCTATCTACAGATTCAATGCAACCCCTATCAAAATACCAATGATATTCTTCACAGAAATAGAAAAAAAAATCCTAAAATCTATATGGAATCAAGACAAGGACTTTTTCAGAATCCTACTGTCCTTTCACAGCTACCAATCAGGTATTATACTATTAATATGATTTATTTAACATTATTATGGGCTTCATATGCACAATCTCATTTAATATTGGCATCAACCTGATGTGGAAAGGAACTGGGGCTTAGAGAAGTTAAGAGGCTGGGCATGATGGTTCATGCCTGTAACCCTAGCACTTTGGGAAGCTGAGGCAGGAGGATCACTTGAGCCTAGGAGTTTGAGACCAGCTTGGGCAACATAGGGAGACCCTATCTCTACAAAAGATTAAATAATTAGCTGAGTGTGGTAGTGTGTGCGTGTAGTCTCAGCTACTTGGGAGGCTGGGGTAGGAGGATCATTTGAGCCCAGGAGGAGGAGGTTACAGAGTGCCAAGATTGCACCACTGCATTCCAGCCTGGGCAACAGGGTGAGGCCCTGTCTCAAAAAAAAAAAAAAAAAAAAAAAAGGACAGGGTCTCACTATGTTGCCTAGACTGGTCTTGAACTTCTGGGTGCAAACCATCCTCCTGCCTCAGCCTCCTGAGAAGCTGCGATTACAGGTGCATACCACCACATCTAGCTTTTTGTGTCTCTTTTGAACAAGGATTTTAAATTTCAATGAGGTCAAGTTTATCTCTAAACCTATGGTTCATCTCTATCTTCATGGGTTTTTCTGTGTGTTTAAGAACATTTCCTCTATCTGAAGATAAAAAAAATTCTCATATATTTTCTTTTAAAAGTTGTAGCGAACCAGACTCAGTGGCACATGTCTGTAGTCTATAGAAAGTCTACATAAAGTCCTAAGAAAGAACTATATTTTTTTCATTTGTAATGTACCTCTGCCTTATATCAAGTTTCCATATGTTTGTGGATGTTTCCAGGGCCTATAATCTGTTCTACTTGTATCTTCATGCACCCCTGCTTCAATTCTACTACTGTAACAACTAGAACTTTATAATAAGTCTTGGTACCTGGTAGAAGTAGCTTTCCTTGTTCCTCAAAATTATCTTAGCTATTCTTGGCCTTTTACTCTCTTATTAATTTTATAATGAGATTATACAATTCCTAAAAAAAAACTTACAGGACTTTCAACTGGCACTGCATTGAATTTAGAGAAATTTGGGGCATATTTACATTTATGTTATATAGAGTTTAACCATCCATGTGCATGATATACCTCCCCATTTAGGCATTCTTTTATATCCATTACATATTTCTTGCAACTCTTTCATTGGATTTATTTCTGAATATTTTACAGCTTTGTTAAATATTGCAAATGAAATAATTTTTACCCCAGCATTTTCCTGTAATTGATTATTGATACAAGAACATGGCCGGGCACGGTGGCTAATGCCTGTAATCCTAACACTTTGAGAGGCCAAGGCGGGTGGATCACGAGGCTGGGAGATCGAGACCATGCTGACTAACATGGTGAAACCCCATCTCTACTAAAAATACAAAAAATTAGCTGGGCGTGGTGGCACGTGCCTGTAATCCCAACTACTTGGGGAGCTGAGACAGGGGAATCGTTTGAACCTGGGAGGCGGAGGTGGCAGTGAGCCAAGGTCACGCCACTGTACTCCAAAGAACGCAATTTTAGTGTGTTTGTCTTCTTTCTGGCAACCTTGCTGAATTATTTTTAATGACTGATCTGAAGATTTTCTTCAGTATTTTTATGGAGGCAATCCTATCATATGGAAATAAGGAAATAGGTTTTGTTGTGCTTCCTTTCCATCTCTTATAATCACATTTTCCCCCTTGATTTATTGTAATGATTAATACCTGTAAGTATAGCCAAACAAAAGTGATAGTGGGCATCCTTATTTTTTCAACAGAAATCCTTTGAAACCTCCATTAATCATGAAGTTTGACAATAGCTTTTAATCAGCTTGAAAGTTTTTTATTGTTGTGGTTTATTTTTGTTCATGGATGAGTGCTGTGTTTTATCCAATGCTCAGAGTCTACTGTCTATCACTTTGGACTACTAAAACTGTGGGTCAGGACCCATTATATTGTAATTAAATGCATTTAAAGTATTAGCAGATCAGAGTTTCTCTAGAAAAAAAAAAAAACAGAATATAAGGGAAAGTGCCAGACTACATCCCATGATGTAAGATAGTGTTTGACAAAATTTTGTTTCAGCTGCTTACACAAACACATATATGTACTCTGAATTGCTAAATAAAATGTGCTTCTTACTATGAGTTGTATACAAAAAAGAGTTTGAAAGCCACTAATCTATACTATTTCTGAGCATGAAAACCGACTGTTAGGGACAAACATCTTACTGTAAAGTTTTCTTAAAACAGATAATACAATGTGTGGTTTTTATTCATTCAAAAATACACACCTTTTTCTGGTATTATTATTTTAAATCAAAATCCCTTGATGAGACCAGGCGTGATGGCTCATGCCTGTAATCCCAGCACTTTGGAAGGCTGAGGCGGGCAGATCACTTGAGGTCAGGAGTTCGAGACCAGCCTGGCTAACATGGTGAAACCCCATCTCTACTAAAAATACAAAAATTAGCTGGGCATGGTGGTGGGTGCCCGTAATCCCAGCTACTCAGAAGGCTGAGGCAGGAGAATCGCTTGAACCTGAGAGGCAGAGGTTGCAGTGAGCCAAGATCACCATACTGCACTCCAGCCTGGACGACAGAGCAAGACTGTCTCAAAAAAAACAAAACAAAAAAACAAAACAAAACAAAAAATCCCCTGATGAACAAAGTGGCCCACACTCACAAAAACATCTGAGGCCAAAGCAATCTACATAAATTAGCATGAATTTCTGACAAGGAACCTACTGCAACGATCACTTTTGCAAAGTTTTCAATATGCATAATATCTGAGATAAGGGCATACAACTGTCATCAAATTTTCAAATGTACCTGTGACCTTAAAAATACACAGAACTTCTACTCCAAAAAATTCAACGTAAGTTTATAATTCTAAAATCAGAAGGTAACTTGACATTTGCATTACTTATATCACATTTTCTGTACTGTGTATTGAGTCTGGCTCACTTGTTTCTCAGCTGTTTATATTACCTTGTACTTTGCTAACTGCCTAGCTTTTCAGGCTATAAAAAGAAATATGCCCTGAAACTTCACCCATATGGATATGCCATGCAATGTATCTCTTTGCCCATCATTCCTGAAACCCTTCTATAGAATATTTTAAGATTGTTCTTGTGGCCAGGCATGGTGGCTCATGCCTGTAATCTCAGCACTTTGGGAGGCGAGGCAGGAAGAATACTTGAGGCCAGGCGTTCAAGACCAGCCTGGTCAACATAGTGAGACCCCACCTCTACAGGAAAAAAAAATGTTCCTTGTTTGTGACCAGAAGTAACACTACTCACCTTATTCACTGGATTTATTTCTGGAAAATGTGTAACTGCTTTCTGATTATGCTGATTATAATTTGTCACCAGTGAAGCTATTTAAAAAAAGGCAACTCCCAAAGAGGAGCTCCAACATATTCTGCAAAATAGCAGCATTGTTTGTGTAAGTATCTAACATACCAAAAGGACTACTTTAAATAATCGCCAGGCGCAGTGGCTCACGCCTGTAATCCCAGCACTTTGGAAGGCCGAGGCAGGCGGATCACCTGAGATCAGGATTTTGAGACCAGCCTGACCAACATGGAGAAACCCCGCCTCTACTAAAAGTACACAAATTAGCCGGGCATGGTGGCGGGCGCCTGTAATCCCAGGTACTCAGGAGGCTGAGGCAGGAGAATTGCTGGAACCTAGGAGGCAGAGGTTGTAGCGAGCTGAAATCAGGCCACTGCATTCCAGCCTGGGTGATAAGAGCCAGACTCCGTCTCAATAAATAAATAAATAAATAAATAAATAAATAACCATTTGAATGTAATGCTTTTGAAAAAACAAAAAAAAAGTTGTTGTTTTTTTTTTGAGACAGGGTCTTACTATCACCCAGGCTGGAGTGCAGTGACTCAATTGTGGCTCACTGCAGTTGAACTCACTGGCTCAAGCCATCCTCAGCCTCCCAGGTAGCTTGGACTACAGGCACACACCACCATGCCTGGCTAATTATTTTATTTTCTTGTAAAGATAGTGTCTCACTATGTTGCCCAGGCTGGTCTCAAACTCCTGAACTCAAGAAATCCTCCCACCTTGGTCTTCTAAAGTGTTGCAGTTACAGGCATGAGCCACCATGCCTGGCCTGATATTTGTTTTTTAAAACTCACATTCCATTCTTGACATACCATGTATACTGATGTTCTCCACAAAAATCACTTTTTAAAAAATTCAGCATTATGTAGACATTCTAAGAACCACACTATTCATCTTGGCAATTATGTTAATATTGAGTGCCAAGTACCACGGTTCTAAAGAATATAATATCACTGCTTCAAAGTATAATTTTTGAAAACTCCTAATTCTGTAAAGCTATGCTAATTTCTCTGACTGCTGTTGGATACATTAGGATGATATCCAAACTTAAAGAAAGTTGTCTTTATGGTTTTAAAAAGTTCCCAAAACTAATTTATAAAATAAGCATGTTCTCATAATAGAGAAGTGAATTTTTAAGCATAAATTTCTAAGTACATTAAATAATATATTATCATTATTCTTATGTACTTTTATAATACCCAAAACAGTATTTTAAAAGTATAGCAATCTGTTAACAATGATTACCTCTGGTGAGCATGACTGGCAGGAATAGATAAAGAATAGACAGACTTTGTGTTTCTGCTTTTATTTTTACTCTAAATGCTTTTGTACTGTTTAAATATTTAAACAAGTACTTTTTTAATGAAAAATTGAAGAAAAAGGTACAATTATAAAGTCAAGAGTCTCCACGTTTATCTTATTCTACTTCCTGTTATCCCCATTTCTTATCTCCCTCTAGGAGATTGTAGCACTTTAAGAGCTGGGATCTTGTGTGTCTTCTACAGTGTCCTATCTCCCACAGAGCTAACCCCATAGCAGACGCTATGCATCTGGATTAGCAGAAGTAGAGGCAATGAGGACAAGTGGATTCAACAATACTACAGTGAGCCTTTACAAAAAAAAGTACTTTGGAAGGTAGGCTTTGGAATAAAAGAATCTATTATCTTCTCCATATGGAATGCTGGTTAATATCTATTCACAACTCTAACTGCTCTGCTCCTTAAACGTTTAGAACCCTATTTGAACAGGATGTAAGTAGAAATGTGGAATTTTGAAATCTATCCTGAATTGTAAAATATGCCATGAACTGTATATGCCATGGGTTATATACATAAATATATACATAAATATATTTTATATATACATAAAATATAATACTATGCAGTGGCCATGGGTTTAAATGAGGTCAAGGAAAGCAGCTGTTGACAAACCTGTCCCAAATTTACTGAAGGGGTGTTTAGGATTCCCTGTAGCTTTTTCCAATTGAAAGAGTCTCCAGGCATCATTCATCACATTCTTCTCATGTTCTGAATCAACTGCATTCACCTCTCTGTCTTTGCAACTTTCATCGAACAAGGGGCACAGAAAAAACTGTGCAAACCTAAGGGTACGAAACATAATTAAAACTTGAAAGATGTCATTTTAAAACAATAGCCTTTTAGAAAGATTTTTGGAACTTATTAGATAGGAAATGTAAATTTTGCAGAATCAGAAACAAAACTACCATTGCTACTAAGAAAAAAGGAGTATAAAATAAGTGCTATGTAACAGAAGAAAAATCTAATGTTGAACAGAGGTAAATGCAGAGGAGTTGATCTACCCCAGAGATGATAAACAGTGAAAATTTAAAAAATTAACACCAAAAAAGGCAGATTATGGACAATAGCAGTCTATTTAAGATTTTTAATTTGGTACGTCTATAAAAACTTTGTTACATGTGGCTAATGCTCCAAAAAAAAAAAAAAAGAGAAAGAAAGAAAAAGGCAGGTCATAGTTTTTAGGCCAATCTTAAATTTACAGTTTTAGGTGCAATTTCACTTAGACTCAGGCACCTTAGGACAAACAAGTGACCTACTTTTAACAGGCTCAATTTGAATATTTCTTTCTTCTTATGTAGAAAAACAAACTTGAATTAGTAGGAAAAAACATAATGCAGTAAAAAACCTGAGGTATGACATAGTTTGACTAAGCCATGATTATGGGCGTTTATGAAATCATAAGAGAAAAAGTCCATAAAATTTTAATAAGCAGTGATTCAATAAATAACATGGTATGTAACTTTAACATAAGTAACCAATATGCCTTTCTTGAGGCTATTCCTTAATAATAATACCTAACTTTAAGATACCTACAGCTAATAAATTAACTCTTCTATATCAGGTTGAATTTAACTCATGATTCCTGTAGTAATTCTTAAGAAACTTTACATCCCATTTTATAGAATAAGACTTGATTCAGATGAAGCTAAGAGCAGAGGCTCTGAATAGGACTACTTTATTCAGTGGGCCTAAGGAACTCTTGGGTCCATAAACATCTCAGTTACTACGCCTCACAGTCCAGCTGTCACAGAAGCCATTATCATTACTTGTTATTTACTTTAAGTGCATAAGAAAATATGATACTATGCTAAGTACTTTACATATACCACAAGGGGAAACTCTATCTATCTGGAGTCTATAATCAAAGATGTATGAAAACAGATGATTTCTGGTCACATAACATCTTTTACCCACCTCAATACTTCCAGGCTGGGAAAAATGTCTAATAGCTACATACCAAAGCTGGATAGGCCCAGATAAAGGATCATGTTATGACACAGTATAATAAAGTTTTTTAAATGATCCTCTTATACAAGTGGATTTTTAGTTTGAGCCAAGTAACAGACATCCCCCATCATACAGAGATCTATTATATGAACATCTGCTGCAGCATTTGTAAAGCAAGAGATGAAATTCAGTGTATGATCCCAGGGAACTAATTAATGGAAGTCTTCTGGGAATACATATTAGCGATGATTACACCTCAAAGCTGCTGCCTAAAGACTGAAACATAAAATAAAATAAGTAGGAAACAGACTACTTTGGCCCAGCACATCTCATAAACCCATAACCTTGCCTTGATAATGTTTTTTCAATAATATAATAACTATTATTAAAAGTAAGCAAATAAAGCCGACAGTGACTAAAACTGCCAAATTTCATTATAGATCCAAAAAGTTGCAGAATTACACCTTGGCATCACAGAAAACTATAAATATTCACCAAGGATAAACAAATAACTACTGCCTACCATAATGCTTTGGACTACCAGAGTGTAGTCCATTATTTGAGTCAAATAATGAATCAAATCACTGATGCAACAAAAAAATTAGAAATTGTTAGCTGTATAAAAAATTGACCAAAAAAAAAAAAAAAAAGCTGACCAAGGCTGGGCGCAGTGGCTCATGCCTGTAATCCCAGCACTCTGGGAGGCTGAGGTGGGTGGATCAACTGAAGTCAGGAGTTCGAGACCAGCCTGACCAACATGGTGAAACCCCATCTCTACTAAAAATACAAAATTAGCCAGGCGTGGTGGCACATGCCTGTAATCCCAATTACTCGGGAGGCTGAGGCAGAAGAATTGCTTGAACCCGGAAGGCGAAGGTTGCAGTGAGCCAAGACTGCACCATTGCATTCCAGCCTGGGAAACAAGTGCGAAACTCCGTCTGAAAAAAAAAAAAAAATTGACCAAGAAATTAAATCATCCTAATGGAGCTTGCTCCAGAAAACATTCAAAATATCCCCACGGTTGACCAAGAAATTAAATCGGCCTAATGGAGCTTGCTCCAGAAAACACTTTCAAAATATCCCCACGGTTGAAACAGCAGGTCAAAACGTTCTGTATCTACTAAGCATCCTTGAGAAGCAAGGAAATGAACGAGGAGAGAATATTTAAGGTTTAGCATTCTGGAACAGAAGTATGTCTGAAAAGAGATCAATGACATTATCACAGGTTAGTCCTCATCACATGCTTTATATGTAACACCAGTTAGAATGGAAAGGGCTGCTGAAAATTCTATACCTCAATAAAATATTTTGTAGGCCTGAAGGCTCATTTAAAATATGACATCACTCATTTTTTCTTTTTCAGAAAACACAGGGAAAAACACTGTTTAAAATACCTTTTGTTAAATTATGAAGCCATCTCTGTGGAAATAATAATTATTATTATTAATGTGATAAGTACACAAAGTTGGATAATTCATAGGGTATTCTGCATTACCTGTCTAGGGCACCTTCTAGGTGTTCATGAGAAACATCAAAATAGTAATTGGTATGCTCTCCACTAGTAAAGGCATTTGAACTTCCTGCATGCTCACTGAGAAACTGGCTGTATTCATTTTCTTTAGGGTATTTCTTTGTTCCCAAAAAAAGCATATGTTCACAAAAATGACTTAAGCCAGCAATATTTGGAGGATCCGACAATGAACCTGAAAGAGAAAACACGTATATAATAAATCATTGTCCTATGCTGAAAGTTAGTAAGTACAGGTGATTTGTAGTTCTTGTTAGCATGACAACTCCAACTATATAATCAGAGAAAGTTAAGCACAAGCTACCTAAAATGATATTATTTAGAAAGTAAATCAGTAGTCAGAAGACTGGTTTCTAGTGCCTGCTCTTGACGCTAATTAGTTGGTAACCTCAGGCAGGTTACTTAGTGTCTCTGAACATTAGTTTCCCCACATGCCGGAGAGGAAGAAAGAGCTGGATTCACAGTTTTAAGAGGTAAAATTTTCTTTTTATTTATTTATTTATTTATTTTTGAGACGGAGTCTTGCTCTGTCGCCCAGGCTGGAGTGCAGTGGCGAGATCTTGGCTCACTGCAAGCTCCGCCTCCTGGGTTCACGCCATTCTCCTGCCTCAGCCTCCTGAGTAGCTGGGACTACAGGCGCCCACCACCGCGCCCAGCTAATTCTTTGTATTTTTATTAGAGGCGGGGTTTCACCGTGTTAGCCAGGATGGTCTCGATCTCCTGACCTCGTGATCCGCCAGCCTCGGCCTCCCAAAGTGCTGGGATTATAGGCTTGAGCCACCACACCCAGCAAGAGCTAGAATTTTCTTGTCATGATTTCATTGCAGGAGACTATACAGCACAGTGTTAACAGCATGCGTTTGGGGGTTACCACTCTACTGGCTGTGAAACGGTAAGCACAATACTGTACCTATCTTGACTCAATCGCTTCAATATATACCCATCTTACAGGGCTGTGTGAGTACAAATTAGATGACATATGCAAATCACCCTGGTAGTCTAAGGCATTATGGTAGGCAGTAGTTATTTGTTCAATATTACCTTATTTCTTCAGTTCTAAAATGACACTGAGTTAAAAGTTTTTCAAAGAGGACAAAAAGAAACACTGTCCCACTAACTGTACACATACATAAAAAGCAACTCGGCCAGGCACAGTGGCCCACACCCGTAATCCCAGCACTTTGGGAGGACGAGGTGGGTAGATCATCTGAGGTCGGGAGTTTGAGATCAGCCTGGCCTACATGGCAAAACCTCGTCTCTAATAAAAATACAAAAATTAGCTGGGCGTGGTGGCGGGCGCCTATAATCCCAGCTACTAGGGAGGCTGAGGTAGGAAAATTGCTTGAACCTTGAAGGTGGGGGCTGCAGTGAGCGGAGATTGCGCCACTGCACTCCAGCCTCGGCAACAGAGTGAGACTCTGTCTCAGAGAAAAAAAAAAAAAGAAGCAACCTGATTAAAGCAACATTAAATGTGTAAGAAATGTGCCCATGGCAGGGCATGGTGGCTCTCGCCTATAATCCCAACACTTTGGGAGGCTGAGGCGGGTGGATCACCTGAGGTCAGGAGTTCGAGACCAGCCTGGCCAACGTGGTGAAACCTCATCTCTACTAAAAATACCCAAATTAACTGGGCATGATGGTGGACGCCTGTAATCCCAGCTACTCAGGAGGGTGAGGCAGGAAGATTGCTTGAACCTGGGAGGTGGAGGCTGCAGTCAGCCGAGATCACACCACTGCACTCCAGCCCGGACGACAACAGTGAAACTCCGTCTCAAAAAAAAAAAAAAAAAAGAAATGTGCACACAAGGCTGGGAGCAGTGGCTCACGCCTGTAATCCCTGCACTTTGGGAGGCCGAGGCGGGCAGATCACCTGAGGTCAGGAGTTCAAGACCAGCCTGACCAACATGGAGAAACCCCATCTCTACTAAAAATACAGAATTAGGCGGGCGTGGTGGCACGCGCCTGTAATCCCAGCTACTTGGGAGGCTGAGGTAGGAGAATTGCTTGAACCCGGGAGGTGGAGGTTGCAGTGAGCCGAGATCACACCATTGCACTCCAGCCTGGGCAACAAGAGCAAAACTCCCACTCAGAAAAAAAAAAAAAGAAAAAAGAAATGTGCACACAAGAACCTATGAAATATGGTATTAGGCCAGGCACGGTGGCTCACGCCTGTAATCCCAGCACTTTGGGAGGCCAAGGCAGGCAGATCACAAGGTCAAGAGATCGAGACCATCCTGGCCAACATGGTGAAACCCCATCTCTAATAAAAATACAAAAATTAGCTGGGCATGGAGGCCCATGCCTGTAGTCCCAGCTACTCAGGAGGCTGAGGCAGGTGAATTGCTTGAACCCAGGAGGCAGAGGTTGCAGTGAGCCGAGATTGCGCCACTGCACTCCAGCCTGGCGACAGAGTAAACTCTGTCTCAAAAAAAAAAAAAGAAAAAGAAAAAGGAATGTTATATTAAATGTACCACGGTAAAAAAAAAAATCATAACTGTTACTGTAAAGAATGGCAATGAATTTTTGCTGCTAGGTCACCTTAGGTGGGAACCTAACAAGATGTCCTTAGAAAATGTAAGATTATTTGACTGAAACAACTGCAGTTTACCAATAGCTTTACGAGGGTTCTGGTATAAAATAAGGTACATGGAACCGGTAACTATTGAGTATTTAAACACGTATGGAAAGTTCTAATAAATGTCAGCATTAGGTCAATGAAACAAAACAAAGCTTAATTCACAATTTTCAATTGTACCTATGTGCACATCAAGTGCTGCTGATGACTTATCCGTGGTGGGATCACTGATAAGAAGTACTTTGATACCATTGGCCAGCTCTAGCCCTCGATATTCTCGCTTGTCTTCAGGAGACTTGGTAATGTGATTTCCTATTCTCTTGATGGCTGGATTATTCATTTTGCTGTAAGTCTTTTTTTGGAAACTGAAAAGAAAGAGATTTTTAATTGTTGATTTGTGACTTTATATTTAAGGACAAACAATAACGTCAAGTAAACCCATATAATACATCATCAGATTTTTCTAAATGCTGAAGGAAACCTTTTATAGCCACTCTACAGGGTGCAGTCATTCCTTTCCTCCCTCTTACCCCTCATTCTTTCTGAGAAATGCTAACAAAATTGTTTTCATGGAGCCATATTTGTATCTGAAAGAGCACATGGATAGGGATTTGAGATAGGGTGGGTTAGACCATGTGTTGGCCTGTATGCAGAACTAGAATAGAGTTTTTTTTGCTGGTTTTGTTTT
The DNA here is from genome assembly GCF_000001405.40 of Homo sapiens. NCBI lineage: Eukaryota > Metazoa > Chordata > Mammalia > Primates > Hominidae > Homo > Homo sapiens. Next base: position 92,537,874 of record NC_000010.11, read on the forward strand.
TGTTTTTTTGAGACAGGGTCTCAGTTTGTCACCGAGGCTTGTATGCAGTAGCGTGATTTTGGCTCACTGCAGGCCTCAACCTCCTGGGCTCAAGTGGACCTCATCCTCCTGTCTCAGTCCCCCCAAGCAGCTGGGACCACAGGCACTCAACACCACACCCAGTTAATTTTTTGCATTTTTTGTAGAGATGGGATTTCAACTTGTTACCCATGCTGGTCTTGAACTCCTGAGCTCAAGCCGTCTGTCCACCTCAGCCTCCCAATGTGCTAGGATTACAAGTGTGAGCCACTACGCCCCGACCTAGAATAGAGTTTTATTTCACACTATTTCAGAGGTATCTGCTAGAATAAGTGAGGTGAGATGTTGTGTAAGAATTATTACTGGGTTAGCCCAAACACTGCTCAAACTGATGATATTGAAAGATAGGGTAGATCTGGAACTCGCAGGTCTGACATACACATGCTCAGAACATAGGGAACAACTCCCATAGGGAACAACCCCCAATGAGGAACAATCCTGTAAAGTTCTAATATAAAATAAGAGACCGGTGCTGTCCTATGACGGCAGCAATAACAAGGACATAAAACAAACAAACAAAAAGTTGGAAGGACCCCAAGTATTTTTGTAACCTGCTGAAGAGCTGAATGCCAGAGCAGGAAAAGTCTGGCAATCTTAACAGAAATGTCAGAAAAATTCTCTTGCAAAGGGCTTCCTCTGACAGTCTTCTTTCTTCTCTACAAAGGCTAGATTACAGTGATGGGAAAGGACTATCAGTACACAGAATCATGTAGGGATGTTGGTTGCAATTAGTGCAGTGAAGGGACTTTCCAGAGTCTGGGGTACGCATGTTTTTTGAGAGTAGGGTAGATGTAACTTTTGTCTATACTGGAGATTGCTTAATAGACAAAAAAAAAAAAAAACTGAAACTGCTACTACTGGCAGGTTAATATACTGCCAGTATATAATTAAGTAAAGCCAAAAACATATCTGGAACTACAGAGGAAAAATAACCCTCTATGAGCACATCTGCTTCTTACCTACAAGACAAAACTAAACAGATCTGACTGTTCCTTAAAGACTGACAGCTAGATTTAAACGTAAGTAAGAGGGGGAAGAAATAGGCATACAATTATTTTAGATAAGTTTTTTCTGTGTTAAAATCTCTAGAGATTGAGAGAGGAAAAAAAATCTAGTTTGCTTTCACCATTATATTTTCCTCTCTGAAATCACCTATAACTATTCTTCCAATCTGCATAACAATTGATAAATCAAAGGGGTTTGTTGCTACTAAGACTGTCCCCTAGATCCCCTAGATCTTTTTTTTTTTTCTCTCGCCCTCTCTTACAGTGCTGATAGATCTTCTTTAGAGGAGAGGAGATACGGAATTTTAAAGATCAACATATCACACTAAATGTATAATACTGGTTTTAAAAATCACATAGTACTTTACAACAGATAGTGCTAATGGTCTCCTATTTATAGTAAAAATCATTTCTTGAAAAACAAAGCATAAAATATAATACTAACATATTGGGGCTATGTTAGTAGGTCACTGTTGGAAAATTCAAAAGCAACTTGAAACTGAAAAGCCATTATTAACAATTATTTTCAGCCAGGCACGGTGGCTCGCGCCTGTAATCTCAGCACTTTGGGAGGCTGAGACGGGCGGATCACAAGGTCAGGAGATCAAGATCATCCTGGCCAACATGGTGAAACCCTGTCTCTACTAAAAATACAAAAATTAGATGGGTGTGGTGGCGTGCACCTGTAGTCCCAGCTACCTGGGAGGCTGAGGCAAGAGAATCGCTTCAACCCGGGAGGCAAAGGTTGCAGTGAGCTGAGGTCAAGCCACTGCACTCCAGCCTGGCGACAGAGTGAGATCCTGTCTCAAAGAAAAAAAAAAATTATTTTCTTTCTCATTAGCCATAAGCCACTAAAATTCAATGGCAAAGAACGATGAAAATATCTGAGTGCCAAGTCTAAAAAATGGTGTTTGCGGTAAAATAGTAATAATTCTCAGGGTGACAGGAAATGGTCTATTTTAGACTCTAAAGAGGGGTACAAGGAACCTCAGATAACAGTCCTAGGCCAGGCACAGTGACTCACGCCTGTAATCCTAGCACTTCGGGAGACTGAGGCGGGCAGATCATCTGAGGTCAGGAGTCTGAGACCAGCCTGGTCAATATGGTGAAACCCCATCTTTACTAAAAATACAAGAAATTAGCTGGACATGGTGGCGGGTGCCTGTAATCCCAGCTATTTGGGAGACTGAGGCAGCAGAATTGCTTGAACCCGGGAGGCAGAGGCTGCAGTGAGCCAAGATCATGCCACTGCACTCCAGCCTGGGCGCAACAGAGCGAGACTCCGTCTCAAAAGAAAAAAAAAAAAAACAGTTCTGGTTAAGACATTTGGCAAAGGACAATCTGTTTAGACTGCAGCAAATGCCTTCAGTGTGTACACAGTTTGTTTCAAAAACATTAATTTGAGTTCAATATAAATTAAACTATTTTTAAAAATGAATCCAACTTAGCAGCGACATAACACTAAATAAGCCACAAGGCAGCCTCCATTAAGACACCCAGCAAGAAGGGCAGTGTTAAAACGGCAGTGTTAATAAGAACCTCCGTGTGTACCAAAGAGAATGCCTGAACTTACCCCAGGCAAGAATCTACTCCAGGGAGAAAAGAGGTTGGTCTTCTGGTGATAGTTATACTCAATTTCCTCTGTGGTGCTTGACCTAGTGAGTTTGACTTAGGTAACCAAAAATTACAAATGACTGAAATGTAATAATGATGATGATGATGATGGTCTAAAACTTCTGTCCAAACCACAACTGTGTAGAGGGGAGATGAAATATAGCTCACTTTGGAAGTATAAATTAACTTACTATGTGGGAGGTTAAAAACTCTATATAAAGATAACCACCTCAACTATAAGCTACACTCTGTACTTTTTTTCAGGGTTTCAACTTCCCTTATCTGGATTTTAATTTTTTTAGACAAAAAAAATTTAAATTGTAAAACACAGAGTAGGATGTAGGTAGACAGAACAGTTCCAGCCCAGTAAGAACTATTTGCAAATGATCAGAATCCATCACAGCCATGGATATAACTTATTTGGACGCTGAAGTTGTGCTGGATTAATATTCCTGATATGGTTGAGAATAAAGAGATAGATTTATTCTACAAGTCACACATAAAAATTAGTCCAACTACTAGTGTACAAAGGATCAAGAAAAGCTAAAAATTTCCAAGGTGGCAATACTCCCTAATCAAATATCATGACTTCTTGAGGAAGTAAAACCCAAAAGAAATAGTAGCAACATTTTCAAACAAAACCTATTCCTGGCAATCCTATTCAATACAAAGTCTGGGTTTACCTATAGCATATCTATAAACACTTCCTACAACGATTTGATTCTCACCTTCTGGAGAAGTGAAGACAATGACTGGGAACTCTTCCTCCTCTGATGATGAATTCATCAACAGCTTGCCTGTCTCTGTATTTATACTCATAAGATCACCTGTCTATCTACTTCAGATCATTAGCATAAAGCCTTCAAGAGTAATTTTATTTATGGCAAATGTTCTCCAATAAGCAAGCATACTGACAATTTAGATGACGAGCTAGTGTTAACTCAAATGCTTTCCCAGACATTTATATTTTTAACTTGTTAAAGTTAAAATTTTAGGAGCAATAAAATTACTTTCAATTCTAGGGACATTGTCATACACTGGAAACTTCATAAGGCACAGAACTGTCTTTTCAGCACTCTGATAAACTGGAGAGATATTTAGTAATTACAACATATATTTTGTCATTCTGCTCAGAATTTAAAACAATGACTATAATCACAGAAGATAAAAGCTGGAAGAGCCACTAGATGTTATCTAGTCCTTTGCAGTTCAGGGACTGGCTACACTGGCTTCTCCTGGGAGCTTGTTAAAAATGCAAAATATCAGAACCCACCAGAGACCTACTGAGCCATAATCTGCATTTTAACAAGATCCCCAGGTGGGCTAGATCCCCTCATCTTACATACAAGGAAACTGAACCTCAAGGAGTTTAATAAATCAGTTGCCCAAGATCATACAACAAAAAGTTATAATCAAACTCAGTCTTAACTCCCAGTCCTGTGTCCAGCCTCCCCTCCACATCCAAACAAACACTTAAGGAAGTCTATTAAGGTCCAGGCATCACACTATGCAAATGGTTACAAAAATGAGTACACCAGAGCCCTTGTTTTGAAGGAACCTAGACTAGTGATGAAGTCAGATATAAAAACAGGTCATTATCTTTTTTTTCTACTTTTTGAGACAAGGTTTCACTCTGTCACCCAGGCACAATCTTGGTTCACTATAGCCTCAACATCCCGGGCTCAGGTGATCCTCCCACCTCAGCCTCCCCAGTAGCTGGGACTATAGGCACTCACCACCGTACCCAGCTAATTTTTTGTTTTGTTTTATAGACAGGGTTTCGCCATGCTGGCCAGACTGGTCTCGAACTCCTGGCTTCAAGCAATCCACCCGCCTTGGCCTCCCAAAGTTCTGGGACTACAGGCATGGGCCACCGTGCCTAGTCTCTAGGTAATTTTTTTGTAGAGATGGGGTTTTGCCATGTTGTCCAGGCTGGTCTTTCAAACTCCTGGGCGCAAGAGACTGCCGCCTTGGCCTCCCAAAGTGCTGGGATTACAGGCATGAGACACTACACCCAGCCCAGGTCATTATCTTTTAAGTGTGGTGACAAAACTTTCCCTGGGGCACTATGGGAGTAACCCTGTCTAGGAGGGGGAGTAGAAGCACACCAAATAAAAGGCAAGGGGACAATCAATCAAAGTAGAAGGGAATTCGTGAGCGAAGCCTGACAATGAGGAAAAAGCATGAGGAATACAGTGGAAAAACAAGAAGCGTGGTGCTAATGAACTACAACAGGAACTCCAGGTCAAGATCATGGACTAAGACATGTAAAGGCCTAAATTTCAGGTTTGCAAAAACAAATCCCCAAATATAAGGTCATTTCCAAATTCCACACCAAGAGTAAATTTTACTCTGCAAAGAATCTTTTATTCAGGTGACCTTTCAGTCTTTCTCATCTCTCTTTAAAGTGTTTCATGATCAATATAGTAGCAGATTGGGAAATTTTACTTTGCTTTTTGCTTCCTACTCACCTCCATTGGTCTCTCACAAATTTAAAGTCAGACCTGATTTAGAAATAATGACCTATAAACCTGAACAGGTGAGTGATCACGTTAATAGTGAATTACAAACCAAAACCTCCCTTCTGTGGAATCCATCCACCCACTCCCAAAACCATAGGTGGAAGTCAAGGCCTATAGCACTCATGCATGTGGAGGAGGAGCCCAGAGAGAAAAGGCATGGAATCAAAACCACACCACATAACATTCCCAGTTCCTTGCAGAAGGTAGAGGTAAATAAGCAGAGGGTGACAAGATAGTGGTGGTATGAGCCCAAGGATGCCTCAACATATTAATGCTTAAGACCATATACCCCAAGTACTATTAATAATACATGAACTAAAAAATAACAACATGTCTTAGGGAACCACCTACCCAAAGCTCTTCAGTTATAGGAACAGGTACACCTAACTTCATACACCAGCTAGATCATAAAGTTGGGTACAAAATAAAATCCTGTTAAACTTATTCACCCCTGATGTTTTGCCTTTGTGCCAGGCAGAATATCAGCTATCGTAACTCTATGTCCTGGCCCTCTGGAAAGGAGTTTATGATCAACAAATAAACCCTTAAATGAAGTAGGGTGGTTGCAATTTAAAGAAATTCTAAAGTAGTATCATTCTAGAGAGAAGTGCTTTTGCAAATGTTGTTTTAGTTTGATGCATGCCTATCAATGGTTGTTCATTCCAAAAGTGACAAGCTTAACACAGAACACTTTATAGAAACGTTATAAAGTTTAAGCAAGTGAATAAAACCTCTGTTTTAGACCTTGTGCCACAGAGGTAACTATAGAAAGTTTCTTGTAGTTTGGGTACCAAGGGTGTTTCACAAGTATCCTTCTTCCACATGGAGTTTTCAGGGCTGTTAGGAAATGTAAGATATAGGCCGGGTGCCGTGGGTCACGCCTGTAATCCCAACACTTTGGGAGGCCGAGGTGGGCAGATCACCTGAGGTCAAGAGTTTGAGACCAGCCTGGCCAACATGGTGAAACCCTGTCTCTACTGAAAATACAAAAATTAGCCAAGCATGATGGCGCATGCCTGTAATCCCAGCTACTTGGGAGGCTGAGGCAGGAGAATCACTTGAACCCAGGAAGCGGAGGTTGCAGTGAGCCAAGATTGCGCCACTGCACTCCAGCCTGGGTGACAGAGCGAGACACCATCTCAAAAAAAAAAAAAAAAAGATAGAATACCATTGTACAAATCTAATCCTAACAATCACTCTCATTTTTTTAAAGTGTCATAGGCTTTATAAACTGTTCATTTAATCCTTCCATTCTCCTTAAGTGGTGGGTCGTAACAGCTGTTCGCAGTCATCCTCTTCAACTCCAAATGAGAAACAAAAGCTCAGTCAGTGCTTGCATACTAAAGTATAACCAAAAAGAAAAAAAAGAAAAGATAAGTGGTTAAGTGACTTGCCCAAGGGCAAGCTGATTGTGGTAAAGCTGGAACTACAGAGAAAGAGGAAGCGTGGGAAGGGGAGGGACAGAGGTGGTGCTGAAGGAAATCATACACTGGTTTATTCTCCAGCTCCTGTTTATCACCCTCACAGTCCTTCCCTAGCCCCATTCTTCTTCCCTTACAATCCCAAATAACAAAAGCCAGGAAACAAAAATTAAACTAGGTCAAAATAAATGCTCCAAGGAAAGTTTTCAGTTTTTCACTCCTTCTTCTGCATATAAAACACAGGTAGTAGGGGGAGTCTGCAATGCTTCTAATCTACCAAAGGAATCCCTTAGCTAAGAACCATAATACATGGCAGGATTAAATGTATAACAGGTTTAAAGCAAGAGAGTATATGTACAGAACTGACTCATGCATGAAAGGAAACATAAAAACAAGTACTACAGTAGACATGAATGGGTTTAAGTATACTATTTTTTAAAAGTATACATTAAACCATATAATCAGAAAAAAGAGAAGAAAATCATAATCATCTTGGTAGCTGCAGAAAAGTACTTAAATTCAACAACCATTCACGTATTTTTTTAAAGTCAGCAAACTGGAATTAAATTTATCCATTTTAAAAAGAATATCATAGAAACTATGGTAATTATCATACTCAATGGTATACTCAATAGTTTACATTACAATTAATGTAAACAATCTCCCGCCCTCCCCCACCAACACGATGCCACTAACACTTCTTCTATTTCAACATTGTATTGGTAGTTCTAACCAGTCCAAATAAACCAAGAAAAAGAAACAAAACACATAGAGATGGGAAAGGAAAGAGGAAAAAAATTAACATGATTCTCAAGCAATATGATTATGTATATAGAAAATCCCAAGAATCTACTGACAACTTCCACTTCTGGGTAGGATATAGCAGCTCATGGCAAACTAATTCAGCTTCAACAACTAGAAAAGGCCATGATAAATTACAAAAATCACATTTGCAAAGATGTTGGAAAGTTGTGCAAGCAACAAGGATTGGATAAACTAGTTCCAGAAAGGTGAGCAACCTCTGAGGTGAGCTGATAATCATCATTCATTTTCTTATCTGGGAATATCTGCTAATTCTGAGTGCAGACTGAAGATCATGCTTGCCCTAAGCAAAGGGACTGTACTGGACGAAGAGGTATTATTGAGGCTTCAGTGGTGGCATGAAGTTGGTGTGACAGATTAAAGTCCCAGGAGGTCCCAAATTTGCAACTAACTTTCCCAACAGAAGATTTTCTGAGATACTACTATGTATTTACCAGAATGGCTAAAAAGAAAAAGAGGGCAAATACCAAGTGTTAGAGAAGTTAACAAACTCTCACACACTGCTACAGACATGCAATTTGGTATGGGTACAACCATTTTCAAAAACTGGCACTATACACTAAAGCTCACACTATGACCTAACAATGCTAGTAACAGATAAATAACCCAAATAAATGCATTTATATGTTCATAGCAACACTATTCAAACTAGCCCAAACCAGAAATGATCAAATGACAATCAACAGTGAAATGATAAATTGTACATGCACACAATGGAAAGTATACAGCAATAAAAAGGAATAATATAGAACAAAGCACAATAAACATGAATCTCACTAATATAGGGTTGAGTGAAAGAGGCTAGACACAAAAGAGTAAATACTGTAACCTTCCATTTATACAAAGCAGAAGAGCAAGTAAAATCAAGCTATGCTTTCATCCCAGGATAGTCATTACCCTTGGGAGTGGGAGTAGTGATTGGATTTGGAAAGGAGAATGAAGGGGGCTTTGGGGTTCCAGGTCATGTGCTGGTTATACAGGTACGTTCAGTTTGTAAAAATGCATTAAGTTGAACACTGCCATCTTTCAATTAAAAGTTCTTAAAAATAGAGCTTTTCAAAATATCATAAAACACAGTAAAATAAAAGGAAGGGGGAGATACATGAATTACTGATATTACAAATATCAACCGCCAAAAATCATCCTGGAAATAGTACCACTTGAATACTGGAAAGCAGCTACCCATACCAAAGAGGTGCTAAACTAAGAAGGCTCACTAAGGAACAGTAGTACAATTAACATAATTAAACCTTCTCAGGTGTGTCTCGAGACAATTATTTCAATTATTTCTGTTGATGCTATCTTGGCCACAAGAAATAGGAGGCCCATGTAAGTACAGCATCAGTCAACTAAGTTAATTCAGTATGCTAAATCTTTTAACTCAGGACTTTACTCATTACATATTATTTGAAAACTAGCTTTTAGTAATTACTTTAGACTCTAGTTAAGATCTAAAAATAAAACTTGACACTTCCAGTAACTAATAGCTAAGTATAACATAGATAAAAGCAAAATGATTAAACTTTGAATAAATTCTCCCCTCAACAATTTTCAATATTTATACCAAACAACTTCTAATTCAGGATTTGAATGAGAAAAATTATTTTTAAAACAAAATTAAAAGAATACCATATAACGTTAACATTTCTTCAAACTCAACTAATTTTACATATGGGCAACCTCCCACAGATGCTTCATGAACCCAGAACAGCAAGGGCAGCTTAAAGACACCTGTCATGGTTTTCTTCTTCTTCTTCTTTTTTGTAAGATAGGGTCTCACTCCCAGCGCCCAGGCTGGAGTGCAGTGGCACTATCATGGCTCATGACTTCCTGGGCTCAGGTGATCCTCCCACCTCAGCCTCCTGCGCAGCTGGGACTACAGGCATACGCCACCATGCCCGGCTAATTTTTTGTATTTTTTTTTTTTTTTAGTAGAGACAGGGTTTTACCATGTTTCCCAGGATGACTCGAACTCCTGGGCTCAAGCAATCTGCCCGCTTCGGCCTCCCAAAATGCTGGGATTACAGGCATAAGCCACTGCACCTGGCCTGGTTTCTAAAGATCAATTCAAATCACAGGCTGGGAAGAGTTATCGACCTGTAAGTAATTCTCTCAAGATAGCCTTCTAAAAAAAGCAAACCATAAATATCCCTTATCAAAAATGGTTGGGATCAGATGTATTTCAGATTTTCCTGGATTTTTAAATATTTGCATTACATTTACCGATAGAGCATCTACTTTGAGCATCATGTTGGTGCTCAAAAAATTTAGAATTTTGGAGCATTTCTGATTTTGAATTTTGAATTTTTCAGATTTGGAATGCTCAACCTGTATTCTGTACAGACAGTTCAGTTCCACTCATATGTACAGAAGATGATCTGCCCAACTCAGAGAATGCTGCCTCAGGAAACTTGACCTGTACTTTGCCTTAGGTGTGATTCTTCACTGTCTGCACTGATCTACTGACCACTTCCAGCCCGTGTTTGGTAATTACATACCCTCACCTTTACCAGATGACCTCTCTGCTCCTGAGGCACTGGATACTACTGGACTATTCTGGTCAAACCAGACTTTCTGGCCTCATCTAGCTTGTTTTTTTAAAAAACAGTTCTCCCTATGTTGCGCAGGCTGAACTTGAACACCCAGGCCCAAGCGATCCTCCCATCTCAGCCTCCCAAGTAGGATGGTGTGCCATCGTGCCCATCTTGGCCTCATCTAGTTTTGACAATCAAGAGTCAGATGAGGCCAGGCGCGATGGCTCATGCCTGTAATCCCAGCACTTTGGGAGGCCAAGGCAGGCCGATCACCTGAGGTCGGGAGTTCAAGACCAGCCTGACCAACGTCGAGAAACTCCATCTCTACTAAAAACACCAAAATTAGCCAGGCGTGGTGTCAGACTCCTGTAATCCCAGCTACTCGGGAGGCTGAGCAGGAGAATCGCTTGAACCCAGGAGGCAGAGGTTGCGGTGAACCAAGATTGTGCCACTGCACTCCAACCTGGGCAACAAGAGCAAAACTCCATCTCAAAAAAAAAAAAAAAAAAAAAAAAAAAAAGAGTCAGATGAAATGTATACATGGCTCATTAAATTGACAGGGGCACCTATAGTTGCATCACACTCAGACAACCTTTCACAGAGTTTCTCCTGTAAAATATGTTTATATAAACTTCACCAAGGCATAGTTCCTGGTACACAGTAGTCATCCATGAATGGTAACTTGATTATTATAAAATCATCATCATTATTATGGTCGCAGTGGCTAAGGTGCAAATGAACCACCTCCATAACCACCATGTTATTACCAGCATTCTTAACACATACTTATGTGAATTCCAGATGTTATTTGTCATCTCTGGAGGTCAAAAACATTCATTAGGTAGGCTGATAATAGGATTATACTTTATAAGACTATTAGGAAACCAGGTAAATAATTATCCCTTTATAATTGCTATAGATGAGCCAGTGTTTATAGTAAGTAGTTCTCAATGGGTGACTATTCCCACTCACCAACCCTCGCTGAGGACATATGGCAATGACTAGAGGCATTTTTTATTGTCACAACTGAAGGTGCTAATGGCACATAGTGAGTAGAGGCCAGGGATGCCACTAAGCAACCTACACTGTATGGGATATCTCCCACAAGAAAGAATTATATGATCCACACCTGTAATCCCAGCACTTTGGGAGGCTGAGGCGGGCGGATCACATGAGGTCAGGAGTTAGAAACCAGCCTGGCCAACATATTGAAACACTGTCTCTACTAAAAATACAAAAATCAGCTGGGCATGGTGGCACAAACCTGTAATCCCAGCTACTCGGGAGGCTGAGGCACAAGAATCAGTTGAATCTGGGAGGCGGATGTTGTGTGAGCCAAGACTGTGCCACTGCACTCCAGCCTGGGCAACAGAGTGAGACTGTGTCTTAAAAAAAAAAAAGATTTTGGCACAAAATATCAATAGTGCTAAGGATGAAAGACCCTAGCTTATAGTTCTGATTTTATTACCCCCAAAATAATGGATGAAAATCAATGCAACCAATTCTATCCACTTAAATCCAAGAGACAGCCTCATTAAAGTACAGAACGCTTCTATAATTAAACTCCCATCTATGTATCTACATATCTCTCAATCAATCAATCAATCAATCAACATCTAAGCCACAAAAGATTTACATAAAGAGAGGAGAAAAACTGATAATGAAAGAGAAAGAGAGAAGGAAACTTTACAGGAACCTTGTCCTAGAGTAAGGAATCTAGTACGTAAGTGAAGGGGTTAAGCTTAGAAAGAAGCAAAGCCAGTATGTCAGAACAGATGCTTACTGAATACTCAGTCAGTATCTTGTGGCACATATACTTGTTTAGGGAATAAATCTATTATATATTATACATATATATAATATATTCAATAAACCCCTTATATAGATCCTATTAGTCCCATTCTTTACTGGATGGGGAAATTAAAGCTCAGAAAAGTTATTTGGTTGGAACCACATAGGTATAAAATAGAAGAGCTAGGATTCAAACCCAAGTCTTTAGACACAAAATGACCATGCTGTTTAACACTCCACCAAGTTAAAAGTTCATCTCAACACTTTGGGAGGCCGAGGCAGGCAGATCACCTGAGGTCAGGAGTTCAAGACCAGCCTGAACAACATGGAGAAACCCCGTCTCCACTAAAAATACAAAATTAGCTGGGCATGGTGGCGCATACCTGCAATCCCAGCTACTCGGGAGGCTGAGGCAGGAGAATCTCTTGAACCTGAGAAGTGGAGGTCGCAGCAAGCTGAGATCACGCCATTGCACGTCAGCCTGGGCCATCTCAAAAACTAAGTAAATAAGTAAATAAATAAATAAACTGACCTATATTAAAATAAAAAATTTCTGTGCAAAGGACACAGTGAAAAGGCAACCTGTGGAGTGGGAAAAAATATCTGATAAGGGGTTAATATCCAGAATATATTAAAATCTGCAACAAAACAACAAAAAATTTCTAAATGGGCAAAGGTCTTAAAAAGCCACTTCTCCAAAGAAGATATACAAATGGCCAATAAGCATATAAAAAGATGCTCAACATCACTAATCATTAGAAAAGTACAAATCAAAACTAAAATGAAGTACCACTTCATACCAATTAGGATAATTATTTTAAAAACACTGTGAATACAAAAAATTAGCCGGGTGTGGTGGCAGGTGCCTGTAGTCCCAGCCAATCGGGAGGCTGAGACAGGAGAATGGTGTGAACCCAGGAGGCGGAGCTTGCAGTGAGCAGAGATAGCGCCACTACACTCCAGCCTGGGCAACAGAGCTAGACTCCGTCTCAAAAAAAAAAAAAAAAAAAAAAAATCGTGGCCAACATGGTGAAACCCCGTTTCTACTAAAAATATAAAAATTAGCTGGGCGTGGTGGCATGCGCCTGTAGTCCCAGCTACTCAGGAGGCTGAGGCAGGAGAATGGCATGAACCTGGAAGGCAGAGCTTGCAGTGAGCCGAGATCGTGCCATTGCACTCCAGCCTGGCAACAGAGCGAGACTCGGTCTCAAAAAATAATATTAAAAAATAAAATAGAATAAATAATAAGTGCAGGTGAGGATGTAGAAAAACTGGAACCTGTGCACACTTGCTAGTGGGAATACAAAATGGTACAGCAGTATGGAAAACTGTATGGCAGTTCCTCAGAAAATTAGAAATAGAATTACCATGTGATCTAACAATTCCACTTCTGGATACATATACAAAAGAAATGAAACCAAAGACTCAAACAGATATTTGTACAGCTATGTTCATAGCAGCAGTACTGGCAACAGCCAAAAGGTGGAAGTCACGCCAGTGTCCACTGATGGATGAATCAGTAAACAAAACGTAGTTTATACAATAAAATTTATTCAGCCTTAAAAAGGAAAAAAATTCTGGCACATGCTACCATATGAACCTAGAAGACATACTAAATGAAATAAGCTGGCTGGGTGCAGTGGCTCATGCCTGCAATCCCAGCACTTTGGGAGGCTAAGGCAGGTGGATCAGGAGGTCAAGAGATCGAGACCATCCTGGCCAACACGGTGAAACCCCATCTCTACTAAAAATACAAAAATTAGCTGGGAGTGGTGGTGCACACCTATAGTCCCAGATACTCAGGAGGCTGAGGCAGGAGAATTGCTTGAACCCGGGAGGCAGAGGTTGCAGTTAGGCAAGACTGCACCACTGCACTCCAGCCTGGTGACAGAGCAAGACTCCATCTCAAAAAAAAAAAAAAAAAAAGAAAAGAAATCAGCTAATCACAAAAGGACAAATACTACACAACTCCACTTATATAAGGTACCTAGAGTAGTCAAATTCACAGACAGAAAACAGACAGGTGGTTGCAAGGGTCTGAAGGGAGGGGAAATGGTGAGTTATTATTTGATGGGTACAGAGTTTCAGTTTGGTGAGATGAAAAAAGTTCTAGAGATGGATGATGGTGATGGTTACACAACAACGTGGATGTATTTACTGCCACCGAACAATACACTTAAAAATGCTCAAAATGGGCCAGGTGCAGTGGCTCATGCTTGTTACCCCAGTACTTTGGAAAGCCAAGGTAGGAAGATCACTTGAGGCCAGGAGTTTGAGACCAGTCTGGGCAACATAGTCAGACCCCATCTATACACACACACAAAAAGGTCAAAATGATAAATTTTATGTTACATATTCTTTATCACAATAATAAAACCAACCATGATGGGGGGGTGGGGTGAGAAACAATCAATATTCTAACAAACTAACCTAACAACTATAAATGAGTAACATAATCACATTGAAGGAGTGTAAAAGAAAAGAACTTAACTATGGAAAGCTGGATTTTGACTGGATACAATAAAGCCTAAGAGAAAAAGAACTACATGCAAATATTGTGACCTATTTTAAAAATGTTTCTCACAGGTGAGCTAGCAATTATGAAACTATGTGTACACTAGAATTGAGGAAATAAGAAAGTAAATTGTAGAAAATGAAATCCAGTGTTCTCATTGTTGGAAAAAGATGTTATAAATAAGAAATGGGAGAAGGCTACAATTGTGGTACTAAGTTGGAATCAAAGGTATCAATACAAACTTATATTTTTATTATATACAAAAAGACATAGAAATATAAAAACGTGTATATGTGGCTGTCCACCAGAGGCACTAGACTGGCCGGCCACTAGAAGCAATGACACCTCAGCAACAATGAGCACATCTAGTGCCCAGATCTTGGTCTGCGAAGATTATTTTCTGCTCAGGTGAGTTGGCTCACGCCTGTAATCCCAGGACTTTGGGAGGCTGAGGCGAGCAGATCACCTCAGGTCAGGAGTTTGAGACCAGTGTGGCTAACATGGTGAACTCCCATCTCTACTAAAAATACAAAAATTAGCCAGGCATGGTGGCACATGCCTGTAATCCCAGCTACCTGGAGGCTGAGGCAGGAGAATTGCTTGAACCTGGGAGGCAGAGATTGCAATGAGCCGAGATCACACCATTGTACTCCAGCCTGGGTGACAGAGTAAGACTCAGTCTCAAAAAAAAAAAAAAAAAAAAATTATTTTCCAATAAAAGGAACTAAGTGATTGATTCAAGGGCTAGGGCAAGAAAAATATGAGTCTAGAACAGAAGTAAAACAATACTCTAAAAAAGATGGGGCTTATTCAAAATACACAGGAGCCAAAATGAAGAAACTCCTAAGGGTCCAAGCCATAATAATTTGAGCAACAAAACAAAGAACGATAGTACTGAATTTTCAGCCGTAAGTTAAGATAAATGTATGTTCATAGCAATATAAATAAATAAGAAAAAGAAAAAGCAGGCTGGGCATGGTGGCTCACACCTGTAATCCCAGCACTTTGGGAGGCTGAGGAAGGCGGATCACCTGAAGTCAGGAGTTCTAGACCAGGTTGGCCAACATGGTGAAATCCTGTCTCTATTAAAAATACAAAAATTAGCCAGGTGTGGTGGCACACGCCTGTAGTCCCAGGTACTCAGGAAGCTGAGGCAGGAGAATTGCTTGAACTTGGGAGGCAGAGGTTGCAGTGAGCCAAGACTATGCCACTGCACTCCAGCCTGGGCAACAGAGTGAGACTCTGTCTCAAAAAAAAAAAAAAAGAATACCAATCTTTCTCAAATTCTTCCAAAAAAGAAGAGAGAATACCTCCAAACTCATTTTATGAAATCAGTATTACCCTGATACTAAAGCCAGACAAGGACATTACAAGAAAAGAAAACTACAGGCCAATAACCTTGATGAATATAGACAAACATTTAGCCAGACTAAGAAAAAAAGAGAGACAACACAAAATCAGAGATGAAAAAGGAGACATTACAACTGATACCGCAAAAATTCAAAAGATCATTAGTGGCTATTATGAGCAACTATATGCCAATAAATTGAAAAATCTAGAAAAAATGGATAAATTCCTAGACACATACAACCTACCAAGATTGAACCATGAAGAAATCCAAAACCTGAACACACCAACAAGTAACAAGATTGAAGCCATAATAAAAAGTCTCCTAGCAAAGAAAAGCCCAGGACCCATGGCTTTCCTGCTGAATTCTACTAAATATTTAAAGAACTAATACCAATTCTACTCAAATTATTCCAAAAAATAGACAAGGAAGGAATAACTCCAAACTCATTCTATGAGGCCAGTATTACCCTGATACCAAAACTACACAAAGACACATCAAAAAAGGAAAACTACAGGCCAATATCACTGATGAATATTGATGCAAATACCCTCAACAAAATACTAGCAAACCAAATTCAACAGCACGTTAAAAGGATCATTCACCTTGATCAAGTGAGATTTATCCCGGCAATGCAAGGATGGTTCAACATCAACACACTTATTGCAAATCAATAAATGTGATATACCACATTAACAGAATGAAGGGGGAACAACCCCACACAATCATCTCAATAGATGCAGAAAAAAGGCTAAGTATAGTGGCTCATGCCTGTCATCCCAGCATTTTGGGAGGCTGGGGTGGGAGGATGGCTTGAATTCAAGAGCTCAAGACTAGCCTGGGCAACACAGCAAGATACCGTCTCTACAAAAACAGCTGGGCATGATGGCACATGCCTATATTCCCAAGTACTCAGGGATGCTAAGGTAGAAAGGTCCCTTGAGCCCAAGAGTTTAGGTCTGCAGTGAGCCATGATTGCACCACTGCACTCCAATCAGGCTGACAAGAATGCAACAGTGTCTTAAAAAAAAAAAAAAAAAGATGGCCAGGTGCAGTGGCTCATGCCTGTAATCCCAACACTTTGAGAGGCCAAGGCAGGCGGATCACTTGAAGTCAGGAGTTCGAGACCAGTCTGACCAACATGGGAAAACCCCGTCTCTACTAAAAATACAAAATTAGCCAAGCGTGGTGGCACATGCCTGTAATCCCAGCTACTCGGGAGGCTGAGGCAGAAGAATTGCTTGAACCTGGGAGGCAGAGGTTGCAGTGAGCCAAGATCTCACCACTGTACTCTTGCACTCTAGCCTGAGCAACAAGAGCAAAATTCCATCTCAAAAAAAAAACAAACAGAAAAATACCTCTTCACAGATAGCTTTCAGATGCCACATGCAGGAGCTGTGAAAAAAGGGGGGAAAAATAGAGCAGAAAAATAATTTGACAAAATTCAACAGCCTTTCACGGTAAAAACTCTCAACAAATTAGGTATACAAGGAATACCTCCATTGTGTACTTCAGTACAATAAGAGCCATGGAAGACAAGCAAACAATGAACGTATTCAGCAGTGAAAAGCTGAAAGCCTTTCCTCTATAATCAGGAACAAGCATGACAAGGATGCCCACTCTCATTTCTATTCATCAATGATAATTTTCTGATTCTGATGGTATTGTGATGATATAGAAAATCACACTAAAGAGGCCGGGCACAGTGGCTCACGCCTGTAATCCCAACACTTTGGGAGCTGAGATGGGGGGATCACCAGAGGCCAGGAGTTCAAGACCAGCCTGACCAACATGGTGAAATCCCATCTCTACTAAAAATACAGAATTAGCCAGGCATGGTGGCACATACCTGTAATCCCAGCTACTTGGGAAACTGAGGCAGCAGAATCACTTGAACCCAGGAGGCGGAGGTTGCGGTGAGCCGTGATAGTGCCATTGCACTCCAGCCTGGGCAACAAGAAAAAAACTTTGTCTCAAAAAAAAAAAAAAAAAGAAAATCACACTAAAGTATCCAATGGTCAAATTACTGTAATTGGTTCAGGAAAAAAATTATTTGCACTATATTGTACAATAAAAACTTTTCAGTATGAGATTGTTTCAAAAATACAGTATATCTCTTTCATGACAAAAATGCTGATCAAACTAGGAATAAAAGAGAATTTCCTCAACCTGAAAAAGGGACTCTATGAATAAGCTACTGCTAGCATCGTACTTAATGGTGACAGATAATGTTTTTACCATTAAGATCAAGAAGATGACAAGGATTTCCACTCTTGCCACTTCTATTCAACACTGTCCTGGAAGTTCTAAACAGACCAATTAGGCAAGAAAATGAAATAAACGGCGTACAAATTAGAAAGAAAAAAGTAGGCCGGGCGCGGTGGCTCACGCCTGTAATCCCAGCACTTTGGGAGGCCGAGGCGGGTGGATCACGAGGTCAGGAGATCGAGACCATCCTGGCTAACAAGGTGAAACCCCGTCTCTACTAAAAATACAAAAAATTAGCGGGGCGCGGTGGCGGGCGCCTGTAGTCCCAGCTACTCGGGAGGCTGAGGCAGGAGAATGGCGTGAACCCGGGAAGCAGAGCTTGCAGTGAGCCGAGATTGCACCACTGCAGTCCGCAGTCCGGCCTGGGTGACAGAGCGAGACTCCGTCTCAAAAAAAAAAAAAAAAAAAAAGAAAGAAAAAAGTAAAATTAGCTCCATTTGCAGAAGACATGATCTTGAATATAAAAATATCAATTGTATTTCCATACAGTAGCAATGAACAAACTAAAAATAAGAAAACAATTAATAATAGCATCAAAAAATAAAATACTGGGTGGGCACAGTGGCTCATGCCTGTAATCCTAGCACTTTGAGAGGCTGAGGCGGGTGGATGACCTGAGGTCAGGAGTTCGAGACCAGCCTAACCAACATGGTGAAACCCTGTCTCTACAAAAAATACGAAAATCAGGCTGGGTGCAGTGGCTCACCCCTATAATCCCAGCACTTTGGGAGGCCAAGGCAGGTGATCACCTGAGGTCAGGAGTTCGAGACCAGCCTGGCCAACATGGTGAAACCCTGTCTCTACTAAAACTACAAAAATTAGCCGGGCGTGGTGGTGGGTACCTGTAATCCCAGCTACTCGGGAGGCTGAGGCAGGAGAATCGCTTGGACCCAGGAGGCGGAGGTTGCAGTGAGCTGAGATCGCGCCACTGCACTCCAGCCTGGGCAACAGAGCGAAAGTCTGTCTCAAAAACAAAAACAAAAATTAGCTGAACACGGTGGTGGGCGCCTGTAATCCCAGCTACTAGGGAGGCTGAGACAGGAGAATTGCTTGAACCTGGGAGGTGGAGGTTGCAGTGAGCCAAGATCTTGCCATTGCACTCCACCTGGGCTACAGAGTGAGACTCCGCCTCAAAAAAAAAAAAAAAAAACTTATGCATAAATTTAACAAAAGAAATGTAAAACTTAAACTTTAAATGGAAAGACTCCCATGTTCATGGATGGGAAGACAGTATTTTTAAGATAACAGTAATCCCCAAATAGATTAAAATCCCACCTAAGCCTCCTTTTTTGCAGAAATTGACAAATTGATCCTAAAACTTGTTTGGAAATGCAGAGGACCCAGAATGGTCAAAAAAGTCTTGAGAAAGAAGAACAAAGCTGGAAGACTCAAACTGCCTGACTTCAAAACAATTGTAAGCAAAATAGTGTGGTACTGGCATCAGGATAAACATACAGATTAATGGGCCAGGCACGGCGGCTCACACCTGTAATCCCAGCACTTTGGGAGGCCGAGGGGGGTGGATCACGAGGTCAGGAGATCGAGAACAACCTGGATAACATGGTGCAACCCCATCTCTACTAAAAATACAAAAAATTAGCCAGGCTTGGTGGCGGGCGCCTGTAGTCCCAGCTACTCAGGAGGCTGAGGCAGGAGAATGGTGTGAACCTGAGAGGCGGAGCTTGCAGTAAGCCAAGATAGTGCCACTGCAGTCCAGCCTGGGAGAAAGACTCCATCTCAAAAAAAACCATACAGATTAATGGAACAGAACAGAAAGCTCAGAGTTAAACCCTCACCTTTTGATCAATTTATTTTTGAAAAGGATGATGGCCGGGCATGTTGTAATCCCAGCACTTTGGGAGGCCAAGGTAGGCAGATCACTTGATGCCAGGAGTTCGAGACTAGCCTGGCGAAGATGGTGAAACACCATTTCTACTAAAAATACAAAAATTATCTGGGCATGGTGGCCAACACCTGTAGTCCCAGCTACTCAGGAGGCTGAGGCATAAGAATTGTTTAAACCTGGGAGGCGGAGGTTGCAGTCACTGCACTACAACCTGGGCAACAGAGCAAGATTCCACCTCAAAAAAAAAAAAAAAAAAAGGATGCAAAACAATTCAATGAGGAAGGACTAGTCTTTTCAACAAATGGTACTGGATATCCACATGTAAAAAGATGAAGTTGGACTCTCACCTCACACCATACATAAAAACTAATTCAAAATAGATCAAAGACTTCCATGTAACAGCTAAATAATTAAACAATACAACCTTTTTTTTGAGATAGTGTTTTGCTCTTGTTGCCCAGGCTGGAGTGCAAAGGCGTGATCTCAGCTCACCGCAACGTCCACCTCCCGGGTTCAAGCGATTCTCCTGTCTCAGTCTCCTGAGTAGCTGGGATTACAGGTGCCTGTCACTACGCCAGGCTAATTTTTGGTATTTTTAGTACAGACAGGGTTTCACCATGTTAGCCAGGCTGGTCTCAAACTCCTGACCTCAGGTGATCCGCCCACCTCGGCCTCCCAAAGTGCTAGGATTACAGGTGTGAGCCACCATGCCTGGCCAATAATACAAATCTTAAAAGAAAACTTAAATCTTTGTGACCTTGGATTGGGCAGTGGCTTCTTAGATATGACATCAAAAGCACAACCAGTTTTTTAAAAAGACAAATTAGACTTCAACAAAATTTAACACTTTCTGCTTCAAAGAACACCATCAAGAAAGTGAAAAGACAACCTATAGAATGGCATAAAATATTTGTAAATCATATATCTGATAAGGGACTTGTATAGAGAATATATTTTTTCATTTGTATTTTTTTGAAGATGGAGTTTCACTCTCGTCACCCAGGCTGGAGTGCAGTGGCACGATCTTGCCTCACTGCAACCTCTGCCTCAAGGGTTCAAGCGATTCTCCTGCCTCAGTCTCCCGAGTAGCTGGGGTTACAGGCGTGTACCACCATGCCCGGCTAATTTTTGTATTATTAGTAGAGATGGGGTTTCACCTTGTTGGTCAGGCTGGTCCTGAACTCCTGACTGCAGGTGATCCACCTGCCTCATCCTCCCAAAGTGCTGGGATTACAGGCATGAGCCAACACGCCCGGCCTAGAGAATATATTTTAAAACTCTTACAACTTTAATAAAAAAAAAAAAAAACCCAATTAACAAATAGAAAAAGGATCTGAGTAGACATTTCTCTAAAGAAGATATATAAATGGCCAAGAAGCATATGAAAATATACTCACTGGTCATCAGGAAAATGAAAGTCAAAATTCCAATGAGACACCACTTCATACCCACCAGGATGGCTTATAACAAAAGTACATATAGCAAGTGTTGTCAAGGATATAGAGAAATTGGAATTTTCACACACTGCTGGTGGAAATGCAAAATAGTGCCGCTGCTTTGAAAAACAACCTGGTAGTTCCTGAAAAGGTTAAACACAAGAGTTAGCATATGACCTAGCAATTCCGCTCCTATGCATATCCCCAAGAGAAACGAAAATAAGTGTTCACATGAAAACTTGTACACGAATGCCCAAAGCAGTATTATTCATTATATCTCAAGACTGGAAATAATCCAAATGTCCATCAACTAATGAATGGATAAATACAATCTGGTCTATCCATACAATGCAATACTATGAGTACTAAAAAGGAATGAAGTACTGACACATACCTCAATATGAATGAACTTTGAAAACATTATGTTAAGTGAAAGCCAGACACAAAAGACCACATATTGTTTGATGTCATTTGTATGAATGGTCCAGAACAGGCAAATCCATAGAAAGAAAGATGAGTGGCTGCCATGGGCTCAGGGAAGAGTGGAATAGAGTGTAACTGCCAAAGGGTATAATGTTTCTTTTTGAGGTGACGAAAATGTTTTAAAATGATTGTGGTGATGGTTGCACAACTCTGCAAATACACTAAAACCCATGAATGGTATATTTTTTTTTTTTTTTTTTTTGAGACAGGGTATCACTGTCACCCAGGCTGGAGTGCAATGGTGTAATCATGGCTCATTGCAGCTTTGACTTCCCCGGCTCAAGCAATCCTCCCGCCTCAGCCTCTGGAATAGTTGAGATTACTGGCACGTGCCTCCACACTCGGCTAATTTTTTATTTTTTGTAGAGATAGGGTCCCACTATGTTGCACAGGCTAGTTTCCAACTCTTGGACTCAAGCAATCCTCCTGCCTCAGTCTGGGAGTCACAGGATTTACTTATTTAAAAACTCAATTGTTTAAGGGAAAGAGTTAAACTCTAGTGTGCTTCATTGATTTCCTCTGCCCCTTTTGCTGTTTTATGACAATTCCTAATTTGTTCATTAATATTTCTAGAAAGATGCTATGTTGTTGCCATATAATAATATCGATAATAGTTTGGCTGGTTGACTGTAAGTACAAATAACATATTCATTTTCCTTAAAAGTCTGTTAGTTTAACCGTGTATCTGACTGGCCAGATAGTCTTGTCTATTTGGCTTCTGGGAACGGTGTCTTCCCAGTGTCAACGTTCCTATCTGCCTTATTTATGTGACCTGACTGACCAGAAATCCTAATGTAGCCATCTTGCTCCAAAAGGTTCTTGGTCTTCCCTACCTTGTTACATTACACTCATCGTCTTCTTGACTTACTGTACACTGTTTGCTCTCTTTTCTCCCTCTCTTCTTGGTGAGCAACTCAAGAGATGCCTCAAAGGTTGAGAGAAGTGAGCTGGGCATGGTGGCTCACACCTGTAATCCCAGCACTTCGGGAGGCCCTAGCACGTGGATCACCTGAGGACAGGAGTTCAAGACGAGCCTGTTCAACAAGGGGAAACCTCGTCTCTACTAAAAATACAAAAATTAGCCAGGCATGGTGGTGCGCACCTGTAGTCTCAGCTACTCAGGAGGCTGAGGCAGAAGAATCACTTGAACCCAGGAGGCGGAGGTTGCAGTGAGCCAAGATGGAGCCACTGCACTCCAGCCTAGGCGACAGAGCGAGACTCCGTCTCAAAAAAAAAAAAAGATTGAGAGAAGTGACTTGTTACTCCTTTTATGCATGCTCACAGAGCTCAGGCTGATAGCTCCACTTACTTTCCTAGAAGCAAAGCTAACATGCTCTTCCACACCCACCACCTTCACTCCATCCTCACCTGGGTTCTAGACAATAAGGCGAACTCAGGCCGGGTGTGGTGGCTCAGGCTGGGCGTGGTGGCTCACACCTGTAATCCCAGAACTTTGGGAGGCCAAGGTGGATGGATCACCTGAGGTCAGGAGTTCGAGACCAGCTTGGCCAACATGGTGAAACCCTGTCTTTCTACTAAAAAAATACAAACATTAGCGGGCACGGTGGTGGGCGCCTGTAATCCCAGCTATTCAGGAGGCTGAGGCAGGAGAATCACTTCAACCTGGGAGGCGGAGGTTGCAGTAAGCCGAGATGGCACCACTGCACTCCAGCCTGGGCAACAAGAGTGAAACTCCGTCTAAAAAAAAAATAAATAAGTAAATAAATAAATAAGTAAGGCGAACTCAGCAGTAGCACAGCTGTCTAAAGTAGACTTCCTAAGAGCTGTGGGACTTTTCATTTCTCTGTCAACCTCCTATAGTTGCCATAAGGATCAAATAAGATGATGTGATAATCTTCGTAAACTTTAAATGAGGCAAAGGGTAGTCCTGCAAGGATCAAATAAGATGATGTAAGCTGGGCGTGGCAGCTCACGCCTGTAATCCCAGCCCTTTGGGAGGCCGAGGCGGGCGGATCACCTGAGGTCAGGAGTTCAAGACCATCCTGGCTAACATGGTGAAACCCCATCTCTAATAAAAATACAAAAAAAAAAAAAAATTAGCTGGGCGTGGTGGTGGGTGCCTGTAGTCCCAGCTACTTGGGAGGCTGAGGCAGGAGAATGGCTTGAACACGGGAGGCGGAGCTTGCAGTGAGCGGAGATCGCGCCACTGCACTCCAGCCTGGGTGACAGAGCGAGACTCCGTCACCAAAAAAAAATAAAATAAAATAAGATGATGTGATAATCTTCGTAAACTTTAAATGAGGCAAAGGGTAGTCCTGATTACACAATCATTTCTGTACTTTCGGAGCAATTTACATGTGTATTTTGTTTCATTTTTATTATTAACAAAAACCTCCAGTATGTCTGAAAACTACTAAGACTAACTTCCTCCAATCACTGTATAGAACGGATCACAAATATAATGTTTACAAGGCCAAAAAAGTAATGTAAATAAGCAAAGCAGGCTGTAAGAAGGAATGCATGCCCCTTCTGAAAGACAAATCTTCCCTAGCTCAAGCTAATTGCTGCCAGGCAGGAATGTGGGCCCACTGTTACCAGATTATCCCTTTTTCCCAAAAGGAACTGAACTCTCAGGATTTCTAAGTGTTGATTCCCATTTAAAAAATAACAACTGCAAAACATATCCACATGCCACATCCCAGCCTACTGGTCTACAGTGACCTCATTTATAGTCGGTCATACTCTCTAAAATAAAAGCAACATCAAGTGAGGAGTTAGTGATATGTAAGCACAAGAAAGGAAAAAGAACTATGCACCTGTAGAAGGCAACGTTCAGAAACCAAAACTTGGTAGGATTAATAAAGATATTTGAAGCTACTTAGTCTGGTGGCTAGGAAAAAGACTCATGCAAACTAACCAATTCAAGATAAAAAGAATAACCAAGTGTCAAGTCAGAGTGACTTTTCCACTACATCACACTGGCTCCCAAATGGATAGACTATAGAGAGAATAAGGCATTTTTTTCAACTGGATGGCAGTTTAAAGTAGTCTGGAGTACAAACTTAGAACAGGTGTCAATCTTACTGATATCTTCCTGGAACAGAAGCTGAATTCAAGAATATTTTACCCTGGACCAAATGTTATCCAACACTCCCAGCCTATATTGGCCATCAGCAGAGCATACAGAAACCACAGAGTAGCCCAACAATGGGAAGGGAGAAACTTTCACCAACTCAAGAAAGAAAAAAAAGAAGGAAAATCAGGTGACTAATGTTTGTTTTCATTATTTCTTGTTTTAAAAGCAAAATTTCAAATTTACTTCCTCCATAAAAAGAAAAGCAGGCTGGGTGTGGTGGCTCACGTCTGTAATCCCAGCACTTTGGGAGGCCAAGGCGGGTGGATCATCTGAAGTCAGGAGTTCAAGACCAGCCTGGTCAACATGGTGAAACCCTGGCTGGGCACAGTGGCTCACGCCTGTAATCCCAGCACTTTGGGAGGCCGAGGTGGACAGATCAACTGAAGTCAGGCGTTCGAGACCAGCCTGGCCAACATGGTGAAACCACGTCTCTACTAAAAGTACAAAAATTAGCCGGGCGTGGTGGCAGGCGCCTGTAATCCCAGCTACTTGGGAGGCTGAGACAGGAGAATTGCTTGAACCCGGGACGCGGAGGTTGCAGTGAGCCAAGACCACATCATTGCACTCCAGCCTGGGCAACAAGAGCAAAACTCCACCTCGGGGGGGAAAAAACCATGGTGAAACCCCCATCTCTACTAAAAATACAAAAATTAGCTGGGTGTGTGGGTGCATGCCTGTAGTTCCAGCTCCTTAGGAGGCTGAAGCAGGAGAATCACTTGAATCTGGGATGCGGAGTTTGCAGTGAGCCAAGATTGCACCATTGCACTCCAGCCTGGGCTACAGAGTGAGACTCTGTCTCAAAAAGAAAAAAAAAAAAAGGCTGGGCATGGTGGCTCAAACCTGTAATTCCAGCACTTTGGGAGGCTGAGGCGGGCAGATAACAAGGTCAAGAGATTGAGACCATCCTGGCCAACATGGTGAAACCCCATCTCTACTAAAAATATAAAAATTAGCTGGGTGTGGTGGCACGCGCCTGTAGTCCCAACTACTTGGGAGGCTGAGGCAGAGAATCGCTTCAACCTGGGGCAGGGGGCAGAGGTTGCAGTGAGCCGGGATCACGCCACTGCACTCTAGCTGGGCAGCTGAGCAAGACTCCGTCTCAAAAAAAAAAGAAAGAAAAAAAGAAAAGAAAAGCAAATCTTTAAGTTCAATTAAAAAAATCTTAAAGTTCAATTTTAAAGGGAGGGGAAAAAAGAAGCCATATGTCTTTTTTGTCAAAGTCTCACAAAGGATATCCCTGAAAGCTTGCTGCTTTAACCATATGCTAGATAACCTGTAAAATAACTTAATTCCCAAGTACTTACAATACTAGAATTCTAGAGCTAGATGGAGGGAGTGGAAGCCATTCAGGTCATCTCTCTCACTTTTGTAGTCTTATTCTACAAAGGTGTAGATTCACACTAGGACCCAGATCTATACTTTTCTGTTTGGAAATCACCAGAAGATCTACAAAAAGTTATCTCCCATGTAGTCTTTACATGAAAGCTTGTTCCAATATACAACTACTCTTGAATGAAGGAGCAAGCCAAGAAAGAAAAAAATTTGAGAACCAGGAAACAGATCCATTAGAGGAGAGAAGCAAAGGGAAATTCCAGGCAACCATTCTGTAGCAAGCCTGGAGAAAACTAGTTCAAACTACAGCAAGAAGGAAAAAGTGTCCTGAAGGATAGTCTCCAAGGAGAAAATATGGAACCAATAGATCATCTAATAGATTTGATCATATAAGAAACTGTACTAGGCCGGGCAAGGTAACTTACACCTGTAATCCCAGCACTTTAGGAGGCAGAGGCCGGCAGATCACTTGAGGTCAGGAGTTGGAGACCAGCCTGGCCAACATGACGAAACCCTGTCTCTCTACTAAAAAAACACAAAAATTAGTGGGCATGGTGGCACACGCCTGTAGTCCCAGCTACTCAGGAGGCTGAGGCAGGAGAATGCTTGAACACGAGAGACAGGGGTTGCAGTAAGCCGAGACTGCGCCACTGCATTCCAGCCTGGGCGATAAAGCGAGACTGTCTCAAAAAAAAAAAAAAAAAAAAAAAAAAAAAAAAAAAAAAACTGAAACTGTACTAAATGTCCATAGGACCATAAGATCAAGTGGGAAGAATCAGAAATATGTAAACAGTTGGGTGTGATGGCTCATACCTGTAATCCTTGCTACTTGGGAGGCTAAGCAGAACGATCACTTGAGGCCAGGAGTTCAAGACCAACCTCTGCAACACAGTAAGACCCCATCTCTAAAAAAATAAAATAGCTGGGCATAACAAAGCAACAGAAAATTTCTAAAATTAAGAGATCAAGAAATAACAGTAGCCAGGTGTGCTGGCTCATGCCTGTAATCCCAGCACTTTGGGAGGCTGAGGTGGGTTGATCACCTGAGGTCAGGAGTTTGAGACCAGCCTGGCCAACATGGTGAAACCCCATCTCTACTAAAAATATAAAAAAATTAGCCGGCGTGGTAGCGGGCGCCTGTAATTCCAGCTACTCAGGAGGATGAAACAGAATTGCTTGAACCCAGGAGGCGGAGGCTGCAGTGGGTCAAGATCTCGCCACTGCACTCCAGCCTGGGTGACAGAGCGAGACTCTGTCTCAGAAAAAAAAAAAAAAAAAGAAAAAATTAGCTGGGCATGGTGGTGGGCACCTGTAATTGCAGCTACTCAGGAGGCTAAGGAATGAGAATTGCTTGAACTCAGGAGACAGAGGTTGCAGTGAGCACCACTGCACTCCAGCCTGGGCAACACAGCGAGACTCCATCTCAAAAAAAAAAAAAAAAGAAAAGAAAGAAAGAAATGGTATTTGTTCTTTTCTCAAGACCCTATTCTCCCCAAAATCTCTTTGGCTAGAACTTCAGACTATTTCACTTCCGATATCATCTTCCACCTCTCTAACTCCCAACCTCTCCAACTATGTTTCCTTCTTATACCTAAATGTGAGCATTGTCAAGGCTGCCCCCTCCCCCACCGCATCTAAACATAGATTATTTTTCCTATATCCATCCATGTCCGTGTCTTCAACTCTATCTTCAGATTTAGGAAATCAGCTCAGGCCTTCTTACCAAGTTCCAGTCATATTTCAAATGCTTCCTGCAGATCTCCCCTTGGCTATCCAGTAATCACTTCAGACTCAATATCATCAACTACCATGTATATTCTTTCTAAAAAATCTCCCTGTTTTAACGTCCCCATCTCTACTAAAGATATCGTGCTACCTCTAGGAAGAAGACAATATAATGGCCAACCCCTGAGGTTCTTGAGTGAGCCCAGTTGAATTCATATCTCGCTAAGCCACTTACTAGCTGTGTATCCTTGAGCAAGTTAACCTCTTTGAGCTTCAATATCCTTATCTGAAAGAAAAAAAAAAAAGACTACCACCACCACTCTCCCACATAATTACCGTGGCCATTAAACAAGACAACATATGTAGCCAGGTGCAGTGGCTCACGCCTATAATCCCAGTACTTTGGGAGGCCAAGGTAGGTGGACTGCTTGAACCGAGGAGTTTAAGACCAGTCTGGGCAACATGACGAAATCCTGTCTCTACAAAAAAAAAAAAAAACTCCAAAAAATTAGCCAGGTATGGTGGTATGTGCCAAGTTCCAGCTACTAGCCCCAGCTACCCAGGAAACAGGGGAGTACTGAGATGGCAGGAGAATCACCTGAGCCCAGAGAGGTCAAGGCTGCAGTGAGCCCTGATCACGCCACTGCACTCCACCTAGGAGTGACAGAGTCAGACTCTATCTCTCTCTCTCTCTCTCTCTCTCTCACACACACACACACACACACACACAACATAGGCAAAGCTCCTAATAAAATGCATAAACTGGAGGTTATGATGATAAGTGAAATACGCCAGGCACAGAATGACAGACATCACATGTTCTTACTTATTTGTGGGATCTAAAAATCAAAACAATTGAATTCATGGAGATAGAGAGTAGAAGGATGGTTACTAGAGGCTGGGAAGGGTAGTGGGTGGTTGAGGGCAGGTGGGGATGGTTAATGGGTACCAAAGAAAAAAAAAAAGACCTAGGATTTGATAGCACAACAGGGTGACTATAATCAATAATAATTGCACATTTCAAAATAACTAAAAGAGTTTAATTGGATTGTTTGTAACAAAGAATAAATGCTTGAGGGGATGACTACCCCCCACCCAAAAAAGCATAACATACAATAAGCATTCAATAAATATTAGCTACTAAATCTTTTATGGTTAACATCGTCAGCAGCAGCAAGAGCGTTACAGCTGAATCCACTTAGACCCCAGCACAGGTCAGACTTGTTCTAGGCTCTGGATCCATTTCCTATCCTTAAGCAAAACAAATAAGAAACCCCAGTAGTAGGTCAGTATTCATCAATGTGGTTCTGATCTTTCAATTGAACTAGTCCCTGAGCTACCAATCTACAAACTAGATTTCATTCCCTTGGGTATTTAAGGACCGCTCAGTCCTGTCCACTACCCTACGGGACCTGAGGGTAACAGCCAGCCCAAAAGTGCCTACAAGACTGTGCCCACTGCTGTACCCAAGCAGTGGTTCGTTCTCTTGGTATGCCTTTGGAAAACCTGCCACCTGCCAGGCAGGACAAACATCTCACCTAGCTGAACTTCTTCCCAGAGCTGGGTCTCCCCGACAAGAGTTTTCCCTACCCTGGTGGCCCCTCCTATTCTAGACTCAAAGTCACTCACGCTCAAGACCTCAGGCTTCTCTGACTCCCACATCGTCCCTACATCAATCAATAACTAAACTCTGCTGAATCCTTCTTGCACATGTCTTCTGCAGACACTCTTCTTTCCTTGTCATTTGTACTACCTTCTTTATCCCTCATCAGTCTCTGCCTGCGTTTCAAACAGTGCTTACAAAAAACAGCCAGATTAATTAGCCAAAAATACAGCTTTCATATGTCACTGAATTGCTCAAAAAGCATCTGAGGTTCTCTATATCCAATAAGACAAAATTTCACTTTCCTTTGCTGATATTGTGAATTTCCCTACTTTTGAACCTTTGCTAATACCATTCCTTCTATCTAAAATATTTTCTCTTCTGGTTGTGGTGGCTTATGCCTGTAATCACAGCACTTTGGGAGGCAGAGGCAGGAAGATTGCTTGAAGCCAGGAGTTAGAGATCAGTATGGACAACATAGCAAGATCCTGCCTCTACAAAATTTTAAAAATTAGCCAGGCATGGTGGCACAAGTCTGTAGTCCTAGCTACAGGAGGCTGAGGTGAGAGGATCACTTGAGCCCAGGAGTTCATGGCTGCAGTGAGTTTTGATCGTGCCACTGCACTCCAGCCTGGGTGACAGTGAGATCCTGTCTCCAAAAAATAAAATATTTTCTCAACTCTCCTTCTTTGTTCATCCAATTCAATATTTCCTTCAAAGACTCTTGTTCAAATCCTATGTTCTCTGCAAAGCTCTCGCCATTCTTACTAGCAGCAGGGTGTTCTCAGCAGAGGGAAAACAATGCAAATGATCTGAGGTAAGAGCAAGTCAAGCAAGTAGACCAGTGTGACTCACATTGTTGAGTAGGAAGTTTATTACTCAAACCTGAAATTTGAGGGAGAGGTTCTGGCTAGAGAAATACATTTGGGAGTTGTCAGAATATAGATTAGGCCTATCTTACAGAATTTTTGCAATGATCAATATGATACCAGGGCATACTTGCATGACTGCCATTCAGCAGTGAACTCATACATCTTTATGAATGATGTTAAATGAAAGTTAAATGAAAAAAAGTAACTCAGAAAAGTTTGCAATAAAGGTCAAAAGCTATAAAACTAAAATAAACAATAAAACTAAACAATATACTGCTTAAGAAGTATTCAAATGTGATAAAACTATAAAGAAAACTAAGGAAATTGTTATCCAAATATAGAATAATACAGCCGGGCACGGTGGCCCACGCCTGTAATCCCAGCACTTTGGGAGGCTGAGGTGGGTGGATCACCTGAGGTCAGGGGTTTAAGACCAGCCTGGGCAACATGGTGAAACCCCATGTCTACTAAAAATACAAAAATTAGCCGGGCGTGGTGGCACGCGCCTGTAGTCCCAGCTACTTGGGAGGCTGAGGCAGGAGAATCGCCTGAAGCTGGGAGATGGAGGTTGCAGTGAGCCGAGATTGCGCCACTGTACTCTAGCCTGGGCAACAAGGGCAGACTCTTTCTCAAAAAAAAAAATAATAATAATAATAATAACAATACCTTTACAGGGGAGGAGCAGAGTTATAATTGGACAGGTGAGCACAGACAGGTTCAAAGTTGCTGGAAATGTTTGTTTCCTAAAGTAGATGGTACACAGGTGTTTTTTTCTTCTTTGTCCTATATACTCTGGCATGTACAATATTAAATAAGAGAGTAAAAAAATAAGAGGCAATATATAAACATCAAATAGATGTTTCACAATGTTTTTAAAAATTATTAAGTTGAGAAAAAGGAAGAGTAATTGTGTGACCTGTATAACAAGGCCTAAAAAGAATAAAGGATTTAGTCATATAAAGAAAAGACAGAAAGGGCATCTCGGAATTGGGAATGAATAGGTCATGTAAAAGGAGACAGCAAATTGGTAAGTCTGACTGGAGAAGAGTTAGGCTGAAAAGTTGGGCTAAGCCAGCCAACAGAATGCTTACATGCTGGGTCAAGAAGTTTGAACTTGATCTTGAAATAGCACAGAACCACTGGTGATATTTAGGCGAGACAACAGCTTGGGAAAAGTGGTTTATTAATCTGATGTGATGATAAGAATCAACTAGTAGGGAGACAGAAGGCTGGAAAAGTCAGTTCTAAAACCTGTTCAGGTGAGATAATCTCACTGATGTAAGATGTTACGAAGATGATCATGGCCTGAACTAGGATGGTGATGAGGGTCAAGATCACTCCAAGAAACTTTAGGAATCTTTAGGATGAAAGACTCAGGAGGATTGGGTCTTGGGAATAGGCAATGAGGGAAAAAGATTCAAAGATTTTCAAGCTAAACTGAAAACTCTCATTTTCAAGCTAAACTGAAAAAATGATAACAACATAGCAAAACTAAGGACTCTACAGAAAAAAATTGTTTTGAAAAAAGACCATTAATCAATTAAGTTATGCAGTAAATATGTACTGAGTACCTACTATGTGTCAGGCAGAGTGTGATGCCTTCCCTTCAGAAAGCAGATTGTGAGTCCTACTTTAAAAAGTTATTCCGAGCGCAGTGGCTCACGCCTGTAATCCGAGCACTTTGGGAGGCCAAGGTGGGCAGATCACCTGAAGTCAGGAGTTCAAGACCAGCCTGGCCATCATGGTGAAATCCCAGCTCTACTAAAAATACAAAAATTAGTTGTGTGTGGTGGCACACACCTGTAATCCCAGCTACTCTGGAGGCTGAGGCAGAAGAATCACTTGAACCCGGGAGGTGGAAGTTGCAGTGAGCCAAGATCGTGTCACTCTCCAGCCTGGGCAACAGAACAAGACTCAGTCTCAAAAAAAAAAAAAGTTACACTTTTAATAGGCAAAAAGAAACTAAACAGTTCTTTGAGAAGAATAAAATAATTTTGTGAGTCCCACTTTTTAAAAAAGTAATCAGTATGGTGATAAAATACTAAGTTGTTTTTCAAAATTAATTGAAAGAAACAACAAAACATAAAAGTGGAGGTGTCTAGTAAAAGGTCAGAGGTAAAGCAGTTTACTGTTTATTACTGAAAGCTCCTTGAGGACAAGATTTATGGTTATCTTTGCATTTACATAGTACTGGACACAGTGTGTGATCACTACAGAGTAGACATTCAAATAATGTCTAAACTAACAGAACAGTGAAAACAGACTGAAGACAAGCCAAATGAGAAGGCTCCAGAACCTAACATATCTATAGAGGATCTACCCCTGTGGAGGGAAAGTGCTCTAGCCTTGTCATCCTGGCTAAAAGGTAGCCTGATCCTCTGGCTACATGTTTAGGAGATATAAAATACCAACAGAAAAACAGAAAGGAAACCAGTGTTTATGAAACATATACTGGGCCTGGCACAGTGGCTCATGCCTGTAACCCCAGCACTTTGGGAGGCAGGGGGATTGCTTCAGCCCAGGAGTTTGAGACCACCCTGGGCAACATGACAAAACCCCATCTCTACCAAAAATACAAAAATTAGTTGTGGGGTGGTGGCATGAGCCTGCAGTCCCAGCTACTCAGGAGGCTGAGGTGGGAGGATCACTTGAACCCAAGAGATGAAGGCTGCAGTGAGCTGAGATCACATCACTGCACTCCAGCCTGGGCGACAGAGTGAAACCCTGTCTCGAACTTTAAAAAAAAGAAAACATACTGAACTTTTTCTCCCCTACCCTGGGGAGACTGTCCCCAACCCTAACTTCTTTTTTTTTAAGACACAGTCTCGCTCAGTCACCCAGGCTGGAGTGCAGTGGCACGATCTCAGCTCACTGCACCTCCGCCTCCTGGGTTCAAGCGATTCTCCTGCCTCAGCCTCCCGGGTTCAAGCGATTCTCCTGCCTCAGCCTCATGAGTAGCTGGGATTACAAGCGCCCACCACCACGCCCGGCTAATTTTTTTGTATTTTTAGTAGAGATGGGGTTTCACCATGTTGCCCAGGCTGGTCTTGAACTCCTGACCTCAAGTGATCCCCCCGACCTCGCCCTGTCAAAGTGTTGGGATTACAGGCATGAGCCACCCCACCTGGCCTCAACCCTAACTTTCAAGACAGGCAGAATGTGTGGATTAGGTTAAAGAAACTTCAGGGGTACCCTGTTCTTTTACACTATTAAAAGGCATTTTTCTGATTGACAGTAGTTTAAAAGCTTGAATGTTGATAGTCCCAACTGACATACCACTGTTTCCTAAGCCTATGGAACAGGGAAATGCAAAGTAGGGCTGCCTGCAAAGTGAGATGACTGATGCCCAGGTGGCTCAAGTTGTTGCCAGGGAATGGGCTATTATCTCCAGGTGCCCCAGTAGTTCAGATAATTCCACACAGTCCCAAGTTATAAAATACAGCTGAACACAGAACAAGGAGGTTACTCTGTAAATGGATTGATCTTACATAAATGCTTTAAGACCATCTCTGTCTCAAGAGGTTAGACCAGAAAATGAATGCCCAAATACCAGCAGAGGCAGTACTTGTGTTTGCAAATACATAACAGTTAAGAGCTCAGGCTCCGATGCCAGATAGACATGGGTTAAATCCCAGCTCTTCCAGCAAATAGCTGTGTGGCTATCTCTGTTAAGACATTCTTCCGACTATGTACAGTAGGGCTGATTGCATTCCTTAAGATGAGAATATGTGGTAGCTTCAGATGTTAGTGCTTTCCTTCCTAAAACTATGCCCTAATCCCTTTGGTTGGACCTGTATTTTCCTCAAAAGCCTCACTCACTGATTTTAGGGTAGAGCTTTCTAGCTGGCTCATCTCATTCATTATGCTTTGAATCTCTCAAATTTCCATCTTTGAGAAAAACATATCTTAAAACTCTGGATGGTCGACCGGACTTTATAACTACAGAGAAAATGTAATTTTAACTAGAACATACAAACCACTTAGTTATACAAAACTTAAAATTGGTGCTTTCTTTAAAAATCACAAATGCTATATGCTGGAGACAGTATGGAGACAGCTAAGCCTAGCCTATCAGTAATGAATTTAGAACAAAAGCAGACTGACACAAAAGAGGACAAAAGGAGGCATCCTGCCTGTGCTTACCACCTGATTCTCTAAGTTCAGGGGTCTTTTGCACATTATAGGAGATTTTGTGATGTAGTGGAAAACAGAGGAGAACAAGTTCCATAGAGTCTTCATTTGTATTAGCTTATCTTAGTGCCCCACTGCTACCATCCTAATACAGGCAGTAAAGACTAAGTCCCAACAGGTTTCTCTGCCTTAGGACTCTCTCCACTTCCTGACATCCTGCACACAGCCACCAAACTACTTTCCTAAACCCCCAGTTCCATCAGATAACTTTCCAGCTCAAAAACTTTAATGGCTCCCTACCTACTACGCATTGGGAAAATCCCAACTAAAATTCAAGACCCAGGCCAGCATTACCCTACTGTTATAATACAGGACTTGTGTCCTTCTAATTACCCCAAGGAAATTCTATAAAGCTTCAACCAGACTAATCGGCTCACTGCTCCCCCAACACAAACTGCCCGCATATCTAGGCTGGATTACGCCCACGCCAGCCCTCACTCCAACCTTTCTGCCATTCCTTCCAAAGCCAGCCTACCCCCCCATCTCTGGCCCCACACACTACCCATACTACCCATCTTCTGACCCTCATCAACACACCCTTGTAGCTATCTCAATTCCCGTGGCATCCCAATCCGCTCCAATCAAGTCAAAGTTCCTTGGAAGGCAGACACATACTTTACATAGAGGGTCCAGCACAGTGCCCTGCACTTAGTAGGTGCTGGCTATTACTGATTAAAACCAGCAGGGGTTCAAATAACGTTTCTAGGGAGGGCAAGATAATACTGCCTATCTTCTTCCATTCGTAGTAAAAAGTATTCAGCGTTCACTACAAGCCTGAAAACGCCTAGCGTACGCAGATCAACGGTGCAGTGGAGAGGGCACGCCGCCGGATGGCAAAAAACCTGTGTCCTAATCCTGGTTTTGCCACAATCTCGGCAGTTGCTGGGAAATCAAGCCATCTCTCGGAGCTCCGGTTGTCTCCGACGTAAAACAAGGGAGCTGCTGTAGAGGATCCCGAGGTATCTTTTGGCTCCTAAATGTCCCCCGATAGGAAACCCCACACTCGTCTTCCAAGGCGGGAGGCAGGCAAACTTTTTTCCCAGCGCGGGCATTCCACACGGTCCTGGAAACTCAGTGCCCGGAGAAAAGGGCAGGGCTGAGGGCAAGGTGAGAAGCGGTCCCCCCGAAGTCGCCGGATTCCTTTACCCCACGGCTCGAGTCCGCCTCAGGTTCCCGGCCCCCTCACAGGCGGACTCCGGGAGAGTGACGCGGCGCGGCTCCCAGGTGCAGGCCGGGTGACTCTGTCCGCCCCTGCGCCCCCCGCACTAGTGGCACACGCCCCGTGGCCCCGGGTAGCGGCCCCGGCCCCTCACCAGCCCAAGGGACGTCCCCGACTCTGGACCAGGCCTCTGGCTCCCGCCTGGCGAGCCGCTCTTCCGGGCCCTGGGGCGGCCTCAGCGCGGCAGTACGGGCCCCAGGCCGGCGGGACGGGCGGCGTGAGGGGCAGCGGTGGCGGCTTTAAGTGCTGAATCACCACTTTGCAACCCGAGCGCCAAACCGCTGTGACCCACGGGGCCCGAGGGCCCGGGCGCTCCATTCCGCTTACCCACACAGGCGCTCCGGAGGCGGCAGGCGGGCGCCGAGGACTGAGCGGAAGGTGCTGGGCAGTGCGGGGTGCAGAAGCCACGCTAGCCGGTACCGCATTAGCCAGCGCAGTCGCCGGGATCACCGCAAACGCTTCCTGCTTGCGCTTCGAGCCGGCCCTGCGCACTGCGCATGCTCTAGCCGCGGCGCCGCGCGGTCTCCCGGGAGCTGCGGAGAGGTAGCTGCTCCGGGTTTTGCCTGGAGCCGGATGGGGCCAGGACGCAGGCGAGGACGGTGAAGACCGCGGACAGCCGAGGCCTGAGCAGGCGGACTGGAGGGACAGGGGTTTGGCCGGGGCGCTTTAGGAGCCAGCACCCAGACTTTCCCAGGCGGGGAGGGTCCCAGCTAGATCCCACCGGCCGCACTTGTGAGGGTGGCGACGTGTGTCTGACTGTGAGGGGGCGAGGGGCCGCTCATAAATCCAGTGAGGGCACACGGGGCTATGTTTTCTGAGGCACCCCCACTGACTAGCGTGCCGGACCCTGCAGGTGTTGGAACAAGGTTCGTGGTCGCGGCGGCCTCACGTAAAATGAATCCGCGGCCGGCGCGCGGCCCGCGGGCTCCCTCTAGAGCGCGGTGGGGACGTGGACCGCGAAGGCACAGATGCGCTGGAGACAAGGCTCGAGTGCGGCGTGGGGGAAATTCAGACGCAGGGGTCAGCGATAGAGAGGCCAGGACCCAGGGGGACGTTTCCATCCTTGGGGAAGTTAGCAGCTCTCTTAAGAGGAAGGTGCGGATGGGACGGGCGCCGCAGCAAAACAAGGCTTCAAATCCAGAGTAGAAACTACTACTCTTGTTAGTACTCCGTACTAGGAATACTACTAATGTCAGTCGGCTTCAGTGGTTACTTTTTAAACAAAGAATTTTCTCCCCAGTGGCTTTATGGGGCTTTGCACCCACGAACAACTTAATAGTTGTTATGAATCTAACTTTCCATAATACCTTATGGGAGTCTTTAAGGAAGAATGCTATTAGGGATGGTGACTTGCCAGCTTAAGTACTTTTAGGTTTCTGATTGACAGACGATCAAGACTGCAGCCAAAAACGGTGTCCTTAGTCCAAGTATTGCTTTAAATGGGAATTCAGTAGGAGGGTTCCTTAATCAAGTTGATGCTTTATCGAAGACGTACCCACGATCTTTTTAACAGTGCGGTTTCACCTAAAGGCAAACCTTTGGATGAAAACAGGTAAAAATTATGGCAAGCCTCCTAGTGGTGTTTGCAAGTGCATGGTTTTAAGAACCTTTAAATTACCAGTCCCAATGCAGAGTAGTCAATCACCTTGAAGCAGCTCCTCTGAGAGTGTTAATGCAGCCTTTCTGAATACATTTATGCTCCATTAATGGAATCTATAAATGGGCTGGGGTAGATTCAGACTTGGAGGGCTTGAAACATATACAATTTGGGGGACCTCTTTGAGACATAAAATACAAATTATAAATACAAAATTAGCAATCAGAAGATTACTATAGAGAGAAAATACATCACAACAAATACTCGAGACTTGGAGATTAGTACCCTTTTTTTTCCTGAGATCTCTTTAGGCTACTTATTAGAAATGCTTACATAAAAATGCTTCCAGATGGCCGGGCGTGGTGGCTCATGCCTGTAATCCCAGCACTTTGGGAGGCCAAGCCGGGCGGATAACGAGATCAGGAGTTCGAGACCAGCCTGACCAAAATGGTGAAACCCCGTGTCTACTAAAAATACAAAAATTAGCCAGGCGTGGTGGCATGCGTCTGTAATCCCAGCTACTGAGGAGGCTGAGGCAGGAGAATCACTTGAACCCTGGAGGCGGAGGTTGCAGTGAGCCAAGATCACGCCACTGCACTCCAGCCTGGGCAACAAAATGAGACTCTATGTCTCAAAAAAAAAAAAAATGCTTCCAGACAACAACTGGCTTTCCCTCTACAACTCCCAGTTTGGAGCCTGTGCAAGTGAGCAGCCCTGAAGTTTAAACTTCATTAGCTTCATGATAAATTTCCCTCTGGTTGGAGTAGATGTCCTGGATAAGAAAGATTAATATTAATATAGTCTCATAACTATCATCTCAATAAAGAGGAGGTGGATGGAAAGAAAAGTAACAATTTTGAGAGTCTACTCTGTGTCTGGCATTGTACATGGCTCCTTCATTAGTCATCATGACCACCCTCTGTAATGGATATTTCCTCACCTACCAGAGATGAGGAAGCTGTGGCAGAGAGAGGTTGAGTAACTTGCCAACAATTGGACAAAAAGAGTGGAGTTGTAATTTGAACCCAGGACTGTCTTATTCCAAAACCTGTGATTTGCTCATCTCATTTATGACTTGACAAATATTTGTTGAATGCCTTACAGATACCAGGTATTATAAAGGTGCTGGGAATACAGCAGTGGACAAAAAAGACAAAAGTTTCTGTCTTGATGGAGATTACCTTCTAGCTGTGTGGGAAAAACAGATAATAATCAAGTGAGTAAGTGATATGAAGGAACAGGTGGTCAGGAAAGGCCTCTTTGAGGAAGTGACATTCAGGCAGACCCCAGAATGATGAGAAAAAGTAGGAAATGTGAAGGTCTAGGGTGTAATCTTTCCCACTCTCACTCAAACAAGTATAAGGTGTAAACCACCTAGACAACTTTTTTTTCTTTTCTTTCTTTTTTTTTTTTTGATGGAGTCTCGCTCTGTCACCAGGCTGGAGTGCAGTGGCGCGATCTCGGCTCACTGCAACCTCCACCTCCCGGATTCATGTGATTCTCCTGCCTCAGCCTCCAGAGTAGCTGGGACTACTGGCGCACGCCACCATGCCCAGCTAATTTTTGTATTTTTAGTAGAGACGGGATTTCACCATGCTGGCCAGGATGGTCTCGATCTCTTGACCTCATGATCCCCCCTACCTCAGCTTCCCAAAGCGCTGGGATTATAGGCGTGAGCCTCCATGCCCGGCCTACAACTTTTTTAGAAGCAGAAAAAGTAATGTGCTGAAGTCATTCTTTGCCTTAGATAGGAAAACTAGACACATATTCAAATATAAGTATTCTGATATACTGGAAGCCAAATATTAGTGTTTATCTGTGCTGTAAGTTCCTTCCATTAGCCCAGATAGAATAGAGTTCACCATAGAGCTGAGTCAGGAGTTCCTAATGATTGAAAGAAAAAAACTTAAAAAGGAAGCCCAGTGGTGACAGATTGGCGTTTATTTCCTAATTGGTAATGTTCAGAAAAATAATATCTTTTGTCCCCCCAGATGTTTTAGCAGAGGAAAGAAAAGGAATTTTTTTTTTTTTTTTGAGGCGAAGTTTTGCTCTTGTCACCCAGGCTGGAGTGCAATGGCATGATCTTGGCTCAGCGCAACCTCCGCCTCCCAGGTTCAAGCAAATCTCCTGCCTCAGCCTCCCAAGTAGCTGGGATTACAGGCATGCGCCACCACACCCAGCTAATTTTTGTGTTTTTAGTAGAGACGGGTTTCTCCATGTTGATCAGGCTGGTCTCCAACTCCCAACCTCAGGTGACCCGCCTGTCTTGGCCTCCCAAAGTGCTGGGATTACAGGCGTGAGCCACCGCGCCCGGGCAAGAATTTTTTTTTTTTTTTTTTTTAAATAGGCCGGGTGCAGTGGCTCACACCTGTAATCCCAGCTCTTTGGGAGGATGAGGCAGGTGAATCACTTGAGGTGAGGAGTTTGAGACCAGCCTGGCTAACATGGTGAAACCCTGTCTCTACAGAAAAATTAAAAAATTAGCTGGGCATGATGGTGTGCACCTGTGTCCCAGCTACTTGGGAGGCTGAGGCACAAGAATCGCTTGAACCTGGGAGGCAGAGGTTGCAGTGAGCTGAGATCGTGCCACTGCACTCCGGCCTAGGTTACAGAGTGAGACCCTGTCTCGAAAATAAAACTTAAAATGTCTTTTGAGACTGGGCACAGTGACTCACGCCTGTAATCCCAGCACTTTGGGAGGCCAAAGTGGGCGGATCACCTGAGGTTGGGAGTTCGAGACCAGCCTGACCAACAGGGAGAAAACCCGTCTCTACTAAAAATACAAAATTAACTGGACATGGTGGCGCATGCCTGTAATCCCAGCACTCGGAAGGCTGAGGCGGGAGAATTGCTTGAACCCGGGAGGCGGAGGTTGCGGTGAGCCGAGATGAAGCCATTGCACTCCAGCCTGGACAACGAGTGAAACTCCATCTCAAAAAAAAAAAATGTCTTTTGAACTAATCTAGCCTATTGTTATATATTCAAAATCAAAATCTGAATTCTGAATCCACCAACTCAAAATTTTGTACAAATAGCTAAAGAGAAAGCATACCTAGGTAGTTAATAACAAAGGAAAATTTAAAGTTAGGGCCAGACGCGGTGGCTTATGCCTGTAATCCCAACAATTTGGGAGGCAGAGGTGAGAGGGTGCTTGAGCTCAGGAGTTCAAGACCAGCTTTGGCTACATAGTCAGGCCTTGTCTATATAAAAAAATAAAAACTAAATTAGGCAGCAGGTGCAGTAGCTCATGCCTGTAATGCTAGCACTTTGGGAGGCCAAAGCAGGAGGATCACTTGAGCTTAGGAGTTCGAGACCAGCCTGGGCAACATAGACCTCATCTCTATTTAAAATAAAGATAAAATCAAAACAAAACAAAAAATTAGCCGGGCATGGTGGTGCATGCCTGCGGTCCCAACTACTCTGGATGTTGAGGTGTGAGGATGGCTTGAGCCCAGGAGGTGGAAGTTGCAGTGAGCCAAAATCATGCCACTGCACTCCAGCCTGGGCAAGACTGCCAGACCCTGTCTCAAACAACAATTCTTACAAGACCTTAAACATTTTTCATAAACATCATTTTTATTTGTATTATTTTTTAAGGCTCTTGAGCAATGCCAATTCTTTAATGAACAGCTGAGGAACATTGGTTTTAGCCATCAATTTTCTTTTTCTCAAAAGAAAAATGTCTCAAAAGACATTTTTTTTTTAATTGAGACAGAGTCTCACTCTGTCACCCAGGCTGGAGTGCAATGGTGTGGTCTTGGCTCACTGCAACCTCTACCTCCCAGGTTCAAGCGATTCTCCTGCCTCAGCCTCCTGAGTAGCTAGGATTATAGGCACCTGCCACCACGCTCAGCTAATTTTTGTATTTTTAGTAGAGACAGGGTTTCACCATGTTGGCCAGGCTGGTCTCAAACTCCTGACTTCAGGTGATCCACCCACCGCAGCCTCCCGAAGTGCTGGGGTTACAGGCATGAGCCACTGCACCCGGCCTTTTTTATCTTTTTAAAACGGGGTCTCCCTCTGTGGCCCAGGCTGGAGTGCAGTGGAGTGATCTCAGCTCACTGCAACCTCTGCCTCCCGGGTTCAAGCGATTCTCCTGCCTCAGCCTCCCAAGTAGCTAGGACTACAGGCATGAGCCACCACGCCCTGCTGATTTTTTTGTATTTTTAGTTGAGACTGGGTTTCACCATGTTGGCCAAGCTGGTCTCGAACCCCTGACCTCAGGTGATCTGCCCACCTCGGCCTCCCAAAGTGCTGGGATTACAGGCATGAAAACCACCGCACCCAGCCTTATTTTATGTGTCTTAATTTTCTCATTTATCTCTCTCACTAACATGTAAATACCACAAGCATAGAAACCTGGTTGCTCTTTTCTCTGGTGTATCCTCAACATTGAAAGCAAGCCCTGGGCCCATAATATTTGTT
This sequence comes from Homo sapiens, assembly GCF_000001405.40. Classification (NCBI taxonomy): domain Eukaryota; kingdom Metazoa; phylum Chordata; class Mammalia; order Primates; family Hominidae; genus Homo; species Homo sapiens. Next base: position 92,579,617 of record NC_000010.11, read on the forward strand.
GAATGCATAAATCAAGAGTTGTCTTAACTGTGTGTGGAAAATACGAATTATAGATCCTGCCCATAAAGTAACTCAAATTTACCTTTAAGGACTAGCAAAGATGAGTCATTTAGGAAAACTCCTAACAAACAAATTTATAATTAATCACTTATCTATAAAACATTTTTAAAAATTCATGTTGCTTTTAGGTATTTTATTACCATAGTATTGTACTTAAAACTAATATACATTTTAAAACTTTTTATTGGGAGGGGCACGGTGGCTCACGCCTGTAATCCCAGCACTTGGGGAGGCTGAGGCGGATGGCTCACCTAAGGTCAGGAGTTCGAGACCAGCCTGGCCAATGTGATGAAACCCTGACTCTACTAAAAATACAAAAAATTAGCCGGGTACAGTGGCAGGCGTTTGTAGTCCCAGCTACCCAGGAGGCTGAGGCAGGAGAATTGCTTGAACCCAGGAGGCAGAGGTTGCAGTGAGCCAAGATCATGCCATTGCACTCCAGCCTGGGCAACAAGAGCAAAACTCTGTCTCATTAAAAAAAAGAAAAAAAGAAAAAAAGCTGGGCATGGTGGCTCACGCCTGTAATCCCAGCACTTTGGGAGGCCGAGGTAGGTGGATCACCTGAGGTCGAGAGTTGGAGACCAGCCTGACCAACATGGAGAAGCCCCGTCTCTATTAACACAAAATTAGCCAGGTGTGGTGGTGCATGCCTGTAATCCCAGCTACTCAGGAGGCTGAGGCAGGAGAATTGCTTAAACCTGGGAGGTGGAGAGTGCAGTGAGCTGAGATTGCGCCATTGCACTCCAGCCTGAGCAACAAGAGCGAAACTCTGTCTCAAAAAGAAAAAAAAAAAGAAAAAAGAGAAAACTTTGTATTATGGAACAAGTAGTCAAACATAAACAAAATAAAAGAAAATAGTATAACTATTCCAGGCAAAATATGATTTTAGAATTCTATAGCCCAATAATGTCAACATAGATTTTGTGATTTAGGATAAAAACATTTTGAAAAATACGATTTTAGAATTCCACAGCCAAACAATGTCCATAAATAAATACCCCAGGCATCCATTCATTATTCAGCTTCCATAATTACCAGTTCATGGCCAATATTGTTCTATCTTTTCCTCCAACTCCCTCAACCTCCACTAAATTATTCTGAACCAAATACCGGGCATCATATTATTAATATTTCATCTCAGTATTTCAGTATATGTCTCAAAGGACTTAAAGAAAATCCACAGGCACTAACATACTTAAAACATTAAGATAATTATTTAATATAATCAAATATGTAGTCAGTGTTCCCACTTTCCTGAGTGTTCCCACTTTCCTGATTGCCTCAAATGTTTCTTTTTCACAATGGGTTTGTTCAAATCAGGATCCAAACAAGAACAAAACACTTCATTTAATTAATATGTTTCCTTTTTTTATTTTGTTTTGTATCTTTTGAAGATGATCTTTTTTGAAGAGTTTATTGAAGTATTGCAAACAGAAAAGTAAACAAGTGATAAGTGTACAGCTCAGTGAATTTTCAAAAACTGAACACATCCCTGTAAACACACCCAGAAGCTCTGCCTTATTCTCCGTTTCAGTCACTGTCACCCCAAGGGTAAACACTAACCTGACTTCTAACACAATAAATTAGTTTTGCCTGGATTACAGTTTAATATAAATGCACTCATACAGTATATACTCTTTTGGGTCTGGCTTTGTTTAACTATCTGGTGAGATTTATCCATATTTTTTAGAATAATTTTTGTTTGTTCACTTTCTTTTCTTTTCTTTCTTTTCTTTTTTTTTTTTTTTTTTTTTTTGAGACAGTCTCACTCTGTTGCCCAGGCTGGAGTGCAGTGGCGTGATTTCAACTCACTGCAACCTCTGCCTTTCAGGTTTAAGTGATTCTCCTGCCTCAGCCTCCCAAGTAGCTTGGATTACAGGGGCCCACCACCATGCCCTGCTAATTTTTTTTTTTTTTTTTAGTAGAGACCGGGTTTCACAATGTTGGTCAGGCTGGTCTTGAACTCCTGACCTCAGATGATCCTCCTGCCTCAGCCTCCCAAAGTTCTGGGATTACAGACATGAGCCACCGCGCCGGCCTGTTTGTTTACTTTTTTTTTTGAGATGAAGTCTCACTCTGTCAGCAGGCTGGAGTGCAGTGGTGCAATCTTGGCTCACTGCAACCTCCGATTCCCTGGTTTAAGCAATTCTGTCTCAACCTCCCAAGTAGCTGGGATTACAGGCATGCGCCACAATGCCCAGCTAATTTTTTGTATTTTTAGTAGAGACGGGGTTTTCACTGTGTTAGCCAGGATGGTCTCAATCTCCTGACCTCAGGTGATCCACCTGCCTTGGCCTCCCAAAGTGCTGGGATTATAGGCGTGAGCCACCGTGCCTGGCCCATAGCTTGTCAATTCTAAATCTTTTATTTATTTATTTATTTATTTATTTATTTATTTTGTTTGTTTGTTTGAGACGGAGTCCTGCTCTGTCACCCAGGCTAGAGTGCAGTGGCAGAATGTCGGCTCACTGCAACCTCTGCCTCCCGTGTTCAAGAGATTCTCCTGCCTCAGCCTCCTGAGTAGCTGGGATTACAAGTGCATGCCACTATGCCTGGCTAATTTTTGTATTTTTAGTAGAGATGGGGTTTCACCATATTGGTCAGGCTGGTCTCAATCTCCTGACCACACAATCCATCCGGCTCGGCCTCCCAAAGTGCTGGGATTACAGGCATGACCCACCACGCCTGGCCAATTTTTGTATTTTTTTAGTAGAGATGGGGTTTCGCCATGTTGGTCAAGCTGGTCTTAAACTCCTGACAGGTGATCCATCTGCCTTGGCCTGCCAAAGTGCTAGGATTACAGGCGTGAGCCACTGCACCTGGCCTCTCCCTCCTCTTTTTTATTTTGCAATTTATTTGTCAAAGGAGTTGAGTCATTTATCCTATAGTGTTCCCAACATTCTAAATTTTGCTGACTGTATTCTTTTTATTTTTATTTTTTTGAGATGGAGTTTCGCTCTTGCTGCCCAGGAGCAACAAGAGGAGTGCAATGGAGTGACCTCGGCTCACTATAACCTCCGCCTCCTGGGTTCAAGTGATTCTCCTGCCTCAGCCTCCTGAGTAGATGGGATTACAGGCGTGCACCACCAAGCTCGGCTAATTTTTTTGTATTTTTTAGTAGAGACGGGGTTTCACCACGTTGCCCAGGCTGGTCTTGAACTCCTGACCTCAAGCGATCCACCCGCCTCAGTCTCCCAAAGTGCTGGGATTCCAGGCGTGAGCCAGCGTGCCCAGCCTGCTGACTGTATTCTTACAATGTGACTTAACATGTTTGTTTCTTATATTTCCTGTAAATGGTAGTTACATCCACCGATTTGATCAGATTCAGCAAATATGCATTTGAGAAGTGTTTACTAAGCACTGTGCTTGCTGCTAGGTGGGATACAAAAATGACTAAGACATCACTCCTAATCTATTGTTTATTATGAATATGAAAGGTTAAGGCCAGGCGTGGTGGCTCACACCTGTAATCCCAGCACTTTGGGAGGCTGAGGCAGCTGGATCACTTGAGGCCAGGAGTTGGAGACCAGACTGGCCAACAATGCAAAATCCCGTCTCTACTAAAAATACAAAAAGTAGCGGCTGGGCGCGGTGGCTCACACCTGTAATCCCAGCACTTTGGGAAGCTGAGACAGGCGGATCACCTGAGATCAGGAGTTCGAGACCAGCCTGACCAACATGGAGAAACCCCCGTCTCTACTAAAAATACAAAATTAGCCGGGTGTGGTGGTGCAGGCCTGTAATCCTAGCTACTCGGAAGGCTGAGGCAGGAGAATCACTTAAACCTGGGAGGTGGAGGTTGCAGTGAGCTGAGATTGCACCCTTGCACTCCAGCCTGGGCAACAAGAGCAAAACTCTGTCTCAAAAAAAAAAAAAAAAAAAACTAAAAATACAAAAAGCAGCCGGGTTTGGTGGTGCACACCTGTAGTCCTAGCTACTTGGGACACTGAGGCAGAAGACTCCCTTGAATCCGGGAGGCAAAGGCTGCAGTGAGCCGAGATCATGCCACTACACCCCAGCCTGGGTGACAGAGTGAGACCCTGTCTGCCTGTTTTTTTGTTTGTTTGTTTTGTTTTTGTTTTTTCTGAGACTGAGTTTTGCTCTTGTTGCCCAGGCTGGAGTGCAATGCCATGATCTCGGCTCACGGCAACTTCTGCCTCCCAGATTCAAGCAGTTCTCCCGCCTCAGCCTTCCAAGTAACTGAGATTACAGGCATGTGCCACCATGCCCAGTTAATTTTGTATTTTTAGTAGAGACAGAGTTTCTCCATGTTGGTCAGGCTGGTCTTGAACTCCCGACCTCAGGCGATCTGCCAGCCTCGGCCTCCCAAAGTGCTGGGATTACAACTGTGAGCCACCATGCCTGGCAGGGCAGGACTTTTTAAATTCATTTTTGTGACTATCACAGGGTATGCACCTAAGCTCAGTAAACATTTGTTGAGTAATTAAAACCAGCTAAAGGTGTTTTTGTTTTTTGTTTTTTTTGAGACGGAGTCTTGCTCTGTCACCCAGGCTGGAGTGTAGTGGTGCAATCTCAGCTCACTACAAGCTCCGCCTCCCGGGTTCATGCCATTCTCCTGCCTCAGCCTCCCAAGTAGCTGGGACTACAGGCGCCCGCCACCACACCCAGCTAATTTTTTTTGTACTTTTAGTAGAGATGGGGTTTCACCGTGTTAGCCAGGATGGTCTCGATCTCCTGACCTCGTGATCCACCTGCCTCGGCCTCCCAAAGTGCTGGGATTACAGGCCCGAGCCACCGCTCCTGGCCCCCATTTTTTTTTTCAAGATAAGATCTTGCTCTGTCACCCAGGCTGGAGTGCACTGGTATGATAATGACTCACTGCAGCCTCACCTCCCAGGCTCAAGTGATCCTCCCAGCTCAGCCTCCCGAGTAGTTGGGACCACAGGTGAGTGCCACCATGGCTGAGACTATTTTCATTTTTTGTAGAGATGAGGTCTGGAGAGTCTTGGAAGAATTCTTACGTTAAATAAAAATTCAGGATGCAAAATTCTATATCCAGGTTGAGCATAGTGGCTTACCCCTGTAATCCCAGCACTTAAGGAGGTAGAGGCAGAATGATAGTTTGAGTCCACGATAGTTTGAGTCCAGGAGTTCAAGACCTGCCTGGGCAACATAGTGAGACTCTGTTCTCCATAAAAAGGGGGGGAAAGACCAAAAAAACCCTATATATTCAATTATGATCTCAATTACTGAAAATATACAAATAGACAACTGGAAAGAAATACATCAAAATATTAATGGTAGTAATTGCTGGGTGGTAGAAATCTGCTATCTCTATACAGGAGTTCCAGAAAGAAACAACAGACGTGGCAAGTGAAATAGTCAATGAATAATTCAAAAACATTTCCCAGACTGAAGGTAACAACTTGCCAGACTGTGGCTCAGCCCAATTAATGAAAGTAGATGCACACATTGGCTGGGCATGGTGGCTCACACCTGTAATCCCAGCACTTTGGGAGGCCAAGGCGGGCGGACCATGAGGTCAGGAGATCGAGACCATCCTGGTTAACATGGTGAAACCCCGTCTTTACTAAAAACACAAAAAATTAGCCGGGCGTGGTGGCGGGCGCCTGTAGTCTCAGCTACTCCGGAGGCTGAGGCAGGAGAATAGCGTGAACCCAGGAGGCGGAGCTTTCAGTGAGCCAAGATTGCGCCACTGCACCCAGCCTGGGCGACAGTGTGAGACTCCGTGTCAAAAAAAAAAAAAAGAAAGAAAGAAAGTAGATGCACACCAAGGCACATCATTGCAAGATTTCTTTTTTTTGTTTTTTGTTTTTTTTTGAGACAGCATCTCACTCTGTTGCCCCAGCTAGAGTACAGTGGCACGATCTCAGCTCACTGCAACCTCCACCTCCCGGGTTCAAGCGATTCTCCTGCCTCAGCCTCCCAAGTAGCTGGGACTACAGGCACGCGCCACCATGCCCGGCTAATTTTTGTATTTATAGTAGAGATGGGGTTTCACCATATTGGCCAGGCTGGTCTCGAACTCCTGACCTCGTGATCCACCCACCTCAGCCTCCCAAAGTGCTGGGATTACAGGCGTGAGCCACCATGCCCAGCTGCAAGATTTCTTTCTTTTTTTCTTTTCTTTTTTTTTTTTTTTTTTTTTTTTTTTTTGAGACGGAGTCTTGCTCTGTCACCCAGGCTGGAGTGCAGTGGTGCAATCTCGGCTCACTGTAACCTCCACCTCCCAGGTTCAAGCGATTGTCATGCCTCAGCCTCCAAGTAGCTTGGATTACAGACGTGCATCACCACGCCCAGCTAATTTTTATATTTTTAGTAGAGACACGGTTTCACCATGTTGGCCAGGCTGGTCTCAAACTCCCAACTTCAGGTGATCCACCTGCCTCGGGCTCCCAAAGTGCTGGGATTACAGACATGAGCCGCCACACCCCGCCTCATTGCAAAATTTCTAGTCACTAGAATGAAATGCTCAGCTATGAACAGACATAATGACCTGAATACAGATAATTGATTTAACCAGAAATTGTAATATTGGGTATTAGAGAAGGAAATGCAGAGAGGATGGTAAAGTTTGAGAACTAAACCTCACCTACCATAAGATGTCAATAAATAATGTCTAAAATGGATTAATCAAAAGATAACGGTATAGGTCTGGCACAGGGGTGGCTCATGCCTATAATCCTAGCACTTTGGAAGGCTGAGGCGGAGGATTGCTTGAGTCCAGCAGCTTGAGACCAGCCTGGGTAACAAAGCAATACCCTGTGTCTATGAACAACTTTAAAAATTACTGGGTGTGGTGGTGTGTGCCTGTAGTCCCAGGTACTCATGAGGCTGAGGCAGTAAGATCACTTCAACTGATGCAGTTGAGGCTATTCAGGAGGTGGAAGTGGACTGCTGGAACCCAGGAGGTCAAGGGCCAGGCGCGGTGGCTCATGCCTGTAATTCCAGCACTTTGGGAGGCCAAGGTGGGGGAATCACTTGAGCCCAGGAGTTCAAGACCAGCCTGGACAACAAAGTGAGACCCTGTCTCTACAAAAAATAGAAAAAAATTTGCCAGGTGTAGTGGCATGTGCCTGTGGCCCCAGCTACTCAGGAGGCTGAGGCAATAGGATTGCTTCAATGGGAGCAGTTGAGGCTGCAGTGATACCTGATAGAGCCACTGCACTCTAGCCTAGGCAACAGAGTGAGACCCTGTCTCAAAAAAATAATAAATAAATAAATAAATACAAATAACAGTATATACAAATTCCTTATGAAAATAGAAATGTGTAAATGCCAGCAAAAACAACTAAAGTGGTTGGTTGTTTCTGGGGTAAAGGTCTAGAGGCATTGGTGTGGAATAAGGCTGAGAAAATACTTTTTTTGTTGTTGTTGTTACAAGCCTTTTAGAACTATTTAACTTTATAAAACATTTCCACGTTTTTCTTTTCTTTTCCTTTCTTTCCTTTCTTTCTTTCTTTCTTTTTTTTTTTTTTGAGACAAAGTCATACTCTGTCACCCAGGCTGGAGTGCAGTGGCATGCTCTTGGCTCACTGCAACTTCTGCCTCCCAGGTTCAGGCAGTTCTCCTGCCTGGTATTACAGGTATGAGCTGCCATGCCCAGCCTCCATGTTTTTCTTTAAGAAAAATAAAAATCAATTTAAAATAGTTTATTCGAGAAGTACATATACTCCTGAAAGAGAAATGCCAGAGCAAACACGTGGGCAACGATGTTGCATTGTTAGAATTCAGTTTAACTAGACTTAAATTATTATTATTATTATTGAGACGGAGTCTTGCTGTGTCGCCAGGCTGGTGTGTAGTGGCGTGATCTCGGCTCACTGCAGCCTCTGCCTCCCAAGTTCAAGTGATTCTCCTGCCTCAGTCTCCCGAGTAGCTGGGACCACTGGCACACGCCACCATGCTAAATTTTTTTTTTTTTTTTTTTGTATTTTTAGTAGAGACAAGGTTTCACCATATTGGCTAGGATGGTCTCAAACTCCTGACCTGGTGATCTGCCCATCTTGGCCTTCCAAAGTGCTGGGATTACAGGTGTGAGCCACCACACCCGGCCCCAGCTAATTTGTTTGTTTTGAGATGGAACCTCGCTCTGTTGCCCAGGCTGGAGTGCAATGGTGTGATCTTGGCTCACTGCAACCTCCACCTCCAGGGTTCAAGCGATTCTCCTGCCTCAGCCTCCCAAGTAGCTGGGATTACAGTCACGTGCCATCACACCCAGCTAATTTTTGTATTTTTAGTAGAGATGGGGTTTCGCCATGTTGGCCAGGATGGTCTCGAACCCCTGACCTCAGGTGATCTACCTGCCTTGGCCTCCCAAAGTGCTGGGATTACGGGCGTAAGCCTCCGTGCCCAGCCGAGAAATGTTGATTATTAGGCTGAGTAGTTTGAACTCAACAAAGGCAATGTAAAATGACATTTCAGGGACTGCTTAGTGCAACAAAACACTTACATGGGGCCATTAGACCCTAACTATCTCTATTAGACTTAGCCCTGAGGGCAAGTACAATAATTCAGCCTGTATATTCACTGCCAGGCCCACAGTAAGCATTTCAAGAAGAGTATGAGAAAAGTGGATGTGACCAGGCATGGTGGCTCATGCCTGTAATCTCAGCACTTTGGGAGGCTGAGGTGGGTGGATCACGAGGTCAGGAGTTCGAGACCATCCTGGCCAACATGGCGAAACCTCGTCTCTACTAAAAATACAAAAATTAGCTGGGTGTGGTAGCGCGTGCCTGTAAACCCAGCTATTCAGAGGCTGAGGCATGAGAATTGCTTGAACCCGGGAGGCAGAGGTTGCAGTGAGCCAAGATTGTGCCACTGTACTCCAGCCTGGCGACACAGCAGTACTCCATCTCAATTAAAAAAAAAAAAAAGAATACATGTGCACTTAGCAAATGAAAAAAACTCAATGGGAAAGACAGTAGTTAAGAACCTGGGAGTTGGAATGGGAAAGAATTCTAAGTTCCTTCCCTAATAGTTAACCTTATACTATGATTAAAGTGTAAGTACAGTGATATGCTGTATGACTACAGACAAACTTATTTGGCTAGTTTACTGATAAAATAGTAGAAAATAATAGTTCCTACTTCACAAAGTTGTTCTGAAGATTAAATGAGATGATACACACAAAGCCTTTAGCATGGAGTCTGACTCACAGTAAACCCTAGGTAAATGGTAGCTGTATCTATTATCAAATGGAGACTCTTGAATTTCTTGCGTCAACCCATGTGACTGTTAACATATATATTGTTTGAATATTTGCTAAAGAGAAAGGAAAGACGGCCCAGCAGGGTAGCTTATGCCTATAATTCCAGCAGTTTAGGAGGCTGAGGTGGGAGGATTACTTGAGACCAGGAGTTCAAGACCAGCCTGGGCAGCATAGGGAGACCCCCATATCTACCAAAGGAAAAAAAAATTAGCCAGGTCTGGTGGCTTGTGCCTATAGTCCCAGCTACTCAGGAGGCTGAGATGGGAGGATCCCTTGAGCCCAGGAGGTCCAGGCTTCAGTGAGCCGTGATGGTGTATTGTACTCCAGCCTTGGTGATAGAGCAAGACCCTGACTCAAAAAAAAAAAAAGAAAGAAAAGGGGATTTTTTTTTTTTTTGAGACAGAGTCTAGCTCTGTCACCCAGGCTGGAGTCCAGTGGTGCCATCTCGGCTCACTGCAACCTCTACCTCCTGGGTTGAAGCGATTCTCCTGCTTCAGCCTCCTGAATAGCTGGGACTATAGGCGCCCTCCACCACACCTGGCTAATTTTTTTTGTATTTTTAGTAGAGACGGGGTTTTACCATATTTATTGGCCAAACTGGTCTTGAATTCCTGACCTTATGATCTGCCCATCTCGGCCTCCCAAAGTGCTGGGATTAAAGGCATGAGCCACCGTGCCCAGCCAGTGTACTTTATATGTATCCCAGGTACTTTATATGTTATTTTAATCCTCACAATAATAGTAATTATTATTATCTCCATTTTACAGATAAGGAAACCAAGGCTGATAGAGGTGAAGTAATTTCCTTCAGGTACTCAATATATATTTATTGAGTAAAGCCTTACTTTGGTGTAAGGCTTGTTCAAGACACTGGGAAAATAATACTGAACAAAAAGACAGGGTCCCTAATGAAACTTACATTCTATCCAGGGAGACACACAATATATTGACAATATAATATATTGTCAATACACACAATATATTGCCTGTAGTGTTATGAAGAAAATAGACAGGGTTCTGAGATAGAAGGTTATAAGAGGAAGGCCAGGTGCAGTGGCTCACATCTGTAATTCCAGCACTTTGGGAGGCCAAGGAGGGCAGATTACTTGAGGCCAGGAGTTCGAGACTAGCCTGGCCAACATGGTGAAACCGAGTCTCTATTAAAAATATAAAAAAAAATTAGCCGGGCGTGGTGGGGCACTTGTAATCCCACCTATTCAGGAGGCTGAGGCACAAGAATTGCTTGAACCCAGGAGGCGGAGGTTGCGGTGAGCCGAGATCCCGCCACTGCACTTCAGCATGGGGGACCAGGACAAGACTCCGTCTCAAAAAAAAAAAAAGAAAATTATGAAGAATGTGCTTTAGATAGGGTGGTCAGAAGAGGTGTTTTTAAAAGAAAAAGTTCAACTGAGAGCTGAAGAATGAGATGGGTAAGCCATGCAAAGAGCCAAACAGAGTTCAGGGCAGAGGGTACGTCAGGTACAAGGGCCTGGCCACAGGAAAAAGCTAGGAGCTCTGAAGCATGGTAATGAGATTTTTGGAAAGTGCCTTTAGTTGGTGGTATGGACAAGGGCCAGATCATGAGGACCCTACAGAGCATGGTAATGAGTTTGGATTTAATTCCAAATACAAATGAGAAGGTAATGTAAGATTAAAAAGCAGATGAAGAGCATAATCTTATTTTCTTATTTCTTAAAAGACACTTCCCTTGCTGAGTAAATGTAGTGGAGGAGTTGGGGGTAGGAGAAAAGGGCAGAAGAGAAACTTGTTAAGGAGGTAGATGACATTTGTTCAGGGAAGAGATAAGAGCCTTGTACTAGGGTGATCATCGGAGGGGAGATAAAATCAACAGGACTCCACTACACGTGGAGGAATCAAAGGTTCTGGTTAGCACCAGTATCCAGATGAGAAAAGATTAGGGTGGAGATAGGTCCCATTTTGAAATGCCAGCGAGCCACCTAAGAGGAGATATCAATAGACAGCTGGCTACTCAAAATAGAGATGACCAGCAGAAGGAGCTGTAGATGCAGTTATTTCCTTGGGGCGGGTTGTGCGGGGGGGCGCATGTAGGGGATTAGCAAGTGGAGGAACACAAAAAGGACATCAGAGCTTTCCACTACACCGGGTTGTTACTTAATAGACTAACACGACATTTAGGTTCCCATGGGTTGTGTGGGCCAGAAGCGCAGTTCCAGGAACCGACTACAACATAGTGTGGGATATGATGTTTCTCTTCAAATAACCCGATCAATCTTTTATTCTTTAATTCATAGTACCCTCCCTTTTTTCTCTTTTTCTCCTTTTTTGCTTTTGTTAAATGCCCAGGCACGCCACAATACTAGGCCTTATCAATACCAGCTCACATTCCTTTCCTTATTTGAAGGGACTAACTTTTTAGCTCATTACAGACACCCCTTCCCCTTTCCTGTCCGCTTTCTTTTAAGTACCCACCTTAGCTAAAAAAAATCAAATGTTTAGCCAACCGGGATTAGTTTAGATTATACGACCCGACCCCAGCCAATGGGAAAAAGATACAGGGGCAGGACTTGCGTCAAAAATAGACTCCTGCCCCTTTGTTCAGGTGTGCTCTCAAGGCGACTGGCCAAAAAGGCACCCCTCTGCGCAAAAATAAAATTGCTTTGCTAAAAATCCTTTGTTCAAGTGTTCAATTTCCTTAAGATTTTAAAAGTTATTCATAACAATAGGCTCCTGTTTCAGTATTTCCTGGTGCGGCGTACCACACCTACAGCGGTCGAGTCACGCCAGGCACTGCCAAGACGCCGAAAAGTTCTCCCGCAGCAGGCCGGAGGTGACCGACGGCGCGCAGGCCCCAGCGAGCGCTGCATGCTGGGATCCGTAGGCCGGGGCGGCGGATGTTTGCGCAGCTTCCTTGAGATGCCACCGCCCGCTGCGCCGCGCAGAAACGGGGAGCGCAGCGCACCCGCGGCCTGCGTCACTCGGTCAGTGCAGTCGTTCTAAAATCGAGGCGGACCCTGCTTTCTTGCCTGGAGTCACTTAGAGATGATGACTAAAGGATAAATTCAGAGTCCTCCAAATGGCGTCCAGTGTCCATTTCATCACGATTTGGAACCTGTAGTAGCCTTATCGCTTAACACTTCCTAATTATTATTATTATTATTTTCTTTTTGAGAAAGGGCATTGCTCTGTCGCCTATGCTGGAGTAATCCAGCGACATAATCCCGGCTCACTGCAGCCTCTATCTCCCGTGTTCAGCGATCCTTCTTCCTCAGCATCCCGAGTAGATGGGACCAAAAGGCACGCATCACCACACCAGGCTATTTTTTCCCCTCTATTTTTTGTTGAGACCCGTTGGGAGGCGCGGGGAGGGGGGTCTCCCTATGTCGCCCAGACTGGTCTCAAACTCCTGGAACTTAAGTTATCGTCCTACCTCGGCCCGTTAAAGTGTTGGGATTACAGGCCTGAGCCACCGGGCCCCAACATTAATTATTCTTCAAGCCTATTCTGGACCGGGCGCGGTGGCTCACGCCTGTAATCCCAGCACTTTGGGAGGCCGAGGCGGGTGGATCATCTGAGGTCAGGAGTTCGAGACCAGCCTGGCCAACATGGTGAAACCACATCTCTACTGAAAATACAAATATTAGCCGGGCGTGGTGGCACGCACCTGTAATCCCAGCTACTCGGGGGCTGAAGCAGCAGAATCGCTTGAACCTGCGAGGCGGAGGTTGCAATGAGCCGAGATCGCGCCACTGCACTCCAGCCTGGGTGACAAGAGCAAGACTCCGTCTCTCACACACACACACACACACACACACACACAAAGACTATTCTGGTCTCTGCCTCCGGGATGGCGGCTCGCTTTGGACCTCTCTTCTGTGCTTCTACTGCCCTCTCTTACAATTCTCTAATAATTATAATCATGGCGAGTGCTTACCATATATTCCAATCTATTTACTTCCACAAGCTCATTAATTCTCACCCTAACCCTCTGAGATGGTTACTATTATTTCCTCTCTGCAGCTGAGGGAATTTTGGGCTAGGGACGTTATGTAAGTTGAGCCACGCTACGCTAAAAGTTCCACACTCAATTCTAGCGTCTCGGCTCTGGACTACCAAGTTCCGGAGCAAGCAGACAGACCACCTCTTTACGTTCCCGTAGGCCACGCTCCGGGGGCGGGGCTCCAGTGAGGATACTGCATCCCATGGTGCCTTGCGCGCCAGCGCAGCCATTGGTCCGGCTACTCTGTCTCTTTTTCAAATTGAGGCGCCGAGTCGTTGCTTAGTTTCTGGGGATTCGGGCGGAGACGAGATTAGTGATTTGGCGGCTCCGACTGGCGCGGGACAAACGCCACGGCCAGAGTACCGGGTAGAGAGCGGGGACGCCGACCTGCGTGCGTCGGTCCTCCAGGCCACGCCAGCGCCCGAGAGGGACCAGGGAGACTCCGGCCCCTGTCGGCCGCCAAGCCCCTCCGCCCCTCACAGCGCCCAGGTCCGCGGCCGGGCCTTGATTTTTTGGCGGGGACCGTCATGGCGTCGCAGCCAAATTCGTCTGCGAAGAAGAAAGAGGAGAAGGGGAAGAACATCCAGGTGGTGGTGAGATGCAGGTAGGGAGAGGGCTGACAGGATTCCGAGCGCTGCGGCTTCGCTGCTGGGCCCCCTACTGCGCGGTCCAGGGAGAGGGATTTTATTTGCATTTCCTGAGGGTCCCAGTTTCTTGGTTCTCCGCGTTCTGTTCAATAAAAATGACACCCGGTTGCTGTGTGTATGTGGTTTTTAGGAGAAAATAACATGTTTGATTTGATCACTGTTCCATACTGAAAAGTGCGTTCTTATGTTTAAACTATAGTCAATAAAGATGTAGGTGTCACTTTTATATGCTACTTCATGTAGTTTGTCAGTTTGGAAGTAAGACTGAATACCTATTTTGCAGATGGTTAAGCACTTACGTTGGTATTATTACCTCTAAAAAGCAATCAATCACTGTTCTCTTTATTCTAGATGCAATATTTTCTGCATCCCTACTAAACAAGTAAACATCTCTGTCTTTAAACATTAAAAATTAATAAAGTGAGTTTATGTTTTTTAAAAGATCAAGACAAGTTAAGCTAGTGTAAATTTCTGATTGTGCTGCAGTTTTCCCTTTCATCTGCGTGTTTGTTCATAGACCAAACTAAACGGATATTTCGAGATAAAGGGATGTGGAGGGGTGTTCGGCCCTCCCCTGACTGGTTTCCAAATAACTTCCCAATTTTAAAATAAGCTAGAAACTGCTGCTTAGTTAGAATTGATTTATTCAACTTTTTAGAGGCTCTCCACAGTTTACTGAGTATGTGTGTTTTGTGTGTCCGTTTTTGTGGCTGTTAACAGTTGCTGTTGCAACTTTTCTGTAAACCCCAAAGTATTCTAAAATTAAAAGGTTATTTTTTAGAAAAACTTGTATCAACAAACTTTCTTAGGCTATTGTTTACTCAGCCCTGGTAACTTGAATTGTGGATATCGAAGGTGATGACTAGGTTTCTAAACAAGGTGTCAGAGAGGAAATTGGGTGGCAATCTTAAGTCTAGCCAGTGACACTTACTAGTTGTTGTACTCTGGGGCTTCTGTTAGTAGTTAGTTGTTTGAAGATTTTTATTTAAAAATGCAGTGCATATAACAAGTGCAAATTTTAAAATTATTTTGGTTGTTTAATAAAACCAGGCAATATTACCTTTTCCGTATGCATTTATTTAATTTCTTTTTTAATGTTAGTTACAAAATATTTCAGACTTACAAAAAGTTATTAAGAACAATGTAATAAACATTTGTATATTCATCACCCAGATTAAGAAACAAAACAATCATTGCTGGAGCCCCCCTTTTCCCTCTCCATCCCTTTTCCTCCAGCCACTGTTAACCATTATCTTGAACTTGATGTTTATGATCCGTATACATTTCAAGTCTTAGAAGAGATTTACTTTATCACCAATGAATAGAATAGTTCTTTGCTTGTGTCTAATATTTACAATAATTTTTGTGTAAAGAGATTTTTTTTTTCAGATTAGCCTTTTTCTTTCAAATAGCCTTCCTGGTGCGTCTGTCATTAAGCATTAAGCTTTAGTAAATAGGCAACTTATGAGTTGCGAGGTCCTCAGGGGTTGGTAAGCCTTTTCTGTAAAGGGCCCAGAGAAATAAATATTTATTTTATTTAAATACTTTAGGCTTTGCAGATCACATGTGGTTTATCAGTTTTTTTTGAGACGGAGTCTCGCTCTCTTAGGCCGTAGTGCAGTGGTGCAATCTCAGCTCACTGCAACCTCCGCCTCCCGGATTCAAGCAATTTTCCCACTTCAGCCTCTCAGGTAGCTGGGATTACAGGCGCACACCGCCATGCCTGGCTAATTTTTGTATTTTTAGTAGAGATGGGGTTTCACCATGTTGGCCAGGCTGGTCTCGAACTCCTGACCTCAGAGAATCCACCCACCTTGGCCTCCCAAAGTGCTGGGATTATAGGCGTGAGCTACTGTACCCCTTTACATGTGGTTTCTGTCACATTATTTTCTGATCTTTTTTTTTTTAAGAACACTTTAAAACTGTAAAAATCATTCTTAAATCTGTCAGGGCAGGGGCCAGGTTTGACCCACAGGTTAAAGTTTACAGATCCCTACATAATGCGCTACTGGTTCTCTTTCTTATGTCCCTCCTATTCCATCCCCTATTTTTTTCCCAATTTAAAAAGTCATTTTCAAACACACATAATATAAAATTTAACATCTTAACCACTTTTAAGTGTACAGTTCAGTGATATTAAATACATAATATTCTGCAACAATTACTACCATCCATCTCCATAACTCTTTTCATCATGAAAAACTGAAACTCTATACACATTAAACAATAACTCCCCATTTCCCTCTCCCATCAACCCGACACCTACCATTCGACTGTCTTATGATTTTGACTACTCTAAGTACTTCATAAAGTGGAGTCATAATACAGTATTTATCCTTTTGTGACTTGCTCATTCCACTTAGGCATAATGTCCTCCAGGTTGGACCATGTTGTAGCAAATGTCAGGGTTTTCTTCCTTTTTAAGGCTGCATAGTATTTATTATATGTATATACCACATTTTGCTTGTCCCTTCATATGTCAATGGATACTTGAGTTACTTCTTTTTTTGTTGTTGTTGTTTTTGAGACCGAGTCTCGCTCTGTTGCCCAGGCTGGAGTGCAGTGGCGCGGTCTTGGCTCACACTGCAAGCTCCATCTCCCGGGTTCACGCCATTCTCCTGCCTCAGCCTCCCAAGGAGCTGGGACTACAGGCGCCTGCCATCTCTCCCGGCTAATTTTTTGTATTTTTAGTAGAGACGGGGTTTCACCATATTAGCCAGGATGGTCTCCATCTCCTGACCTTGTGATCTGCCCGCCTTGGCCTCCCTAAGAGCCGGGATTACAGGCGTGAGCTACGGAGCCCGGCCTTGAGTTACTTCTTACTTTTAGCTATTATGAATAATGTTGCTATGAATATGGGTTTTCAATTCTTTTGGGTATTTACCCAGAATTGTAATTGCTGGATCATATGATAATTCTATTTTAAAGTTTTTGAGGAACCGACAAACTATTTTCCACAGTGGCTGGACCATTTTACATTCCTACCAACAGTGCATAAGGGTTCCAATTTCTCCACATCCTCACCAACGTTTATTTTCTGTTTCTTTTTTTTTTTTCAAGTAGCCATCCATTGGGTGTGAGGTGCTATCTCATTGTAGTTTTGATTTGTATTTCCCTAATGATTAATGATGTTGAGCATCTTTTCATGTGTTTACTGGCCATTTTGTGTATCTTTGGAGAAATGTCTGTTTAAGTCCTTTGCCCATTTTTAAATTGGTTTGCTTTTTTGTTGTTGAGTTTTAGGAATTTTCTATATATTTTGGATATTTTCAGATACATAAACGGCAAAAATTTTTTCCCCATTACTGTGGTTTGCCTTTTTACTCATTGATACCGTGTGGTCTTTTCCTTTCTTTTTCTTTTTGGAACCAGTGCATGGCCTCTTTGTTGATTCTGTGTTTGGCCCCAGTGCAGCCTGTTCTGTGCTATGTGTCTGCAGTGCTGAAACCAGGCCTACCCAGCACCATACAGAAGTCCAGGCTGTAGATACCAATGCATGGGTCACATTTGATACCCAAATCTGTGTGTTCCTGGATCTCCAAACCAAAGTTTCCAGTATCTGAGAAGTTGTTCTTTCTTGATTCACACTCCTGCATCTTTAGACCTTTCTTCAGGGTTTCTTCTGCTTTGGCCCTTTGTGCAGTGGGTGGCAATCTTCACTTCTCCTGATGCCAAAGGATCTGACAATGTATTTGACTTTGGAGAACACAGGGGTCTGGCCTATGAGCTGCTCCAACACCTTGGCTGCTGGGGTCAGTCATCTCCAGTCTCCTCCATACAGATGTTGAGACAGAAAATCGTTCTGTCACCCAGGCTGGAGTGCAGTGGCACAGTCTCGGCTCACTGTAACCTCTGCCTGTCAGGTTCAAGCAATTCTTATGCTTCAGCCTCCCAAGTATCTGGGATTACAGGTGTGCACCACCATGCCTGGCTAATTTTTTGTATTTTTAGTAGAGATGGGGTTTCGCCTTGTTGGCCAGGCTGGTCTTGAACTACTGGCCTCAAGTGATCCACCCATTTTGGCCTCCCAAAGTGCTGGGATTATGAGTGTGAGCCCTCATCTGGCCAGAGTTCTCTTTTTTTTACCTTGATCTTGCACTATGATGGAGAAAAGGAAGATAAAGTCTTTTTTTTTCCCTTGGGTTTGTTTGTTTGTTTGTTTGTTTGTTTTTTGAGACGGAATTTTGCTCTCGTTGCCTAGGCTGGAGTGCATTGGTACGATCTTGGCTTACTGCAACCTCCGCCTCCTGGGTTCAAGCCATTTTCCTGCCTCAGCCTCTAGAGTAGCTGGGATTACAGGCATGCGCCACCACGCCTGGCTAATTTTGTATTTTTAGTAGAGATGGGGTTTCACCATGTTGGTCAGGCTGGTCTTGATCTCCTGATCTCAGGTGATCCGTCCACCCTGGCCTCCCAAAGTACTGGGATTACAGGCGTGAGCCCGTGCCTGGGCTATTTTTTTTTTCTCCCCTTTAAATATAGTATCTTGCTTTATTGCCCAGACTTGTTGTGAACTCCTGGACTCAAATAGTCCTCCTACCTCAGCCTTCCAGGTAGCTGGGATCACAGGGATGCTGTCTTTTGATACACAAACATTTTAAATTTTTATGAAGTCCAGTTTGTCTTTTTGTTTTTGTTCCCTGTATCTTTGGTGTTATATCCAAGAAATCATTGCCAAATCCATTGTTGTGAAGCTTTTGCCTTATGTTTTCTTCTAAGAGTTTTATAGCTTTAGGTCTTACATACATTTTTGATCCATTTTGAGTTAATATTTGTATATTGTGTTAGATAAGGGTCCAACCTCATTCTTTTGCATATGGATATTTAGTTTCCCAGCACCATTTGGTGAAAAGCTTGTCTTTTTCTGATTGAATGGTCTTGGCAACCTTATTAAAAATCATTTGCTCATATGTAAGAGGGCTTATTTCTAAGTGCTGTTATGTTCCATTGGTCTATAAGTCTGTCTTTATGTCAGTACCACATGGTTTTGATTATTGCAGCTTTGTAGTAAGTTTTGAAATCAGGAAGTGTGAGTCCTCCAGCTTTGTTCTTTTTCAAGATTGTTTTGGCTATCTGGACTCCCTTGGGATTCCATATGAATTTGAGGATGAATTTTTCTATTTTTGTAAAACACGTCATTGGGATTTTAATAGGGATTACATTGAATCTATAGATCACTTTGGGTAGTATTGGCATCTTAACAATATTAAGTCTTTCAGTTCATGAACAAGGGATGTGTTTCCATTTATTTATGCCCCTTAATTTCTGCCAGCAGTTTTTTTTTGTTTGTTTTTGTTTTGAGATGGAGTTTCGCTCTTGTTGTCCAGGCTGGAGTGCAGTGGCACAATCTTAGCTCATTGCAACCTCCACCTCCCGAGTTCAAGTGATTCTCCTGCCTCAGCCTCCTGAGTAGCTGGGATTACAGGTATGTGGCACCACGACCAGCTAATTTTTGTATTTTTACTAGAGACAAAGTTTCACCATGTTGGTCAGGCTGGTCACGAACTCTTGACCTCAGGTGATCCACCCACCTTGGCCTCCCAAAGTGCTGGGATTATAGGCGTGAGCCACTGCGCCTGGCCTCAGCAGTGTTTTATAGTTTTCATTTTATAAGTCTTTCACCTCCTTGGTTAAATTAATTACTAATATTTTATTCTTTTTGGTGCTATTTTAAATTGAGTTGTTTTTGTAATTTCCTTTTTAGATTGTTCATTCTTAGTGTATAAAAATGTAACTGGAGGCTGGACGCAGTGGCTCTCACCTGTTATCCCAGCACTTTGGGAGGCAAGGTGGGCCTCCCAACTCCTGATCACGAGATCAGGAGTTCAAGGCCAGCCTGGCCAACATAGTGAAACCCTGTCTCTACTAAAAATACAAAAATTAGCCATGCATCGTGGCGCGTGCCTGTAGTCCCAGCTACTTAGGAGGCTGAGGCAGGAGAATCGCTTGAACCTGGAAGGTGGAGGTTGTGGTGAGCCAAGATCGTGCCACTGTACTCCAGCCTGGGCAACAGAGTGAGACTCTGTCTCAAAAAAAAAAAAAAAGAAAAAAGAAACGTCGCTGGATTTTGCTTGTTGACTTTCTATCCAGCTACTTTGCTGAATTCACTTATTAGTTCTAACAGTTTTTTTTTGTGTGTGTGTAATTTTAGAGTTTTCTTTTCTTTTTTTTTTTTTGAGATGGAGTCTCGCTTTGTTGCCAGGCTGGAGTGCAGTGGCGCGATCTCGGCTCACTGCAACCTCTACCTCCCAGGTTCAAGCAATTCTCCTGCCTCAGCCTCCCGAGTAGCTGGGACTACAGGCACACGCTACGACGCCCAGCTAATTTTTGTATTTTTAGTAGAGACGGGGTTTCACCATGTTGGCCAGGATGGTCTCGATCTCTTGACCTCGTGATCCACCTGCCTCAGCCTCCCAAAGTTCTGGGATTACAGCCGTGAGCCACTGTGCCTGGCTTTTTTTTTTTTTTAATTAACTATTGAACTTCTGTTTATTATTATTATTATTATTTATTTATTTATTATTTTTTGAGATGAAATCTCGGTCTGTTGCCCAGGCGGGAGTGCAGTGGTGTGATCTCGGCTCACTGCAACCTCCGCCTCCCGGGTTCAAGCAATTCTGTGCCTCAGCCTCCGGAGTAGCTGGGATTATAGGCGCTCGCCACCATGCCCGGCCAATTTTTGTATTTTTAGTAGAGATAGGGTTTCATCATGTTGGTCAGGCTGGTCTTGAACTCCTGACCTCGTGATCCGCCCGCTTCGGCCTCCCAAAGTGTTGGGATTACAGGCGTGAGCCACTGCACTTGGCCTTATTTTTATTATTTTTTTCATCAACTTTTAAGTTCTGGGGTACATGTGCATGATGTGCAGGTTTATCACATAGGTAAACCTGTGCCATCACAGTTTGCTGCACAGATCAACCCATCACCTAGCTATTAAGCCCAGCATCCACTAGCTATTCTTCTTGATGCTCTAGCTCCTTTTGCCCCACTGAATTTTAGGGTTTTCTTTCTTTTCTATTTTTTTTTCTTTTGAGACAGACTCTCGCTCTGTCACCAGGCTGGAGTGCAGTGGCACAATCTTGGCTCATTGCAACCTCTGCCTCCTGGGTTCAAGCGATTCTCCTGCCTCAGCCTCCCGAGTAGCTGGGACTACAGGCATGCGCCCATGCCTAGCTAAGTTTTTGTAGTTTTAGTAGAGACAGGGTTTCACTATGTTGGCAAGGCTGGTCTCAAACTCCTGACCTCAAGTCCCCTTGGGGTTCCTGAAGTACTGGGATTATAGGTGTGAGCCACCACGCCCGGCCAGATTTTCTATATAAAAGATCATATAATCTGCAGACAGATAATTTTACTTTTTCCTTTTCTTTCTTTTTTTCTTTTTTTGAGATGGAGTCTCGCTCTGTCGCCCAGGCTGGAGCGCGGTGGCGCCATCTCTGCTTACTGTTACCTCTGCCTCCTGGGTTCAAGCAGTTCTCTGCCTCAGCCTCCCAAGTAGCTGGGATTACATGCACATGCCACCACGCCCAGCTAATTTTTGTATTTTTAGTAGAGATGGGAGTTCATCATCTTGGCTAGGCTGGTCTTGAACTCCTGACCTCGTGATCCATCCGCCTTGGCCTCCCAAAGTGCTGGGATTACAGGCATGAGCCACCGCTCTTGGCCCTCAACCTTTTCCTTTTCAATTTGGATGCCTTTTATTTTTATTTTTCTTCCTTTTTTTTTTGAGATGGAGTCTCGCTCTGTTGCCCAGGCTGGAATGCAGTGGTGCAATCTCTGCTCACTGCAACCTACGCCTCCTGGGTTCAAACGATTCTCCTGCCTCAGCCTTCCGAGTAGCTTGTACTACAGGCATGTGCCACCATAAACAGCTAATTTTTTTTTTTTCTCGTATTTTTAGTAGAGACGGGGTTTCGCCGTTTTAGCCAGGCTGGTCTCGATCTCCTGACCTCGCGATCCGCCTGCCTCAGCCTTCCAAAGTGCTGGGATTACAGGCGTGAGCCACCATGCCCGGCCCTTGTTTTTCTTTCTTGCCTAATTACTCTAGCTAGAACTTACAGTATTATGTCGAATGGAAGTGGCAAAAGTGGGCATTGGGCATCCTTGTCTTGCTCCTGTTCTTTTATTTGTTAGTTTGTTTGAGATCCTCCTGCCTCAGTTTCCTGAGTAGCTGGGACTATAGACACACTACTACACCCAGCTAATTAAAAAAATAATTTTTTTTTTTTTTTTAGAGATGGGGTCTCGCTATGTTTCCCATGCTGATCCTGAACTCCTGGCTTCGGGTGATCCTCTACTCTTACCCTCCCATAGTGCTGTGATTACAGGCATGAACCACTGTGCTGGCCCTGTTCTTGTTTTTAGAGGAACATTCTTCAGTCTTTGACCATCAATTATGTTTGCTGTGGGTTTTTCATATGTTGCTTTTATTTTGTTGAGGTAGTTTCACTCTATTCCTAGTTTGTTGAGCATTTTTATGACTAATGGGTTTTGAATTTTGTCACATGCTTTTCCTGCATCGATTGACATGATTCTGTGGTTTCCTTCATTCTGTTAATGTGGTATATTACATTGATCAATTTTTACATGTTGGACCATCCCTGTATTCCAGGAATAAATCCCACTTGGTCATGGTGTATAATCCTTGTGCTGCTCAGTTCAATGTGTTGGTATTTTGTTGAGGATTTTTTTTTATCAGTGTTCATAAGGGATAGTGATCTGTAGTTTTCTTGTAGTTGCCTTTGTCTGGCTTTGGTATCAGGGTAATGCTTGCCTCACAAAATGAGTTGGGAAGTGTTCTCTCCTTTGCCAGATTTTTTCTGGGAAAAGATTGAGAAGAACTGGTATTAGATCTTCTTGAAATGTTTTATAGAATTCACCTATGAAACTATCAGATCTAGGGCTTTTCTTTGTCAGGAGATTTTTGGTTAGTGAGTCCATCTCTTTACTGGTTATAGCTCCATTCAGAATTTCCATTTCTTTGTGATTTAGTCTTTGTAAGTATTGTGTTTCTAGGAATTTGTTCAGCTGGGTTATCCGATTTGTTGGCATACAATTGTTGAAAATACTCTTTCAACAATAAGAGAGAAGACACAAATAACTAGTTCTTTTGTTTCCAGTTCCTTAAGTTGTAAAGTTAGGGTGTTGATATGAGATCTTTCTTGCTTTTTAATGTAAGCATTCATAGCTATAAATTTCCCCCTTAGCACTGCTTTTGCTGTGTCCCGTAAGTTTTGGTATGTTGTATTTTCATTTTCATTAATCTCTAAAATTTTCTAATTTTCCTTGTGATGTCTTTGAACCCTGGTTACTTAAACACACACACACACACACGTGTGTGTGTGTGTGTGTGTGTGTGTGTGTGGTTTTTTGTTTGTTTTGAGACTGAGTTTCGCTCTTGTTGCCCAGGCTGGGGTGCAATGGCGCGATCTCGGCTCACTGCAACCTCTGCCTCCCGGTTCAAGCGATTCTCCTGTCTCAGCCTCCAGAGTAGCTGGGATTACAGGCGCCTGCCACCACGCCTGGCTAATTTCACACACACATTTAAAAAATACATCTACCTGCTTTTACTTCAGAATCTTTGCAATTTCTGTTCTCTCTGCCTGAAAATTTTTTCCACCAAAATATCTACAGGGCCTGGCTCCCTTGCTTTTTAGGTTCTGCTTAAATATCACCTGCGTAGAAGCATTCCCTAACTACCCTAAAATAGCAACCAACTATCTTCCACCCTCAACACTTCCTATCCCCCTTAAACTGCTTTCTTTTCTTTTCTTTTTTTTTTTTTTTTTTTGAGACAGAGTCTCGCTCTGTTGCCCAGGCCTGGAGTGCAGTGGCGCATTCTTGGCTCACCGCAACCTCCACTTCAGCCTCCCAAGTAGCTGGGACTGTAGGTGGCTGCCACCATGCCTGGCTAATTTTTTTTTTTTTGAGATGGAGTCTCACTCTTTCACCCAGGCTGGAGTGTAGTGGCACAGTCTCGGCTCACTGCAGCCTCCATCTCCCAGGTTCAAGTGATTTCTGGCTAATTTTTGTATTTTTAGTAGAGATGAGGTTTCACCATATTGGCCAGGGCTAGTTTCGAACTTCTGACCTCAAGTGATCTGCCCACCTTGGCCTCCCAAAGTGCTAGGATTACAGGTGTGAGCCACTGTGCCTGGCCTAATTTTTGTATTTTTAATAGTGATGGGTTTTTACTATGTTGGCCAGGCTGATCTCAAACTCCTGACCTCAAGTGATTCACCCACCTCAGCTTCCCAAAGTGCTGAGATTACAGGCGTGAGCCACTGTGCCTGGCCTGCTTTATTTTCATTTCTAATTTATCAGCATCTAATATATTTATTCATTTTATAGTCATCTCTTCCTTCAACTAAGTTAAAAGCTCCCTGAGCACAGGATTTTGGTGTTTTTTTCTTTCCTTTAACTTTGTATTGTTCATTGCTGTATCTCCAGTGTCTAGAAAATTACCTATCACATAGTAAGTACTTGATGAATATTTGTGGAATGAGTTAATTTAGCACTTCTCCACAGGATAGGACTTAGGTTTTTTTAATCCTCAATCTCCCTTCCCTCACCATTTTGATTGTTTGAATTTTTATATAACTATGGTGAAGCCAACAAATTGATGGATTTGTTAGTGTGAGCAGCCGAAACTTTGCAATTTCTAATAAGTTAGAGAAGTCTGGGTAGGAAACTAATGACTTGGCAGTACTCTTTCTTAGAGTACACATAGTCCCTAAAGCTTCTCTGAGAATTTTGATAACTTTGAGGAATGTGTGATCTGTATGAATTTCCTATCACTTAGTCCTGACAATGTGAATGGTATTCATTTGGTAACTTAATTTTATACGTCCAGGCAAGATACTAGTTTAGGGGATGCCAAAAATAATAGACTAATTGGAAAAGCTTTAGCCACATGAGAGCAATTCACTCCACTTGATGCTCTTGGCCTACCTCAGTATAAGTTGGTTCTACCTTAGTTTTGTTGAAGTTTTAATAATACTGTACATTCATGTTGGTTATATGCATTGTGTAAGTTTTAGTATAGTTGGCAAATGAAAGCATTACCAGATACTACCTGGGAGTTAAGTTTCCTAGGATCACAGATTTGGTCTTCTGATCACTTGGAAGTATACTTAGAGTGGGCTGTGCCAGGGGAAGTTGAGGTATCCTTCTTAAATAAGTAGCAACTTGGTTTATCTAGTGATAAGGGGGAAATAATTTCCTGTTTGGCACTTTCTCCAAAATATATGATACTCAATGGGAAAAATGAACTCAGGTCAAGATTATGTCTCTCCCTTTGGCCCAGACATGTATTGAGTATATAATTGTCTTATTGATGCTACTCTGTGGACTGTGATATTAGTTTTCCCATAATTCCTCTTAGGATGACATTTATTAGGCAATGTAGTTTAACAGATATTTAAGAACCTACTGTGTGCTAAGCATGGTAGTTGTTGCTGGGGAAACAGTAAACTAGACAGTATTTCTTTCTGTAGTGATCTGAGGTTTAGTGGGTAACACATTAAAAAAAAAAGATAAGAGAGGTGATGTTTAGAAAAGGTGTATAAAGGGTGCTGTAGGAATATATAGCAGACATTTAATGTGGTCTTGGTTGGAGCAGGTGGGGGAGGCACATAGGATAGAAAGGACTTCCTGAGGAAATAATCATTTCAACTAAATACCTACTCAGGCATTTCCGTAGAATGAGGACTCTTGATCCAGTCGGCAGTGTAGACCTTCTGTGTCTATTCACTCATTTAAAAATGGGGCTAATAATATTACCAACCTCACAGTGTTGTGTGGACAAACTGAGTGAGCACAATGCAAAGCACTTGAAACAATAAGTACCTGGCACATAGTAAGTACTCAACTTATTAGTCATTATTTTTATGTACTTTTTATTTTGTGCCAGGTATCTACTGGCAGATTAGTATTTTGAACACAAATTTGACATGTTTTTTTCTACTACATCATAACCTAATTTGATCGGATTTTTTTTTTTTTTTTTTTTTGAGACGGAGTTTCGCTCTTGTTGCCCAGGCTGGAGTGCAATGGCGCGATCTTGGCTCACCGCAACCTCCACCTCCCAGGTTCAAGCAATTCTCCTGCCTCAGCCTCCCGAGTAGCAGGGATTACAGGCATGCACCACCATGCCCAGCTACTTTTGTATTTTTAATAGAGACAGAGTTTCTGCATGTTGGTCAGGCTGGTCTCGAACTCCCGACCTCAGGTGATCCGCCTGCCTCGGCCTCCCAAAGTGCTGGGATTACAGGCGTGAGCCACTGCGCCCAGCCTTGATCAGATTTTAAGAATAGGAGAAATGGAATTCTGAAAAATAAGTTTGGCATTTTTACAAGTTAAAACCTGTTAGTGGCTGGGCACAGTGTCTCACTTCTGTAATACTAGCACCTTGGGAAGCTGAGGTGGGATAATCACTTGAGCCCGGAAGTTTGAGACCAGCCTGTGCAACACAGCAAGACCCCATCTCTACCATCAAAACAAAACAAATCTATTCGTATCTGCTCTAAGAAGCTGCCAGAATTGTAATGTCTTAACATATCTTTGAACATTTAAAAAATTATATTTGTGAAACTTGAGACACTTATAATTTTACTGTCTGCTTTAGCAATATCACTTAGTCCTGATTTAATCTCCATCACCAACAATGTGGTCAAAATTTCGCATTTTTCTTGACAAATGTAGTTAGTGAAAATGTCATTGATAACCTGAGAACTAAGAGCTCTTGAATGACTTTGTGTATTTCTTTTTATAGACCATTTAATTTGGCAGAGCGGAAAGCTAGCGCCCATTCAATAGTAGAATGTGATCCTGTACGAAAAGAAGTTAGTGTACGAACTGGAGGATTGGCTGACAAGAGCTCAAGGAAAACATACACTTTTGATATGGTAACATATGGTGCAATTTCTTTATTATCCACTAATGTAAAATAATTTTAATATACATATTTTACCTGGAAAATGGTGTATACTTAGAAATTTCAGTTGTCTCTGAATTGTCAGATGGCTTCTAGTGGGCTGAATTATGAATTAGTTAACATACGAAAAACAAAATTATTAAAATGAGTAATTTTGAGGTTGATTTTTTTTTTTTTAATTTTTTTCGTTAGGTGTTTGGAGCATCTACTAAACAGATTGATGTTTACCGAAGTGTTGTTTGTCCAATTCTGGATGAAGTTATTATGGGCTATAATTGCACTATCTTTGCGTAAGTAAAAGGGTGTTTTTTCTGATTTATGAAAAAGCTTAAATGCTTGTGTTTTTTGTTGTTGTTTGTTTGTTTTTTGAGACGGAGTTTCACTCTTGTTGCCCAGGCTGGAGTGCAATGGCGCGATCTCGGCTCACTGCAGCCTCTGCCTCCTGGGTTCAAGCAATTCTCCTGTTTCAGCCTCCCAAGTAGCTGGGATTACAGCTGCCTGCCACCATGCCCGCTAATTTTTGTATTTTTAGTAGAGACGTGGTTTCACTGTGTTGGCCAGGCTGGTCTCGAACTCCGGACCTCAGGTGATCCGCCCACCTCGGCCTCCCAAAGTGTTGGGATTATAGGCTTGAGCCACTGTGCCTGGCTTGTTTTTTGTTTTTCTAGTCTATCACTAAGAGTCATATGGGTGCATGTTTCTTTTTGATTTAACACTTGTTAATCTTTACAGGTATGGCCAAACTGGCACTGGAAAAACTTTTACAATGGAAGGTGAAAGGTCACCTAATGAAGAGTATACCTGGGAAGAGGTATTTATTGTTTATAACATACTTTTATCTCTAATGTGACTGAAATTTAACTGTATAAAACTTGTTTGAGGGCCTCTGTCTTGGAATAGAGATCAGAGTACCTATGTCAAAATGAACTTAGGATAAACCACTACTACAGTAAAATTAAAGTGCATGGTATGACTCCTGTTTAAGAAACAGCCTCAATGGAAGAGGAAGGACCAATATATATGGCACAGTTATATGATAAAAGAGGAGTCTATTTATGACAGAATGGTTGGAGCAGAATATTGTAGAAAAGTTGGAATATGAGTGAAGCTTGAAGGCAGGGAGGGCTTTGTATTGAAGGAATGGGTCTCAGAAAGTTAGCATGGCCAGGGGAAGTATAGTACTTTATTCATGATGATCCTAAGTGTTCAAGAAATTAAGATGAATGTATTGTTTAATATTGCAGAAAGCATATACTATGTTTTACAAAGATTTCCATGAATTTAAGTGAGTTTAATAACTAAGAGAGAGAACCAATACTGGAAGAAAGTTGAAAGAAGACCAAGACAAGTTGAACTAGAGCTGAAGTGTTAAAACTTTTAAAAAAAAGTTTAGTTTTAAATTTAGTAATGTGTTTAAATTTAAATGAGTTTAATAACTAGTTAATTGGTCGGGCACGGTGGCTCATGCCTGTAATCCTAGCACTTTGGGAGGCTGAGGCGGGCAGATCACCTGAGGTCAGCAGTTCGAGACCAGCCTGGCCAACATGGTGAAACCCGGTCTCTACTAAAAATACAAAAATTAGCTGGGTGTGGTGGTGCATACGTGTAATCCCAGCTACCTGAGAACGAGACTCTGTCTCAAAAAAAAACAAAAAAACAAAAAACCAAAAAACTAGTTAATTTAAAAAAAAAAAGAATTTTTTTTAATTTTTTTTTTTTTTTTTAAATTTTAAAGTGATGGGGTCCCACTGTGTTCCCCAGGCCAGTCTTGAACTCTTGGGCTTCAGGAGTCCTCCCACTTCAGCCTCCTGAGTAGCTGGGATTAGAGGCACATACTACCTTGCCCAGCTAATTTTCCAAATTATTGACAGTTGGGTAGAACCTTTCTTCTAGTGGTTACATAATTGAGTCATTAACTTACTTTACATATATAGATAATAAAGTTATGAAATTGTTACCATAGGAGATATGGAATAGGCTTAAAGCATAGTTTCGCTGGGCAGAATTATTGAACTTGGCGTTTTTTTTTTGAGACGGAGTCTCGCTCTGTCGCCCAGGCTGGAGTACAGTGGCTCGATCTTGGCTCACTGCAACCTCCACCTCCCGGGTTCAAGTGATTCTCCTGCCTCAGCCTCCTGAGTAGCTGGGACTACAGGTACATACCACCAAGTCCGGCTAATTTTTGTATTTTTAGTAGAGATGGGGTTTCACCGTGTTGGCCGGGATGGTCTTGATCTCCTGACCTTGTGATCCACCTGCCTTGACCTCCCAAAGTGCTGGGATTATAGGCGTGAGCCACCGTGCCTGGCCGAACTTGGCTTTTTAAGTAGATAGGTTCCATTGGTTTCTATGTAATGCTCAGGGATGAAGATGGCTAAGAAGTGTGACAGGTTTATGGAGGGTGTGAAGACTACTGTAGAACAGACTGTTGTAAATGACTTCTCTAACATTAGGTTAGTTGTTTCTTTTTTTGTTTTGTTTTAACTTGCTTTGCCATACTTATGTTTAAATATATTATAAAGGAGGCCCATGTATTTTAACTGCCACAGTAAATGGCATTCTTCCTTTATATTAGTCCTTATTATAATTTCAGGATCCCTTGGCTGGTATAATTCCACGTACCCTTCATCAAATTTTTGAGAAACTTACTGATAATGGTACTGAATTTTCAGTCAAAGTGTCTCTGTTGGAGATCTATAATGAAGAGCTTTTTGATCTTCTTAATCCATCATCTGATGTTTCTGAGAGACTACAGATGTTTGATGATCCCCGTAACAAGGTAATTCAGTCTTTGAGAATGAAATGTCTCTGAATTTTAATGTGTGAGGCTTTGAGAAGTCAGAGAGAGAGAGAGAGAGAGAGAGAGAGAGAGAGAGAGTGTGTGTGTGTGTGTGTGTGTGTGTGTGTGTGTGTGTGTTTTAACCAATCTAATGGATGTTCTTTTGGTATTTTGGTCAGAGAGGAGTGATAATTAAAGGTTTAGAAGAAATTACAGTACACAACAAGGATGAAGTCTATCAAATTTTAGAAAAGGGGGCAGCAAAAAGGACAACTGCAGCTACTCTGATGAATGCATACTCTAGGTAAGAAAGCCATAGTCTCTTCCCTAGCCCCATTTTCTTTTAAGAAGAATTAGGAACTTGGAGAAAGTCAAATTGGGGTGGGTCAGGGTATGTGGGTCACGTACCTAGAGTTTGTGTTATAAGGAGGGGTCATTGGTAATTGGCTTGAGATTTATATGGAAGGAACCAATATTGGAAGAATGTTGAAAGGAGAACAAAGATAAGTTGAACCATAGCTGAAGTATTAAACTTTTTTTTCTTTTTTGAGACGAATTTTCGCTCTTGTTACCCAGGCTGGAGTGCAGTGGCGCGATCTTGACTCACTGCAACCTCTGCCCACCGGGTTGAAGCAATTCTCCTGCCTCAGCCTCTTGAGTAGCTGGGATTACAGGTGTCTGCCACTACGCCCAGCTAATTTTTGTATTTTTGGTAGAGATGTGGTTTCACCATGTTGGCCAGGCTGGTCTCGAACTCCTGACCTCAGGTGAACCACCTGCCTTGGCCTCCCAAAGTGCTGAGATTACACGTGTGAGCCACGGCGCCCGGCCTAAACTTTTTTAAAGTAGAAGAATCCTTTTATTCTAGTAACATGATATATGGAAGCCCAGGATAAAATGTGGCTGCTATAGTTGATTTTGGAATGGGACGCTCTGAGGCTTACCTCCTTAGCCTTATGAAGGGGTCCCTGAGGCACTTTTGTGGAGCCCCCTACTGATATTAGAATATAGTTTGAAAACCCTTGCATTGAATAAGGATTAGAAGTTAGGTCTTTTAAAATGGCTTTATTTTAGTGTGGGAGACAGATGGTCACTAACACTGGCTTTCATGGGGTGAAAGGGATGATTTTTTTCGCTCTAAATATCTTTTACCGAAATATAAAATTCCTTTTTAAAAAATTGTTTATTTTCCTCTCTTACCACTCTATTCATTGAGATATAAAATCCCTGTCATAAATTTACGTAAGTTAGAAACTCCTTTTTTCTTGTAAAGACCCGTACAGGACAAATTCCAAATTCTACAGATATAGTTTACTAAAACAGAAGTGGTTTTTTTGTGTGTGTGTGTGGTCTTTAAACCTCAGAATGTAATAGAAAAAGCAATGGATTGCAATTAGATATTTGCGTGTAGTCTCAGTTTCGCGGTTAATTCAGTATGTGACTTTTTGTAAATAAGTGAATTTATCTGCTTATCAGTTTCTCTGAGCTACAAAATTATTGTTAGGATTAGAAGTCTTATTTCTTTTCTGGCTTGTAGTTGAAAATTTCTATAAAATGCCATAACAATTACAGTTGCAACTCTAAAAAAGTTTGCATTTAAAGAAAGAAGAAAAATATAACATAAAAGTGATTAAGATCATGGAATTTTGGATGATTTCAAAATTTTAATTAAATTTTCACTTAATGGCTTTCCAATAAAATGGAAATTTTATTCTGTGGTTGATTATAACTTAATTTCATGTAGAATTTTGAGAACTGAACTAAAGACTAGGTAAAATTTCTTTAGGTACATTTCACTAAAGTATAAAATTTCTATTTTTCCTTTTTTCTTGTATGTAGACTTGTATAAAGGTCACTTTTTATGAAGGTATGTGACAAAGAGGAGAAGCTAATTAATTCAGTTTTCCCAAATTAGAGCTAACTTCAATGCTTATTTGTATTAATTGCCTAATCTGGATTAGGAATGGGTAGATAATGGTAGAAAAACATGAGATGAATAGTATTATTATTATTATTATTATTTTTGAGACAGAGCCTCTCTCTGTCCCCCAGGCTGGAGTGAAGTGATGCGATCTCGGCTCACTGCAAGCTCTGCCTCCCGGGTTCACGCCATTCTCCTGCCTCAGCCTCCTGAGTAGCTGGGACTACAGGTGCCCACCACCACGCCTGGCTAATTTTTTGTATTTTTAGTAGAGACGGGGTTTCACTGTGTTAGCCAGGTTGGTCTCGATCTCCTGACCTCGTGATCCGTCCACCTCGGCTTCCCAAAGTGATTACAGGCGTGAGGCACCATGCCCGGTGGAGATGAATATTATAATTCAGATCTATAGTTTACATTTATGTTTTTCCTTAGGTCTTCCTCCTTTTCTGTAATTTTAAATAATTTAAATAATTTTATAAAAATGATACTTGGCTGGGCGCGATGGCTGACGCTTGTAATCCCAGCACTTTCGGAGGCCAAGGTGGGTGGATCACTTGAGGTCCGGAGTTCAAGACCAGCCTGGCCAACGTGGTGAAACCCCGTCTCTACTAAAAATACAAAAATTAGCTTGGTGTGGTGGCGTGTGCCTGTAATCCCAGATACTCGGTAGGCTGAGGCAGGAGAACTGCTTGAACCCAGGAGGCAGAAGTTTCAGTGAGCTGAGATCATGCCATTGCACTCTAGCCTGGGCAATAAGTCTCAAATAAATAAATAATTAAAAAAGATACTTAATTTTTTTTTTAAGTAACATGAAAGTACAAAGAAGAAAATTGAAACTTACCAGATTCTCTGTCAATTGTCAGTGATATTAACAAACATAATAATGTTCACCAAATGCCATTGGATACAGAAAGAATGTCTTTGGTCATCTGTATAATTTTTTTTCCCCCTAAGATAAAAAGCACAGTATTTGTTTTGTTTTTTGTTTTTTTGTTTGCTTGTTTGTTTTTTTGTGATTTTTTTTTTTGAGACAGCGTCTCACTTTGTCACCCAGGCTGGAGTGCAGTAACTCAATCATGGCTTACTGCAGCCTTGACCTCCTGGGCTAAAGTGATCCTCCCACCTGAGCCTCCAGGGTAGCTGGAACTGTAGGAGCGTGCCACCACGCCCAGCTAATTTTTAAATTTTTTTGTAGAGATGATGGTCCCACTATGTTGCCCAGGCTGGTTTCGAACTCCTGAGTTAAAGTGACCCTCCTACCTTGGCCTCCCAAAGTGTTGGGATTACAGGCATGAGCTACCACCCCTGGCCTGAATATCAGTATTTAGCATAAGGTAGACTTTTGAACATTTTATAATCTAGCAGTGATTATCTTGTAGTGTTTTAGTAATCATGCTGTTTACTATTTCTGCTGTTAGGGGATAGGAGTCATCTATTTCTGATGACAGTCTCAAAGCAGAGAAGTGTACTTGTGCATGTACACAACAGCTGACATGGATGGGAAGGTGGAAGAGTAAACTAATGCCTTACCTGGTACCATTTGAATTTATGGTAATGACATATTTCAAATGGTTCTTATGAATAGAAGATGATTACAAGCCATCTCTTCTTGACATACCAGGCAACTGTTTCGACCCCACCCACATCCAGCTTTCAGAGGTGCCTCAGGATTCTAAGTCTTTTAGAGAGCTTCTTATTGATGCCTCTTTTGCAGGCAGTAGATATGAGAAAACAAAATCCTAATCACTGTTCTATCTATCTCCTATCTTCCAAAATATTCTTGATATCTCCTGTCTGATGTTATCTTTCTCTACTCATGTGGATTTAGATCTTCTTTCCTGTTTTCAGTATTTCAGAAGCAGCAAATGCTATTTTACATTATAATGACTGGGCAACTTGATATTGTTTTCTAGTCGTTCCCACTCAGTTTTCTCTGTTACAATACATATGAAAGAAACTACGATTGATGGAGAAGAGCTTGTTAAAATCGGAAAGTTGAACTTGGTAAGCATCCACCTTAATACTACTGTTTCACTCTTAAACACCTTATAGAGCAGCTTGAAATTTTGTCCTTGAGACAAAATTTTTGTGGTCACTGGGTGATTAGCTTTGTAGTGGGAGAAGAAATTTGTTAATTACAGAAAAAATTATTTTGCTGGCGATTTAATACATTATGTATCCTGTGAGAATGAAAGTCTTTGAATCCAAATCCAATAGACTCACTTTTTATTTTTATTTTTAAAATTAAAGGTTGATCTTGCAGGAAGTGAAAACATTGGCCGTTCTGGAGCTGTTGATAAGAGAGCTCGGGAAGCTGGAAATATAAATCAATCCCTGTTGACTTTGGGAAGGGTCATTACTGCCCTTGTAGAAAGAACACCTCATGTTCCTTATCGAGAATCTAAACTAACTAGAATCCTCCAGGATTCTCTTGGAGGGCGTACAAGAACATCTATAATTGCAACAATTTCTCCTGCATCTCTCAATCTTGAGGTAAGCCCTTTGAAAGGAAGCTGCAAGTGTAGTAGCTGTAATTCTTATTTGGCTATTATATATTTTAAAAGTTCATTTACTAGGATGGACACAGTGACTCACACCTGTAAACCCAGCACTTTGGAAGTCCAAGGTGGGCGGATCACTTGAGCTTAGGAGTGCCTGGGCAACATGCCGAAACCCTGTCTCTACCAAAAATACAAAAAATTAGCTGGGTTTGGTGGTGTACAACTGTGGTCCCAGCTACTTGGGGGGCTGAGGTGGGAGGATCACTTAAGCCTGGGAGGCAGAAGTTGCATTAAGCTGAGATCATGCAACTACACTCCAGCCTGGGTGGCAGAGGGAGACCCCATCTCAAAAAAAAAAAAGTATGTGTATAAAAAAAAAGAAAAGTATGTGTATACACACACACACACACACACACACACACACACACACACACACACATATAGTAGGGAAAAAAAGTTCATTTAGTAGCTTCATTTTTTTTTTTTTGAGACAAATCCCACTCTTGTCCCCCAGACTGGAGTGCGATGACGCGATCTCGGCTCACTGCAACCTCCACCTCCCAGGTTCAAGCGATTCTCCTGCCTCAGCCTCCCAAGTAGCTGGGATTACAGGCACCTGCCACCACGCCCACCTAATTTTTGTATTTTTAGTAGAGACGTGGTTTCACCTTGTTGGCCAGGCTGGTCTCAAACCCCTGACCTCAGGTGAGCCGCCCGCCTTTGTCTCCCAAAGTTCTAGGATTACACGCGTGTGCCACTACTCAGCCTAGCTTCGTTCATTCTATGCTATAATGTAAAAGAATCTGGACATTGCATATGAATATATACAGGAGGACACTCCTGAAGAAGTTATCTTTTTCCTTCCTGGCAGAGTTTTTAACCTTAAAAAGCCAGTTTCTTAATGGCTTTTTCCACACAGTCTTCAAAGAAAATTGCTGTGGTCATTAGCAGTGGGTGGTGTATGGAGATTTAATTGAGGACTTAGAAGCAGGCCAAGTGAATGCTCGCTAGTGTGGTAGAGGCTGCTTAGAGAACACTGAAGATGGCGTTGGATGTGTGAGAACAGAGAGGAAAACCAAGAAAAGTAACAAAGATGGTAAAATGTACGCTTATTTTATTGCTATCATCTGCCTTAAGTGGAAATTTTATTTATTTATTAATTTTTTTACTTTTAGAGGTAGAGTCTCATACTGTTGCCAAGGCCGCAGTACAGTAGCATGATCATGGCTCACTGCAACTTAAATTCCTGGACTCAAGTGATTCCCCCAACCACAGCCTCCTCCTGAGTAGCTAGTACTACAAGTGTGAGCCACCAGGCCTGGCTAAGTTTTGTTTTGTTTTGTTTTAAATAGAGACAGAGGTCTCACTATGTTGCCCAGGCTGGTCTTGAACTCCTGGGCTCAAGGGATCCTCCTACCTCAGCCTCCCAA
This sequence comes from Homo sapiens, assembly GCF_000001405.40. Taxonomy (NCBI): domain Eukaryota; kingdom Metazoa; phylum Chordata; class Mammalia; order Primates; family Hominidae; genus Homo; species Homo sapiens. Next base: position 92,615,058 of record NC_000010.11, read on the forward strand.
AATGCTGCGATTATAGGCATGAGCCACCTCACTTGACCTAAATGGATTTTAAAAAGCTTTTTTAGGCCAGGCACGGTGGCTTACGCCTGTAATCCCAGCACTTTGGGAGGCTGAGGTGAGTGGATCATCTGAGCTCAGGAGTTCAAGACCAGCCTGAGCAACATGGTGAAACCCCATCTCTACTAAAAAATACAAAAAATTAGCTGGGCATGGTGGTGCGCGCCTGTAATCCCAACTACTCAGGAGGCTGAGGCGGGAGAGTTGCTTGAACCCAGGAGGTGGAGATTGTAGTGAGCCGAGATTGCGCCATTGCACTCAAGCCTGGGTGACAGAGTGAGACTCTGTCTCAAAAAAACAAAAAAGCTTTTTTAAGGTGTCCAACTGCCCCTTCATTAAAAAAAAATCTTTGTTGAGATTTAATTCACATACCATAAAATTCACTGATTTAAAGTATATTAATTTAATAATTCTAGTATATTTACAGAGTTGTCCAACCATCACCAAAATCTAAGTTTTGAACATTTTCATAACCTCAGAAAGAAAGCCTGTACCCATTGAAATTACTTTTCCATTTGCCCCACTCCCATCGCTACTGCTTTTTGCATCTATATATTTGCCTATTCTGGGTATTTCATATAAATGGAATTACGTAATAGGTAGTTTTTTGTGACTGGCTTCTTTCACTTAGCATAATGTTTTCAAGGTTCATCTGTGTTGTACCAGCAATACTTTATTCCTTTTTACAGGTGAATATTATTCTATAGTATGGATATGGGATTTTTTTGTTTTTTTTTTTTTTTGAGATGGAGTCTCGCTCTGTTGCCTAGGCTGGAGTGCAATGGTGTGGTTTTGACTCACTGCAGTCTTCGCCACCCGGGTTCAAGTGATTCTCCTGCCTCAGCCTCCTGAGTAGCTGGGATTACAGGCGCCACCACCATGCCTGGCTAATTTTTGTATTTGTGGTGGAGACAGGGTTTCACCATGTTGGCCAGGCTGGTCTCGAACTCTTGACCTCATGATTCACCCGCCCCGGCCTTCCAAAGTGCTGGGATTACAGGTGTGAGCCACTGTGCCCGGCTGATATAGGACATTTTGTTTATTCATCAGTTGGTAGATTGATTGAGCTTTGTGGTTTTTTTGTTTTGTTTTGTTTTTTTGTTTTTTTTTTTTGAGACAAGGTCCCTCTCTGTTGGCTGGAGTGCAGTGGCACATTCACTGTAACCTCAACCTCCTGGCCTTAAGTGATCCTCCCACCTTAGACTCCCAAGTAGGTGGGACTATAGGCACATACTACTATGCCCAGCTAATATTTATTTATTTATTGTAGAAACAGGATCTCCCTATGTTGCCAAGGCTGGTCTCGAATTCCTGGGCTCAAGTGACCCTCATGCCTTGGCCTCCAAAGTGCTGGAATTACAAATGTGAGCCATCATTGAGTTTAAGAATAGTCTAAAGGAAATTATCCTAAGGGTCGAGACTCTGAAAATTGAAGAGAAGGGAAAAAAGGATTGAACAACTTCCTTTTTAAAGGTTGGGCATAGTGGTCTTAATGACTAGATTTTAAAATTAGATATAACTATAAAATATTACTTGTAAGTTATTATATAACATATTTTAGATAACAGAACTACATTATTCTCACAATATCTTCAGTAATTGACCTTTCCTTTCCATGACAGGAAACTCTGAGTACATTGGAATATGCTCATAGAGCAAAGAACATATTGAATAAGCCTGAAGTGAATCAGAAACTCACCAAAAAAGCTCTTATTAAGGTAACTGTGAATTTTTGTAGAGTAATGTAATCTTGTTTGACAAATGTGAAAATAAGAAACTGAAGTGGGAGATAATAGTTAAACAAGATTTGTTAAATTGCCCATGGAAGGCTTTTTATATAGTGATTTAAACTAAATGTCTTACATGTTAACATATTTTTTTCTAATGCTAGTATGTTGACTTTACCAACTTTATCAACTGAGTTGGTACTCTTAGCAAAATTTTCATTTATTTACATTTACAAAATTTATTTATTTGCATTTTTGAGGTATAATTTACATGCCATAACATCCACCTAATGTAAGCATACAATTCAATGATTTATAGTGCATTTACAGAGTTGTGGAGTATAACCACGATCTAGTTTTAGAAAATTTGTTATCACTATCCAGTTTCCCTTTGCTCCTTTACAATCATGTGGCCACTGACCTGCTTTCTGTCTACAGATTTGCCTTTTCTGGACGTTTCCTATAAATGGAATCATGTAATATTTGGTCTTTTGCATCTAGTTTCTTTTGCCTAGCATAACCATTTGGGGTTCCACTTATAACATGTATCAGTAGTTTATTTCTTTTTATTGCTGAATAGTATTCAATTATATGCTGATAATATGACATTTGGATCATTTCCACTAATGCCATTGTGAACATTTCTGTACATGTCTTTGTGTTGATGTGTTTTCATTTCTTTTGGGTAGATATCTAGGGATTTAATTTCTGGGTTGTATAGTAAGTTTATGCTCTAAGAAACTTTTCCATGTAGCTGTACCACTTTGTATTTCCTACAGCAGTTTATGAGGTCTGCAATTTCTCCACCTCCTCTTTAACACTTGTTATGGTCGGTCTTTTTAATTTTAACCATTCTAAGGAGTATAAAATGGTACTTCAGTACGGTTTTTTTGTTTTTGTTTTTGTTTTTTTTTTTGAGATGAAGTCTCGCTCTTTCACCCAGGCTGGAGTGCAGTGGCACGATCTTGACTCAGTGCAACCTCCGCCTCCCAGGTTCAAGTGATTCTTCGACCTCAGTCTCCCGAGTAGCTGGGACTACAGGTGTGCACCACCACGTCTAGCTAATTTTTGTACTTTTAGTAGAGATGGGGTTTCACCATGTTGGCCAGGCTGGTCTTGAACTCCTGACCTCGTAATCTGCCCGCCTCAGCCTCCCAAAATGCTGGGATCACAGGCGTGAGCCAATACGCCTGGCCCCAATATGGTTTTAATTAGCATTTCCCTAATGACTAATGATGTTGAACATCTTTTCTTGTGCTTATTATCTATTTGTTTATCTTTTTTGGTGAAATGTCTATTCAAATGCTTTGCCCAATTTTAATTGGTTTGTCTTATTAAGTTGTAAGGAGTTCATGTAGTCTAGATACAAGCCCTTAATGAGATATGATTTGCAAATATTTCCTCCCAGTCTGGCTTTACTTTTTCCTTTCCTTGATGTTTTTTTTTTTTTTAAATAAAGTTTTTAGTATTGAGATGATTATAGATTCACATGCAGTTATAAGAAATAATACAGAGAAAACAGGCCAGGCACGGTGGCTCATGCCTGTAATCCCAGCACTTTGGGAGGCCGAGGTAGGCGGATTGCTTTAGATCAGGAGTTCGAGACCAGCCTGGCTAACATAGTGAAACCCTCATCTCTACTAAAAATACAAAAATTAGCTGAGCGTAGTGGCACGTGCCTGTAATCCCAGTTACTCAGGAGGCTGAGACAGGAGAATTGCTTGAACTCGGGAGACAGGTTGCAGTGAGCTGAGATCGAGCCACTGTACTACAGCCTGGGAGACAGAGTGAGGCTCTGTCTCAAAAAAAAAAAAAAGAAAAAAAGTAATAATACAGAGAAATCCTTTGTACATTTTGTTGAACTATAGAATATTACCACGGGGATATTGATATTAATAACAATCCACTAATCTTTCCCAATTTTCCTTACATGTGTATGTGTATTTAATTCTAGACAGTTTTGTCACATGTATAGGTTCATGTATTTACCACCACAATCAAGATACTGAACAGTTCCATCACCACGAGGACCCTTCATATTGCTCTTTTGTAACCACTTTTCTTCCCACCATATCCTTCCTTTCCTGGTACCCAGTAACCTGTCCTCTATCATTTCAAGACTGTTATTGATTGGAATCATACATTATGTAAACGTTTGAGATTGCCTTATTTATTTATTTATTTATTTATTTTGAGATGGAGTCTCACTCTGTTGCCCAGGCTGGAGTGCAGTGGTGCGATCTCAGCTCACAGCAACCTCCGCCTCCCGGGTTCAAGCGATTCTCCTTCCTCACTCTCCCAAGTAGCTGGGATTACAGGTGTTTGCCACCATGTCCAGATAATTTTTTGTATTTTTAGTAGAGACGGGGTTTCACCATGTTCGCCAGGCTGGGTCTCAAACTCTTGACCTTGTGATCCACCCACCTTGGCCTCCCAAAGTGCTGGGATTACAGGCTTGAGCCACTGCACCCAGCAGATCTTTCTTTTTTAGTACTAAGTAGTAGTCCATGGTGAGTATGTACCATACATACAGTTTTTGTAACCATTCACTTATTGAATAACATATGAGCTAATTTCAGTTTTTCTGCTATTACAAACAAAACTGCTATTGACATTCATTTATAGGTATTTATGTAAACATAAATTTTTATTTCTCTGGGATAATTGCCCAAGAGTGCAATTGCTGGGTTGTATAATAATTGAATGTTTATTATTTTAGGGAACTGCCTGTTTTTCAAATTGGCTGTATCATTTTACAGTGTATGAGTGATCTGATTTCTTCACATCCTCACCAGCATTTGGTGGTGTAACTTTTTTATTTTAGTCATTCTGATAGGTGTGGTAGGTGATAGATATCTCATTGTGGTTTTTAACTTGAATTTTTCTAAAGGCTAATGATGTTGAGTGTCTTTTTAATGTGCTTATTTGATGTTTATATATTTATGTATATATAGCATATACATATATTGCATATTTATATATAACATATACATGTATATATATATTTATTTCCCATTATAATTTATTTGGGGAAATATCTGTATATTTGTCCTGTAGAGTTTTACCATAGTATCTTTTGACGTGTTCCTCTGTTCTTTGTATTTTCTTTGTAAATCGGTAGCTGAATCTTGAGGCTTGATTAAATTCAAGTTTTGTCTTATTTATTTTTGGCAAAACTAATTCATAAGCAGTAGTGTCTTCTTCCATTTAGAAGTATGTAATGTCTGGTTCTTTGTCTTTTTTTTTTTTTTTTTTTTGAGACGGAGTCTCGCTCTGTTGCCCAGGCTAGAGTGCAGTGGTGCCATCTCGGCTCACTGCAAGCTTCACCTCCTGGGTTCACACCATTCTCCTGCCTTAGCCTCCTGAGTAGCTGGGACTACAGGCGCCTGTCACCACGCCCGGCTAATTTTTTGTATTTTTAGTAGAGACAGGGTTTCACCATGTTAGCCAGGATAGTCTTGATCTCCTGACCTTGTGATCCGCCCGCCTCGGCCTCCCAAAGTGCTGGGATTACAGGCGTGAGCCACCGCGTCCGGCCAGAGGTATAGTTCTTATAGGAAAGGCAGGACACATGCTTGATTAATTTCCTTTATTTGCCAATTTTGAGAATAATGAGTTGGTTTCCTAGGTTTCTTAGTGTCATTATAAACTCCTAGATTTAAACTATTTGTGTTAACCCATTGTAGTTGTTCTCCTCACCGATGCTCAGATTGGCTCATCTTAGGCCAGGGGTATGTTAGTCTGTTTTCATGCTGCTGATAAAGACATACCCGAGACTGGGCAATTTACAAAAGAAAGAGGTTTATTGGACTTATAGTTCCACATGTCTGGGGAGGCCTCATAATCATGGCGGAAGGCAAGGACGAGCAAGTCACATCTTACGTGGGTGGCAGCAGGCAAAGAGAGAGAGCTTGTGTGGAGAAACTCCTGTTTGTAAAACCATCAGATCTCGTGAGACCCATTCCCTGTAATGAGAACAGCATGGAAAAGATCCGCCCCTACGATTCAGTCATCTCCCACCAGGTCCCTCCCGCAACGCGTGGGAATTATGGGAGCTACAAGATGAGATTTAGGTGGGGACACAGAGCCAAACCATATTAAGGGGTTACATCTTCAAGTGGCTTACTGAGTCCTTTTGATTAACCTAGTAGGCTTTGCTTAGCTTATTTCCTTGTCTTATTTGACAAGATGTTCCGTATTCATCTTGAATATTTTCTGCCTCAGTCCTGGAATCAGATGCTTTTATAAGGAATCCTGGTTCATTTTAGTGTGAATTACTCCTACCAACCTGGGTACTGGAGGTTGTGGTTTTTCTTGGGAAGTCCATATTTCTAGAATGAGTGTATTTAAAAAGGAGCTTTGAAAGACTTTATTTCTAAACAAATTAATATTGATTAAAAAGTATGGTTATAACTTTTTATCATACTTCTTTAAGTTTTAAAAGACATAAAAAGGCTAACTTTACATTTTATTTGTTGCATGTCCTTCCCAAACTGAATGAAAAAAGTACTAAACTGACACCTACAACATTCCTCTTGTGTAGGAGTATACGGAGGAGATAGAACGTTTAAAACGAGATCTTGCTGCAGCCCGTGAGAAAAATGGAGTGTATATTTCTGAAGAAAATTTTAGGTAAGCCCTTGGCTATGGAGTTAATTTCCAAGAATAAGCATTTCTGATAACAGGCTATTTGAAGTAAAACTTATGTAGCAGTAAGTAAAATCTTTATATCCAGTGCCGATAAATACTTCATTTTGTGTGTGTGTGTGTTTTCTTTTGAGACAAGGTCTCGCACTGTCACCCAGACTGGAGCACAGTGGCACAATCTTGGCTCACTACGTCCTCAGTCTCCTGGGCTCAAGCGATCCTCCTGCCTCAGCCTCCCAAGTAGCTGGGATTATAGGCATGAGCCACCACACCCTGCTAATTTTTGCATTTTTTTGTAGAGACAGGGTTTCACCATGCTGCCTAGGCTTCTATTTTGTTTTGACATTAACAAGTAGCTATCAAACACTTTTTAAAAATCTTTTACTAACTTTTAATTTTTAAATCATTAATTCATGTGAAGTTTCAAGAAGAGTACAAGAGAGGTTTCATGTATTCTTCACCCAGTCTTCCTCAGTGGTTATCTCTTAAATAATTATAGTACAAGGCTGGATGTGGTGGCTCACACCTGTGAATCCCAGCACTTTGGGAGGCCAAGGCAGGCAGATCACGTGAGGTTGGGAGTTTGAGATTAGTCTGACCAACATGGAGAAACCCCATCACTACTAAAAACACAAAATTACCCTGTGTGGTGGTACATGCCCGTAATCATAGCTACTCCAGAGGCTGAGGCAGGAGAATTGCTTGAAGCTGGGAGGCGGAGGTTGTGGTGAGCCAAGATCGCGCCATTGCACTCCAGCCTGGGCAACAAGAGTGAAACTCTGTCTCAAAAATAAGTAAATAAAATAATAGATAAATAAAAAATAGGCGCGATAAATAAAAAATAGGCTGGGCGCCGTGGCTCACGCCTGTAATCCCAGCACTTTGGGAGGCTGAGGCAGGCAGATCACCTGAGGTCAGGAGTTCGAGACCAGCCTGGCCAACATGGTGAAACCCCGTCTCTACTAAAAATACTAAAATTAGCCAGGCATGGTGGCAGGTGCTTGTAATCCCAGCTACTCGGGAGGCTGAGGCAGGAGAATCACTTGAACCTGGGAGGCAGAGGTTGCAGTGAGCTGAGATAGCAGCATTGCACTCCAGCCTGGGGAACAAGAGCGAGACTTCATCTCAAAAAAGAAAAAGGAAAAAATAATAATAAAATAAATAAAAAATAATTATAGTACAATATCAAAGCTGGGAAGTTGACCTTGATACAATATGTGTATTAGTTTGTTCTTATACTACTATAGAGAACCACCTGAGACTGGGTAATTTATAAAGAAAAGAGGTTTAATTGGCTCACAGTTCCATAGGCTGTACAGGAGGCATGGCTGGGGAGGCTTCAGGAAACTTACAATCCTGGTAGAAGAGCTAAGGAGAAGCAAGCACATATTCACATGGCGGCAGGAGAGAGAAAGTGAAGAGGAAAGCACTGCACACTTTTAAACAACCAGATCTTGTGAGAACTCATTCACTATCATGAGAACAGCAAGGGGGAAGTCCATCTTTATCACTCGGTTATCTCCCATCAGGTCCCTCCTCCAACATGTGGGGATTATAATTCAACATGAGATTTCAGTGGGGACAGAGAACCAGACCATATCAAGATGTGTATATAGTAGTTCTATGCCATTTTGTCACTTGTATAGATTTGTGTAACCACCACTGCAATCAAGATACAGAACTATCCTATCATCACAAGGATCTTTCTTGCTAATTCACTGTAGTCACACTCACCTCATCTTTTCCATGATTCCTAACCCCTGGCAACCACTAATCTGTTCACTTTTTAAAGCCCTGGAGTAATTTGTTCAAAGGAAAGCTTTTATTGAGGCCCATTGTATAAAACAACAATAATAACAGAGAAAACAAGGGGAAGAAGGCAAGTGGGATGCTAAGGACTATAACTTGAAAATTCCTGATTGTGTTTATCCTTGAAGATATTAGGAAGCAAGACTTTCACAGAGCATTTTTTAAAAGTTAATAGTGATAAAAGATATTAGACCTAATAATAACCAGAAGCATTTTAGTATAATCTTTTACTGAACTTTTTTGTAGATGTTAACACTCTAATAGTATATAAATCATTTAATAAACTTAGTTTTTTCTGTGTTACTTCCAACTGTCATAATGTATTCCATGAATGTGTAAGATGCCCTAGAATCAGAACAATGTAAGATTGTGGGTTAGTGAACAGTTTACCATCACTAATGGAGGTGTTCTTTTTTTGATGCTTTAGAAGTAAAAAATAATTGGTGAGGCACTCAATCCTGGCCTGTAGTCTTTAGAAATGATATTGATTATTGGAGGCTTTCATCTTTCTGATTTTATTTTTGAACTTAAGAAGTAACTTTGGTTTTCATTTGTTTAGTCCCATGATTGAAAATATGGTGTTTGCTCTCTTTTTTTTTAACTTTTATTTTAGTTTCAGGAGTACATGTGCAGATTTGTTCTATAGATATATTGCATGTAACAGGAGTTGGTGTACATATTATTTTGTCACCCAGATAATAACCATAGAACCCGATGGATAGCTTTTCAATCCTTGCTCTCCTCTTACCCTCCACCCTCAAAGAGGCCCAGGTGACTATTGTTCCCTTCCTCATGTCCATGTCTGCTCAGGGTTTAGCTCCTACTTATAAGTGAGAACGTTTGGTGTTTGGTTTTCTGTTCCTATGTTAGTTTGTTTAGGACAATGGCATCCAGCTCCATCCATGTTGCTGCAAAGAACATGATCTCATTCTTTTTTTTTTTTTTTTTTTTTCGAGACAGTCTTGCTCTGTCACCCAGGCTGGAGTATAGTGGTGTGATCTCGGCTCACTGCAACCTCTGCCTCCCAGGTTCAAGTGATTCTCCTACCCCAGCTGCCCGAGTAGCTGGGATTACAAGCACCTGCCACCATGCCCAGCAAATTTTTTTTTTTTTAAGTAGAGATGGGGTTTCACCATGCACCATGTTGGCCAGGCTGGTCTTGAATTCCTGGCCTCAAGTGATCAACTCACCTTGGTATCCTGGCGTACTGGGATTACAGGCATGTGCCACTGCACCCAGCCATCTTGCTCTTTTTTATGCCTGTGTAGTATTCCATGGTGTATATGTACCACATTTTCTTTATCCAGTCTGCTGTGGATGGATAGCTAGGTTGATTCCACGTCTTTGCTGCTGTGAATAGTGCTATGATGAACATATGTGTGCATGTGTCTTTATGGTAGAACAATTTATATTCCTTTGGGTATATACCCAGTAATGGGATTGCTGGCTCAAATAGTATTTCTGTGTGTGTGTGGTTTTTTTTTTTTTTTGAGATGGAGTCTTGCTCTGTTGTCCAGGGTGGACTGCAGTGGCACAATCTCGGCTCACTGCAAACTCTGCCCCCCAGGTTCAAGCAAGTCTCCTACCTCCGCCTCCCAAGTATCTGGGATTATAGGCACCCACCACCGCACCTGGCTAATTTTTGTATTTTTAGTAGAGATGGGGTTTCACCATGTTGGCCAGGCTGGTCTCGAACTCCTGACCTCAAGTGATCTGCCCACCTCGGCCTCCCAAAGTGCTGGATTACAGGTGTGAGCCACCATGCCCTGCCGGTATTTCTGTTTTAAGTTCTTTGAGAAGTCGCCAAACTACTTTCCATAATGGCTGAACTAATTTTCATTAGTAGCATATAAGCGTTCCCTTTTCTCCACAACTTTATCACCATGTGTTATTTTTTGACTTTTTAATAATAGCCATTCTGACTGGTGAGATGGTTTCTCATTGTGGTTTTGATTTGCATTTCTCTAACAATTAATGGTGTTAAACATAGTTTCATATGCTTCTTAGCCACATATATGTCTTCTTTTGAAAAATGTCCACATCATTTGCCCACTTTTTTTTTTTTTTTTGAGACACAGTTTCACTGTTGCCCAGGCTGGAGTGCAGTGTGGCACGATCTCAGCTCACTTCAACCTCCACCTCCTGGGTTCAAGCGATTCTCCTGCCTCAGCCTCCGAAGTAGCTGGGATTACAGGTGCCTGCCACCATGCCCGGCTAATTTTTGTATTTTTAGTAGAGATGGGATTTCACCATGTTGGCCAGGCTGGTCTTGAATTCCTGACCTCAAGTGATCTGCCCACCTCCGCCTCCCAAACTGCTGGGATTACAGGTGTTAGCTACCGTGCCCCGCTGGGTGTATATGATTTTATACTTAGAAAACCCCATAGTCTCTGTCCATAAGCTCCTAGATCTGATCAACAATTTAAGCAGAGTTTCTGGATACACAATCATTGTACTAAAATCAGTAGCATTCCTATATACCAATAATGTCCAAGCTGAGTGCCAAACAAGAATGCAATTCCATTCACAATAGCCACAAAAACAGTAAAATACCTAGGAATACAACTAACCAGAGAGGTGAAGGATCTCTACGGTAAGAATTATAAAACACTGCTGAAAGAAATCAGAGTTGACACTAACAAATGGAAAAACTTTCCATGCTCATGGATAAGAAGAATCAATATTGTTAAAATGGCCATACCACCCAAAGCTATTTACAGATTAAATGCTGTTCCTCTCAAACTACCAATGACATTCTTCACAGAAAAAACTATTGTAAAATTCATGTGGAACTGGAAAAGAGCCCAAATAGCCAAAGCAGTCCTAAGCAAAAAGAACAAAGCTGGAGGCATCGCATTACCTGACTTCAAACTATACTACAGGGCTACAGTAACCAAAACATCATGGTACTGGTACAAAAACAGACACAGACCAATGGAACCGAATAGAGAGCCCAGAAATAAAGCCACACACCTACAGCCATCTGATCTTCGACAGAACATGCAATGGGGATAAAACTGCCTGTTCAATAAATGGTGCTGGGATAACTGCCTATCCATGTGCAGAATATTGAAACTGGACCCCTTCCTTAACGCCCATATACAGAAATCAACTCAAGATGGATTAAAAACTTAAATGTAAAACCTAAAACTAAAAACCCTTGTAAAAAACCTAGGTGTTTGTTCTCTAATACACATGAGGCATAATCTGAGATAGTTTTGTCTGAAAACGCTTTTGGAATTAGTACAGTGTCAGTCAGAGAAGAATCACAAAAACTACAGCCAACATTTAAAACAGGATAATGCTTTATTTAAGCCAAGCTTAATAGACATTTTAAAACCATATCAAAATCATCTCATCCATACAGTAACAATGTTGTATTACCCCTTGGCATTCACTATAAAAAAGCATTTCAAATAATCCCGTTTTACATAAAAGATCTATTTCTATTTATTTTATTTTATTTTTATTTTTATTTTTGAGACAGAGTCTCACTCTGTCACCCAGGCTGGAGTGCAGTGGCGCCATCTTGGCTCACTGCAAGCTCCGCCTCCTGGGTTCACGCCATTCTCTCGCCTCAGCCTCCTGAGTAGCTGGGACTACAGGTGCCCGCCACCACGCCCTGCTAATTTTGTTTTTGTATTTTAGTAGAGACAGGGTTTCACCATGTTAGCCAGGATGGTCTTGATCTGCTGACTTCGTGATCTTCCCGCCTCGGCCTCCCAAAGTGCTAGGATTACAGGCGTGAGCCACCGCGCCTGGCTGTAGAAGATCCATTTTTAATAAAAAGCTAATATATTTCATCAAAAGACTATTAGAATTAACTCTTCTCTTACAGCTCTTTTCTAGCTTTTCCTTTAGTCAACAATATCTCTAGCTAATACGTTAAGGGAATTTGTATTCACGGAAGAATCTTTGTCATTTAAGCATAATGTGAAATAGAAAATTGTTGGTTGTTATCAAAGAATTAGATGAGCAAATACAGGCATTCATTTCTGAAACTGACTAATACTCAAGAAATCAGAGACCCATTAAAGTGGGTTTGGAAGACCTGTGAGCTTTGCGCTTGAGAAAAGCATTCTCTATTTTACTTTTTATGACTTCTTTTGACTTTGACTTCATCTTCTGATATTTTTGTTGAATTTAGAAATTTTTAGTTTCTAAAAACTCTTTTCTGCCATCCCTGTCTCTCCTTTTGAAAAATATAGCATCCTTTTATTTTATAGATCTATTCCTTATCTCAGAAACATTATTAATGTTATTAAAGTTTTCTTTTATGTTTTTCTTTCCTTTGGGATCTTTTTTTTCCCTGTTGTGATATCTGTCATTTGTATTTATTTTCTTCAAATGTCTAGTGATTTTTGGCTGGCAATTAAGATGGATTAGAAGCTTTGTACATGGGTGAGGATTATGGACCTGTAAGTTCACTATAGATGAAAAAGTGGTGATCTCAGTCTTAAGTCTGGGCTTCCATCAGATATCATTCTTTGTTGGATTTTTTTTCTTTTGTTCTAGCCCTCAGTCTTTTCTGAGAAGATTTGCCCAGTTTGCTTGGAGATTTTTCTAGCTGCTGCTATTTTTTGATTAGAGTGGGTATAGGGGGCTGAGGATTCCATCATTTTGTATGTAGATTTACACTTAAATGCTCATTTCTAGTCCCTAAACCTTCTACAGTCCATGATGTCTAGTGAAAGTGAACCTGGAAATTCTGCTGCAATTCCTATAGACTAGTGGCTGTCAATGGAAGTGGTGTTGGGGGACTGGTGGTGGTGGGTGGTTTTGTCCCCCAGAGGACATTTGGCAGAGTCCAGTGACATTTTTTATCATCATGACTTGGATGGTACTGAACATCCTAAAATGTACAGGACATCCCCACAATGAAGAATTATTTGATCCACTAGTGCTGAGGCTGAGAAACTCTGCTCTAGAGAGTAATCCTTTGTTCTCATGAGGGTTATGCGGTGGGGTGAGAGTGGTGTTTGTGCGTGTTGCAGCAGCAGGGGGTGTAATTGCTCTGTATACATACTTTAAGTCTCAGTTTTTAACCCCTAATCTTACCCCTTCCTTCTAAGATACCTGATGCCTTCAAGTCCCACATTTTTCCAGCATTCTGTGGGGCATATTTATATTCTGTATCCCTGATTATAGACACTTAGGTTGCATTCCCTCCTCTCTCTACTTTGAGTTATAGTCCGTCCTCTGTTAGCTTTCTAGCTTCTCAAATCTGGAACACACATGCTTTTCCCCTCATAGGTAGGGATTCTTAGTTTCAGAATTGAGGGCAAGGGAAAAATATTTCATTTATAAAACAAAGACAAGGAATATAATTTGTTCTTTGTAATTTGTATTTATTGCTTATTGACACAGGTATCAAGTGACACTTGGGTATCAAGTGATGGTGATAAATGTTGGAAATGAGTTTGTGTAGCTGTCACAATTGTGTTAGAATACATTTTATAGGAGTTAGAAAAAAATATTAACTGTTAAACTCATATTAAACTTTATTTTAGAGTCATGAGTGGAAAATTAACTGTTCAAGAAGAGCAGATTGTAGAATTGATTGAAAAAATTGGTGCTGTTGAGGAGGAGCTGAATAGGGTAAGCACTTAAAATGATATTTACTGTTATGTGAAAAGCAAATATTGAAAGAAAATTTTAGAATGAAAGATCTAATATTTTTTCCTTCAAGATTTTTTTTTTTTAGACGGAGTCTCGCTCTGTCACCCAGGCTGGAGTGCAATAGCGTGATCTCGGCTCACTGTAACCTCTGCCTCCCAGGGTCAAGCGATTCTCCTGCCTCAGCCTCCCGAGTAGCTGGGATTACAGGTGTGCACCACCATGCCTGGCTAATTTTTTTTGTATTTTTAGTAGAGACAGGGTTTCACCATGCTGGCCAGGCTGGTCTTGAACTCCTGACCTCATGATCTGCCCATCTCAGCCTCCCAAAATGCTGGGATGACAGGCGTGAGCCACTGCACCCAGCTCCTTCAGATTTTTTTGGAAAAAAAAAAAAGATTTTATTTTGCTGACCCTTATACTGAAAGTAAGTTATATCATGATTTTTTACTATCATTAATCACATCAAAAAAGCTGACAGCTTATATTAATAAAACATTACAAGAAATTAACTGAATTGTTTGATTTTGTTATTGAAACTACAAAATAGTGAATGCTGAAGCAGTTTTGTTAACATGTTTATCAGATGAAGGAATACAGATATTGGGAGAGACTGGATGTTAAATAAAAGTAATATAACTAGGGTAGGCAAGAGGCCTGACCTTTCAGGGCCACCCTCATATTAATACCTTTATTTATTTATTTTTAATTATTTTTTAGAGACAGGGTCTTGCTTGATGCCCAGGCTACAGTGCAGTGGTGTAATCATATCTTACTGCAGCCTCAAACTTCTGGTCTCAAGCAACTCTCCTGCCTCAGCCTCCTGAGTAGCTGGACTTCAGGCATGCACTACCATGCCCGGCTAATTATTTTATTTTTTTGTAGAGATGGAGTCAGTCTCGCTATGTTGCCCAGGCTGGTCTCAAACTATGGGGCTCAAGTGATCTCCTGCCTTGGCCTCCCAGAGTGCTGGGGTTACAGGTGTGAACCACCTTGCCAGGCCACATTAACACTGTTATATTCAAATCCATTGACAATGTTGAAGGAAACTGAAGAATTAATAGTACTACACCAGACCTATTATTTAATCTCAAAGTGTTGAGTAAGATTACAGAAAGAAACAGGATGACATATTTGTGTTAACCTACCGGGTAACTTCTTACAACTTTTGCATGGAAATAATTTGTTTCATTTTTCTAATCTTATGAACTAGCTAGATATCCTACCAGCCAGCTCAGCGTTTTTTAAATTCTTATATTTAGGTTACAGAGTTGTTTATGGATAATAAAAATGAACTTGACCAGTGTAAATCTGACCTGCAAAATAAAACACAAGAACTTGAAACCACTCAAAAACATTTGCAAGAAACTAAATTACAACTTGTTAAAGAAGAATATATCACATCAGCTTTGGAAAGTACTGAGGAGAAACTTCATGATGCTGCCAGCAAGGTTTGTCCCTTGTGTTGATTTGTACTCATATTAAGTAGAGAATGGGTAGAAAAAATTTTCTGTGCTTAAGCATTAAATATTCTGTTTATTCACCCCAAATGGTATTTCTGTCCATTTAAAAAACATTATTTTACTATTTCATCCATGTTTTTCTCACTGGAGATGTCGACTTATGAAAAAACTACTCCTGCTCCTGGAGTTTTGAAAATAGAACATAACTTAGCTGGGAGTGGTGGCTCACGCCTATAATCCCAGCATTTTGGGAGGCCAAGGTGGGTGGATGACCTGAGGTCAGGTGTTCGAGACCAGCCTGACCAACATGGAGAAACCTGTCTCTACTAAAAATACAAAATTAGCCGGGCGTGGTGGCGCATGCCTGTAATCCCAGCTACTCGGGAAGGCTGAGGTGGAAGAATCACTTGAACCCGGGAGGCAGAGGTTGCGGTGAGCCGAAATCACACCATTGCACTCCAGCCTGGGCAACAAGAGCGAAACTCCGTCTCAAAAAAAAAAAAAAAAAAGAAAATAGAACATAACTTTATAATATATTTTGTAGACATTTAGAATAGTGATGCTGTGATGCTTTTTCTTTGTGGGGATGATTGAACCTAATTAGTCATTAAGAATTTAGTATGTTCTGTCCAGGCATGGTGGCTCACGCCTGTAATCCCAGCACTTTGGGAGGCCGAGGTGGGTGGATTGCTTGAGGTTAGGAGTTCGAGACCAGCCTGACCAACATGGTAAAACCCCATCTCTACTAAAAAAAAAAAAATACAAAAATTAGCCAGGCGTGGTGGCACATGCCTATAATCCCATCTACTCAGGAGGCTGAGGCAAGAGAATCACTTGAACCCAGGAGGCAGAGGTTGCAGTGAACCGAGATCATGCCACTGCACTCCAGCCTGGGTAACAGAGCAAGACTCTGTTTCAGAAAAAAAAAAAAAAAGAATTTAGTATGTTCTGATGATGAAAGATGTTGAAAGTATTTAATTTTTTTTTTTTTTTTTTGAGACGGAGTCTCGCTCTGTCGCCCAGGCCGGACTGCGGACTGCAGTGGCGCAATCTCGGCTCACTGCAAGCTCCGCTTCCCGGGTTCACGCCATTCTCCTGCCTCAGCCTCCCGAGTAGCTGGGACTACAGGCGCCCGCCACCGCGCCCGGCTAATTTTTTGTATTTTTAGTAGAGACGGGGTTTCACCTTGTTAGCCAGGATGGTCTCGATCTCCTGACCTCATGATCCACCCACCTCGGCCTCCCAAAGTGCTGGGATTACAGGCGTGAGCCACCGCGCCCGGCCTTTAATTTTTTATTAGTTGTACTTTTTTTTTTTGAGACAGACTCTTGCTTTGTAGCCCAGGCTGGAGTGCAGTGGCATCATCTCAGTTCACTGTAACCTTTGCCTCCCGGGTTCAAGCGATTCTCCCGCCTCAGCCTCCCAAGTAGCTGGGATTACAAGCGCCTGCCACCACACCCAGCTAATTTTGTATTTTTAGTAGAGACTGGGTTTCACCATGTTGGCCAGGCTGGTCTCAAACTCCTGACCTCAGGTGATCCACCTGCCTAGGCCTCCCAGAGCGTTGGGATTACAGGTGTAAGCCACCACGTCCGGCCATTAGGTGTACTTCTGAGGAAATAGTAGAACATAGAAGGAAAAAAATTTCTGAGGAAGCATAATTATTGCAATAACTGAAAAAATCAGTTTTCCTTGCTTGTGTAGATGGCTACAGGAAGGGAAATAAACATTACTGGGCATCTGGATAAATTAGCATGAGTTAAAGCATTTCTTCTGATACAATGTCTAAAATTGACTTTTTTTTTTTGAGACAGAGTCTCTCTCTGTCACCCCGGCTGGAGTGGCAGTGGCACAATCTCTGGCTCACTGCAACCTCCACCTCCCAGGTTCAAGCAATTCTCCTGCCTCAGCCTCTTGAGTAGCTGGAACTACAAGTATGTACCACCACACCCAGCTAATTTTTGTATTTTTAGTAGAGACGGGGTTTCACCATGTTGGCCAGGCTGGAAAATTTACTAGTTCTTATCAAGATAAATCCTTGTGTAGATACTTTCATCAGATTCCTTTCACCGTATCCATTTTGTCTAACACTTATTTTTAAAAATATAGCTGCTTAACACAGTTGAAGAAACTACAAAAGATGTATCTGGTCTCCATTCCAAACTGGATCGTAAGAAGGCAGTTGACCAACACAATGCAGAAGCTCAGGATATTTTTGGCAAAAACCTGAATAGTCTGTTTAATAATATGGAAGAATTAATTAAGGATGGCAGCTCAAAGCAAAAGGCCATGCTAGAAGTACATAAGACCTTATTTGGTAAGTTCAGGCTGTTCTGTTCTAGTCTTGATGTGTTAAGTGTAATGTTGATTTCAAAACTGATAATTTTGTGAAACATAGATGACGGTGTCACCAATACTCTCTACCATGCACAAACTATTTGTTCAGGGTGAAGATTAATGCTTTTATTGTCTTTGAATTAAAACAAATCTTTTTTCCCTCCCCACCCTCCCTTCTGTTTTCTATAAAATGTTACATTTATTAAGTAACTAAGTATATAAACGTTAGAAGTAGAAGTCCTCTTTTTCCCTGACTCCGGCTCCTGACCCTGGGTCATTGACCATAGGTGTTATTGTTAAATTTCTTGGGCCTTTTTCTGGAAATTTTTTGTGCATAAACATTCTGCAACTTTTTTTGGGGGGGGCATATATATCTTGATGGTTTGCTATATTGTCAGAATATGTTTGTGTCTCATTGTTTTTAACTATTATCTCCCTTTAGAAAAAAGTATGTTTATTTAGTGTGAAATACTATCCTCATTATGGAAAATTTGGACATTCAGAAATATAAAAATTTAAAAAATCATCTAGACTCTAGTCTCACTAAGCCAAGCACTATACTTTTTGGTATTGATTTCCAGTTTTTTTTTTCTTCTGTAAACTTACCATAATTCTGTATATTATTTTTAGTTAGAGATTAATTGTAGAATATTCTAATTCTTTGTGTACTATGAATTATAGTTATGGGTCTGATACACTTACAAATATGTTAAGGGCTTACAGAGCACTATAGAAAATTGTAATGTATATTTAAATATTTCCTTGCTTTGTAGTGAGCCAGTTCTTTTAAGCTCGTTATTACAAATTCTACAACAAGGGTATACTTTTGTCAACTTCTTTGAAATGGTTTGAACGGTATTTAATATATTTATGTCAAAGTTTACATCTTTCTGTTTTTGTTTGTTATAGGTAATCTGCTGTCTTCCAGTGTCTCTGCATTAGATACCATTACTACAGTAGCACTTGGATCTCTCACATCTATTCCAGAAAATGTGTCTACTCATGTTTCTCAGATTTTTAATATGATACTAAAAGAACAATCATTAGCAGCAGAAAGTAAAACTGTACTACAGGAATTGATTGTTAGTACATCCTTTAAAATATTTTTGAAGGGTTGCATTTGATAAGTATTTGATAAAATATTTTGAAGGGTTACATTTGATAAGTCTTTATAAACAATGTTAACTGCTATTCTTTCTTCCTGAGCTTTACTAGACACAGTCATAGACACGTCACTGTGAGAGACTACATATATATATATTTTGTTTTGTTTTGTTTTGTTTGTTTGTTTTGAGATGGAGTCTCGCTCTGTCGTCCAGGAGTGCAGTGGCGTGATCTCGGCTCACTGCAAGCTCTACCTCCCGGGTTCATGCCATTCTCCTGCCTTAGCCTCCCGAGTAGCTGGGACTACAGGCGCCCACCACCACACCCGGCTAATTTTTTGTATTTTTAGTAGAGATGGGGTTTCACCGTGTTAGCCAGGATGGTCTTGATCTCCTGACCTTGTGATCCACCCGCCTCGGCCTCCCAAAGTGCTGGGATTACAGGCATGAGCCACCGTGCCCAGCCAGCCTCTCCTTTTCTTTATTTGTATTTATTTATTTTTTTCAGCCTCTCCTTTTCTCGGCTCACTGCAACCTCTGCCTCCTGGGTTCAAGCAGTTCTCTTGCCTCAGCCTCCCGGGTAGATGGAATTATAGGCATGTGCCACCACGCCTGGCTAATTTTCGTATTTTTTTTTAGTAGAGATGGTGTTTTACCATGTTGGTCAGGCTGGTCTCAAGCTCCTAACCTCAAGCAATCCACCCACCTCGGCCTCCCAAAGCGCTGGGATTACAGGCGTGAGCCACCGTGCCCGGCCGAGAGTACGTTTATATTTTTAAAGACAGATCTCTCCACTGTTTATTCTCTCCCAGAAAGATTATTTTCAAATGTATGGAACTAACTTTTGAAACCTTTTTCACTCATGTCTTGTAACATTAGGAGTAGCAGTTATTAGTGAGGCTTCTAATGACTAAAGGGCAAGTTTAGCACCACATGATATCAAGGGACTTGTTAGTTGGCCCAGAAATTGGCAAGTCACTCTTTCCCCAGGGGTCCTGGACCCAACCAGAAGGGGATATTGGGTAGCTGATTTTAAAACTACAGTAATATATGATAGTAATAATGGTGCAAGAAAAATATCTTAGAATTCTGGGGACACATATCACTTCTTAGGGTTAGATCTGTGTGGCCCCTTCTGGGCCATAACTATAAATCTTTTCTCCAGAGTTCTATGGAAGTCACTCATCTAATTGCACTTAATATTACCTCCTTCATACTTGATTTATATATAGTCTTTATTTTATAATTGTATGGTTGGTCTAGGAAGTTCTTAGCCATATAATTTATTTGTTTTCTTTGTGCAGAGTCTTTGCCTCCCTTTTTCAGCTTAACAATATTTATTAAACATTTTCCAAGTAAATACTACAAATGTTAGCTGACCCTCTGCCTCAATTCAGTGCTTAGATGACATTATTTGATAGGTTTTCTCAATCACCCAAATTTGACAAAATTAAAAGATATCCTGTCAGTACTAACTTTTCAAATATTGATTCATTCATTAAATGGTGGTCTGTATATATATAGGCATACTTCAGAGATATTGCAGGTTTGCTTCCAGACCACTGCAATAAAGTGAATATTACAATAAAGCAAGTCATGAATTTTTTGCTTTCCCGGTGCATATAAAGGTTATGTTGACCAGGCGCAGTGGCTCACACCTGTAATTCCAGCACACGCCTGGTGGGACAATCAGAACACAACGTTTATCAGTTACATTTGCTGTCTTATAGGGGTACAGTTTATGGTACCCCAAGACAATTACAATAGTAACATCAAAGATCATTGATCACAGTGTATAATGAAAAAGTTAGAAATACTGTAGTAGTTACCAACATGTGATGCAGAGACAGAAAGTGAGCACATGATATTTGAAAAAAGTCACTGATAGACGTGCTCAAGGTAGGGTTGCCACAAACCTTCAATTTGTAAAAATTTGGTATCTGTGACACATAGTAAGGTGAAGCACAATAAAATAAGCTATGCCTGAATTGATACATTTCTACTTACCAAGTTACAATTTTTGCTTGAATTAAAAGAAAAGAGGCATGTTGCTCTCACAAAATTAGTTGAAATTGGTATGCTAGCTCTTCTTTCCAAAAGAATGTCAGTAGACCTATAAGTATTTACTAATGTATTTCTGTTATACTTCCTCAGCCCTATCCTACCAAAAGGAGATTAGATCAGGATTTTTTTTCTTTTTATAAATATTTCCAATCTATACTACATTCTTAATTTCCCTATTTCTTGACAAGAACAACATCTTTCACAAGTTCTTCTGATACAATAGGATGTAAGTCATCTCAGATCTTCAAAGTTAAGTACTTCCAGCCCAAGGGCTAATCTTGATGACTACTTGGTCTCAGCCTTTTTGACTGGTAACCTAAACTTGTTTGAAATTTATTTTCTTAAAATATACCTGTAGGTTTTTAAAAATTTATTTTGTTTGGAGTGCTGAAATCTTATTAACTGTCATTTTCCTCTTTTGAATTCTTCTGACTTCTATTTCATTAAACTATTAAATAGTTCTGGCTGGGTGCGGTGGCTCATCTCAGCACTTTGGGAGGCCAAGGTGGGTGGATCACTTGAGGTCAGGAGTTCGAGACCAGCCTGGCCAACATGGTGAAACCCTGTCTTTACTGAAATACAAACATTAGCTAGGCGTGGTAGCAGGTGCCTGTAATCCCAGCTACTTGGGAGGCTGAGGCAGGTGAATCGCTTGAACCCAGGAGGCGGAGGTTGCAGTGAGCCAAGATCACGCCATTGCACTCCAGCCTGGGCCACGAGAGTGAAACTATATCTCAAAAAAAGAAAAAAAGAAATTCTGTGTTTTCACTGGGCTTGAAAAAAGAGAAATTATTATATTTATTGTAATATAATAAATTATTGTATTATTGTATTGATTTATCTATGTAGAGTATAAAAAATGGAGAATGGGGCCGGGCGCGGTGGCTCACGCCTGTAATCTCAGCACTTTGGGAGGCCACGGGGGGCGGATCACCTGAGGTCAGGAGTTCCAGACCAGCCTGGCCAACATGGCGAAACCCCATCTCTACTAAAAATACAAAAATTAGCTGGGTGTGGTGGCTCACACCTATAATCCCAGCTACTCCGGAGGCTGAGGCAGGAGAATCACTTGAACCCAGGAGGCAGAGGTTGCAGTGAGCCAAGATGTTGCCACTGTACTCCAACCTGGGTGACAGAATGAGACTCCGTCTCAAAAAAAAAAAAAAAAAAAAAGAATGGAGAATGGAAATGTAAATTTTAATGTGAATGTTTAGCTACCAAAGTATTTAAGATATCATTTAGAAAGGTTTACAGAAGTGGAAATATTCTTTTTAAAGACCTATTTGTTTATTTCTGAAACCAGAATGTACTCAAGACTGATCTTCTAAGTTCACTGGAAATGATTTTATCCCCAACTGTGGTGTCTATACTGAAAATCAATAGTCAACTAAAGCATATTTTCAAGACTTCATTGACAGTGGCCGATAAGGTAACAAATGCTATGTTCTTAATATCTCAAAATTGATGTGTTGTTTAAGAAGGAAACTCATTTTTGTTTCTTCAAAGATAGAAGATCAAAAAAAGGAACTAGATGGCTTTCTCAGTATACTGTGTAACAATCTACATGAACTACAAGAAAATACCATTTGTTCCTTGGTTGAGTCACAAAAGCAATGTGGAAACCTAACTGAAGACCTGAAGACAATAAAGCAGACCCATTCCCAGGTATGTTGTTTAGCGGACTTGGGGAGTACAGAAAGAGAGTTTTAGGATGATTTGATATGACTTGATAATTAATCTATGTTACACAATCTGAATACTGTAAAAGCTGAAACCTGAAAATACCATAGCCACTGTTGCTTATAACAGTAATTATTGTAGAACAATTGAGAATACTTCTCTTAATATTTGAAGTTTTGCTACATCTAGAACCCCATGCAGAACCACAATATGACAAAACAGTCCTTTTCTCACATCAAGATGAAAGATGAATCTGGAAAAACATACCTTTAGAGAAGAATGGTTATAACATTTAAAGTGAAAATGTATCTACATTAAAACCTGCTAAGTTGTTTCTAGGATGGCATGGATAGTTGTCTTTCATAAACCAAGTCCTACTTTCTCTTATTTCTGTCTCACTGATAGACATTTAAAACATAGTAAATCGATACAACTTTTAATTCTTATTGATTATAAATGTAATTCATGATTTATCTTCCCTGTAAACTGTTCCTCATTATATGAGGCTTTAAACCAAAACCAAGCCTTCAAACCATAATCTGTAAATATCAGATATCTGAAAAACAGCTTCTGGTATTCTTAAGACTTTAATAATGACTGTCTAAAGTTTTATTAAATGAGCTTATTATAATATGACAGAACTCTTATAATAGTTAACATTTATTGAGCAATTCACTGTGTTTATTCCTCCCATCAATATAGATATAAATTCTATTACTAGTCAGATTTTTAATGAGGAAACTGAGACCCTGTGAGCATCTAATAGTATGTAGATCATCTTGCAGAAGGTGGTAGTGATCATACTACCTGAAAAGCATCCATGTTTGAGTGGCTCTTTTGTGTGTTTTTTGGCAACTTAAAACTGCAGCATTTTCTCATACATCTACATAGGGTATTTCCCTTAAACCCGTTGAGAACTTTTTAGGTGTATATTCTAAGGCTGATCCCCTTTTTATAAATTTGCTGTTTTGAAATGCTTAAAATTGTTAGACAGCTCTTTAAAAAAACAATACAAAAAAATCTGATCTGAAAAGTATCTTAGCATGAATGGTTTGGCTTTCCTGGCTTTAAGGAAGCAAGTTCAGTATGTGAGCTATTTCTTAGGTTTTCCAGAACTTGAAATGAGCACTACTAAAATAATTATGTAAAACTTTGAACACATTTACATATAGATAAATATAATACCTGCATTAGCATTCAAATTATTAATCTGATAATACCTTTGAGACTAGTAAAAATACTGACAGACTTTATTCATAATCAGAATGTTAGATATGTATTGTCAACTGATGTGTTATTCAGAGATACTGGCCAACCAGCAGACTGAAGAGTGAATAAGAATGTTGGATGCATTTTCAGCTCTTCTTTGGTCATTAGGATGGCTTCTTCATTTTGCAATGTAGCATGTTATATGCCTATAAGAGCTTGTTTTCAAAGATGTAAAATATGAGCAAAGATAAGACTATTTACATTTTGTTAATATGATCCAACTAGGTTCTGTAACATTTTTTAGCTCCAGTAATTGATAATATTTTTGGATTGCTTGACCCGTTAGTATATCACATTAATTTTCCCTTCTAGCAGTGTTATCAGTTAAAAAGCAACTATATATATCTGTCAAAGTGGGTCTTAAACATAATGTGATATATGGGTTGTTTGATTAGTTTTGAGGTACACTGAAAGTAATTTGTTACTTACAGCTAAAATAGTAAAGTTTGCTAATTATTTACTTTTTAAAAAATCCTGGCTGGATGTGATGGCTCATGTCTGTAATCTCAGCACTTTGAGAGGCTGAGGCAGGGTGATCACTTGAGGCTAGGAGTTCAAGACCAGCCTGGTCAACATAGCGAGATCACGTCTCTACAAAAAAAATTTGTTTAAATTAGCCAGGCATGGTGGCTCATGCCTGTGTAGTCCCAACTACTTGGAGGCTGAGGAAGGAGGATCCCTTGAGCCCAGGAGGTTGAAGCTGCAGTGAGCCTTGATTGTGCCACTGCACTACAGCTTGGACAACAGAGTGAGACCCTGTCTCTAAAAAAAAAAACAAATCCTACATTTTAATATCACTTCCACTGCTTTCCTCTGTAGAAGAAAGGTAAAGTTAACTTTATCTCTTGTCAAGAATTTATATAATTCTCACCTATGGACAATACTTCTTGTTTTGTTATCAGTCATAAAAAATGTTCAAGTGTCATAATTTTAAGTCTCTTCACTTCCCACACCTTTCTTACAGGAACTTTGCAAGTTAATGAATCTTTGGACAGAGAGATTCTGTGCTTTGGAGGAAAAGTGTGAAAATATACAGAAACCACTTAGTAGTGTCCAGGAAAATATACAGCAGTAAGCTATTTTTAAATTCTCTTAAACTTTTCTGTAAGTCTGAAATTATTTAAGAAGAAAAAGCTTTAAATAGTACAAATAATTCCTCTGTGTACTTTCAAATTTCTCTTTTGTTAATATTTTATTATGTATGTGTGTATGTATATATATACATGCATATAAATGTCTTTTCATTGCGTATTTGTGCTCTCTTTTAAGACATTGAAAAACCTGGCTGTTACCCACAATATATTTTCGAATTTCCTCAATCTTAGAAAACACACTAAGTAATTTCACAATTTCTAACCTATATTACTGATGAAAAATATACTAACTAGAGCAGGGTTTGGCAAACTGTGGCTAGCAGGCTGGATGCCTGTTATTGCAAATAATTTCATTGGACACTGTTTACATGTTGTCTTTGGCTGCCTTTGCACTGCAGTGGCAAAGTTGAGTCATTGCATCCAGGTCATTGAACAATAGCCTAAAATATTTGCTATCTGGCTTTTCAAGAAAAAGTTTGCTGATTCCTGTATTAGGGTTTTGTTTTTTGTTTTTGTTTTTGTTTTTGCGACGGAGTCTTGCTCTGTCACCCAGGCTGGAGTGCAGTGGAGTGATCTCAGCTCACTGCAAGCTCCGCCTTCCAGGCTCACGCCATTCTCCTGCCTCAGCCTCCCGAGTAGCTGGGACTACAGATGCCCGCCACCATGCTTGGCTAATTTTTTGTATTTTTAGTAGAGAGGGGTTTCACCATGTTAGCCAGGATGGTCTCGATCTCCTGACCTCGTGATCCGCCCGCCTCGGCCTCCCAAAGTGCTGGGATTGCAGGCGTGAGCCACCACGCCCGGCTCTGTTTTGTTTTTTCAGACAAAAACAAACAGCCTGCTCTGTAGCCCAGGCTGAAGTACAGTGGCGCGAGTGCAGTGGTGTGATCTTGGCTCACTGCAACCTCTGCCTCCTGAGTTCAAGTGATTCTCCTGCCTCAGCCTCCCGAGTAGCTGGGATTACAGGCACATACCACCATGCCTGGCTAATTTTTTGTATTTTTAGTAGAGATGGGGTTTCGCCACGTTGGCCAGGCTGATCTTGAACTCCTGGTCTCAACTGATCCTCCTACCTCGGCCTCCCAAAGTGCTGGGATTGCAGGTGTGAGTCACTGCTCCCAGCCTGTATTAGAGTTTAATGTTGCTTTGTAGCCTCATTGCTTGCCAGTTCCGCATACTTAACATACACTACAGTCAGACCTATGTTTTCTTTTAGGAATTTTATAACTTTATGGTTTAACATTTATATTCATGATCCATTTAAAAATTTTTATAAAACATAGGAGATTTGTCAAGTTTCAGTTTTTTGCCTATTGAGTATTCTATACTCATGAGGAGAAAGATACTATATTTACCCTATTTTTCCCCATTTAATTCTGAAATTAAACTTCCTAAAGTTTCAAGCTTTCTTTGGTGGGAAGTAGTCTTTAAGGGTGGGTCTGCTGGACAGAAATTGTTTTTCTTTGTCTAAGAATGTCTTGATTTCCCCTTCATTCCTGAAAGGTATTTTCACTGGCTGTGGAATTCAGGGTTGACAATTATTTTTTTCCAGCATTTGAAATATTTCCATTTTCTTCTGGCCTCTATGAAATGAGAAATCCACTGCCATTCAAGTAATTGTTCCCTTATAGGCAGTCTCCCTATAGCTGCTTTCAAAACTTTTTTGTCTTTAGAAACTTGATTATATTTTGTCTACTTATATTTCGTTGAGTTTATTCTATTTGGGTTTTGTTTAGCTTCTTGAATCTGTAGGCTTATGCCTTTCACCAAAACTTGGGAAATTTTCATCTATTAATTCTTTGAATATTTTTCAGCCCTATACTCTTTTTCATCTGCCCCTATGACTTTGATGACACAAATGTTAGATCTTTTATTTTGGTCCCTCAGGAGATATGTAGAATATATTTCTTATAGATACATATATTCTCTTTGTTGTTCACATTGGGGAAATTCTATTGATCTGTCTTCATATTCACTGAGTCTCCTTCTGTCATCTCTAACCTACTGTTAAACCCATTCAATGAGGTGTTTTTTCAGTTATTGCTTTTTTATTTTTAGTTTTATAATTTTCATTTGCTTTTTTTATACCTTGTTTCTTAGCTAGGATTTTTTTCTTTTCCAGGAGTATTTTAATTTCTTTTTGGAGCATTTTTTGATGGCTGCTTTAAAATCCTTGCCAGACAATTCCAACATCTGAGTTTTCTTGTTGTTGCCATCTATTGATTGTCTTTTCTCATTCAACTTGTGATTTTTGTGGTTCTTGATATATGATAAGTGATTTCCTATTGTACCTTGAAGATTTTGGGTATTATGTTAGGAGATTCAGGATCCTATTTAAGTATTTTTTAGCTGGCATTCACCCTGTTTAGGCTTAGCATACAGATCCAGGCTCACTTTTATGGGCTGTGGTTCCACTGACAATTTAGTTTTTAGAGCCCTTGCAGTGTTATTCTGATAATGCTTTGTTTGTGTGCTACCCACATGAGAAAAATTTGTATTCTGCTTTTGTTGCATGAAGTGTTCTGTATGTGTCACTTTGATCAAGTTGATTGATAGTGCTATTCAGGTCATCCACGGCCTTACTGAGTTTCTGCCTATTTGTTCTATCAGTGACTTAGAGAGGAGTATTGAAATCTCTAATTGTAGATTTATCTATTTTTTTTATTAGTTCTATCAGTTTTTGCCTCGTGTATCTGAAACTCTGTTGTTGGGTGCATATACATTTAGGATTATTATATCTCCTTGGAGAATTGACCTCTTTATCATTATGTAATATCCACTTTTATTTCTGATAAGCTCTTGTTCTGAAGTCTGTTTTGTCTGAAATGAATACAGGTTTTCTAGCTTTCCTTTGATTGCTATTTGTATGATGTATCCTTCTCCATCTCTTTACTTTTGGTCTAAGTCTTTATATTTAAAGTGGGTTTCTTATAGACAGCATGTAGTTGGGTCTTGCTTTTTCATCAAATTTATAATCTATGATGTTTTATTTTTATTTATTTATTTGAGACAGAGTCTTGCTCTGTGGCCCAGGCCGGAGTACAGTGGTGCAATCTTGGCTCACTGCAACCTCTGCCTCCCGGGTTCAAGTGATTCTCCTGCCTCAGCCTCCTGAGTAGCTGGGGCTACAGGCACACACCACCATGCCCAGCTAATTTTTAAATTTTTACTAGAGATGGGGTTTCACCATGTTGGCCAGGCTGGTTTCGAACTCCTGACCTCAAGTGATTTACCTGCCCTGGCCTCCCAAAGTGCTGGGATTATAGGTGTGAGGCACTGCACCCAGCTGCCTTTCCTCATTTAAATTGAGCACTTTTTATGTTTTTATCTCTTCCATTGACTTATTTATACTTTTTAAATATTCCCTTTTTAGTAGTATGTCTAGGATTTAAAGTATACATTTTAAGATAATTTGAATTTGTATACATTTTAAGATAATTTGAATCCATTATCAAATAATTTGCTGTTTCATGTGTAGTGAAAGGACATTATAATAGTATATTCCTGTTTCCTCTTTCCCGTTTGTCATTATTTTCATATGTTTTACTTAGGTGTTTATATGTGCAATAAACACCTAATACATTGTTACTTGAATTGCTTTATCTATTTTCTTTTTTAATGTATCTACTAGATTTTTTTTTTTTTTTTTTTGAGAGGGAGTCTTGGTCTGTCACCCAGGCTGGAGTGCAGTGGTGCAATCTTGGCTCACTGCAACCTCTGCCTCCCAGGTTCAAGCAATTCTCCTGCCTCAGCCTCCCAAGTAGCTGGGATTACAGGCACCTACCACCATGCCCGGCTAATTTTTGTATTTTTAGTAGAGACGGGGGTTTCACCATATTGGCCAGGCTAGTCTCAAACTCCTGACCTTGTGATTGCCCGCCTCAGAAATTTTTAATTGCATATGTGGCTTCTATTATACTTCTGTTGAACAGTGCTGTTCTGGAACTCTAGCTATCATTTATATATCCCTACCTAACTTCTGTCATTTGTTTTTCAACCCTGTTTTTGATCCTGTTAAGTATAGCATGTTCCATTGTGAACTCTTCCTATATGCTGAATCAAAAAAGTATGTCCTACTTTTTATTCCTAGTATCTAGACTGATGGATTTCTAGGCCATTCCATAGCCGTGGAGGAAATACTAGAGTAGGATTGAAGTAGGAAGGGAAGTATGATATACTTTCTTAAGGCCCATGCAAATCATTTTTCCTGCTTTCCTGACATTTATTGTCTACACCAGAGTTTCCCAGTATGGTCTAGGGACTTTGTATTCATCACCCAGGAATCTAGGTGATGTTTATGTACACACTGCACATAACTGCGTTTGGCATTTATTGTCATGGCTTATAGTACTTTTAACTCAATCTCGTCTTCCCATTAAGTTGTGAGATTTTGTTTTGTTTTTTTTATTTGAGACAGAGTCTTGCTCTGTCGCCCAGGCTGGAGTACAATGACACAATCTCAGCTCACTGCAACCTCTGCCTCCTAGGGTCAACCAATTCTCCTGCCTCACTCTCTCCCAAGTAGCTGAGATTACAGGCACCCACCACCACGCCCGGCTAATTTATTGTATTTTTAATAGAGACAGGGCTTCACCATATTGGCCGGACTGGTCTCTAACTCCTGACCTCAGGTGATCCACCTGCCTCGGCCTCCCAAAGTGCTGGGATTAGAGGTGTGAGCCACTATGCCTTGCCCTTTTTTCAGTCATTGTGACTTTCACGTGTAGGTTTGGTTTTTAACATCTTTGCTGACTCACTTGGTTTACCCACGTGGTGTACCATCTAGTGGTAATAGAGAGTCACTTCATTCCACAAGGTTTAAATCTTGTAAGATAACTTGGAATGCTATTATAGGGCAACTTACCGAGATGGAAATTATCAATGAATTTTAAATGTATGTCTAACCAACATTAATATTATATCAAGTTTATGTTACATTGTTCTATATGTATAATTTGTCACACCCCAATATAATTTTAATTATTAGAAAGCTTTATAGCTAATTTAAACATAACATTTGTAATGTTCATGATTTGTTTTACATACTAGGCAAGGGAAACTGCTTAATAACAGAATAAATGACTGATTGTCCAATTTAGGGACTAGACAAGAGGCTGTAGTAGATGCCCTGAAGTAACATTGCCTAGTAAGAGGAATAAAACAAGTAGACAGATTTTGAAAGCATCATAACTGGAGGAGGGTTGTGAAAGGTTTCATGAGCAAAGATGATCCTTTCAAAGGTCATTTAATGGCAATGCTGTGAAAAGACAGTGGCCAAGGCATCCATTCTCAATGCAGAAGATTTACTAAGATCACGGGCCCTGGAGCCAGACTGTCCACGTTCAGATCTGCCACTTAAGAGCTGAGTGATCTTGGGAAGTTATATATCCTTTGAGTCTTAATTCCCCATTTCAACAGTGTCATTCTCTTTTCCTATAGGAAATCTAAGGATATAGTCAACAAAATGACTTTTCACAGTCAAAAATTTTGTGCTGATTCTGATGGCTTCTCACAGGAACTCAGAAATTTTAACCAAGAAGGTACAAAATTGGTTGAAGAATCTGTGAAACACTCTGATAAACTCAATGGCAACCTGGAAAAAATATCTCAAGAGACTGAACAGAGATGTGAATCTCTGAACACAAGAACAGTTTATTTTTCTGAACAGTGGGTATCTTCCTTAAATGAAAGGGAACAGGAACTTCACAACTTATTGGAGGTAATAACTTTGTAAGTGGAACTTACTTTGGGGAGAATAATAATCAGAAAGTTAAATATTCTTGGCTAAGAATAGATTTCAAAACAAATGATATTTTAAGCTATAATGACTTAAACTTTTAAGTATAATATTTGGTATGCTTACAGATGATCTCGTTTTGTGCTTTGTTATATGTCTTCTCAATCTTGGAATTAATTTAACATTTGTACAGTTTCTTTCCTGTATTTATCCTTGGTTTCTGACTTAGTAGTTTCTTCAAAGAAGGGCACCCTGTCTTTTGATATGTAATACCTTCCACTTATATATGCTTTTTTTTTTTTTTTTTTTGAGATGGAGTCTCACTCTGTTGCCCAGGCTGGAGTGCAATGGCACGATCTCAGCTCACTGCAACCTCCGCCTCCCAAGTTCAAGCGATTCTCCTGCCTCAGCCTCTCGAGTAGTTGGGATTATAGGCACCTGCCACCACACCCGGCTAATTTTTTTGTATTTTTAGTAGAGATGGGGTTTCACTATATTGGCCAGGCTGGTGTCAAACTCCTGACCTCATGATCCACCCGCCTCGGCCTCCCAAAGTGCTGGGATTACAGGCATGAGCCACTGCGCCCGGCCTATCTTTGCTTTTTACTTTTCTCCAAGTACATTCAAACCTATTATTATTTTAAGTATTTAGGTTATTGTTCTGGTAACTAAAGGATACTTGATAGGTTTATGGATTTGCTTGAACTTAACGCTTGCATGAGCCCTTTGTAACTTGGTTTTTTCTTTCTTTGCATTAATAGGATTTTACTAACATTCTCAGGAAGTAGGTACAAAGAATTAAAATTTTTAATCTATATAAGCTGTTTTCACTAAAAGGAACTAGAGTTTGTATACAAATAGCTAATTTCAGATTTGTGATAGGAAATGTATAATATATGAGCCTAGAGATCTTGTCATACCAGAGAGTAAGGAAGCTGTTAAAGATTTCTGAGGTTGTCAAAAGGTCTTAGTAGCCAACCTCCCCATCTTCAAAGGTGGCATAATTTGAGCATCAAAAAGAATAATGGCCATAATGGATTAAAACATATCAAATATATTAAAACTTACGAACTCATAAAAATTTCATAGGTCTCCTTTGGATCATGCTAGGGAAGCAACACATTGTCCTGAAAATGGGTAAAGAAGAAGAAAAAATTTAGCATCCATCTGTCTTTCCTAAAAGAACCATATCTTGGTTTAGCAGGGTAATGAAGAAAAGTGTTTCATTAGACTCTAAGCTAATAAAATGGAGAAGAAATGATAGAATTAATATATCACCAGTATGCAACTCTTAATAAAATAACCCCTGTGGATGTTAATGATGGCTTAAACCATTTGATCAAAAGCTGTTGGGGAACTTTATAATTAATAGGCTAACCATACCTGAACTCACTGATAAATCTTAACATGAGAGACACAGCAAAGCATTTTGTGCTTGCAGTACTACCTATGAAATACTCTTGCTAAAAAATTAAACCTGAATTAAATCAAGCCTTTAGGTCTAACCAGTTTGTAGAAAATAAAGCATAGAAATGCAGTTGACCAAATCCAGAATTTGAGATGTTCAATGGGGTAAAGACCTCATGTCTTCAGCAACAAGTTTTTTTTTTCAAGGGAAAAAATATGAGAAACAATAACCTGTATATCAAAAGAGACTTAAGACTAGAGGTCCTTAAGTCTTAGTTTGCCTGAGACAGTCCTTGTTGATATTGTTGTATTAGAATGATTATTAAGAATGGGCCCTTTCACTCCAAAAGGTGTCCCAATTTGGATGATAAATTATATAGTCACCGACTTAAGACCTATGAACCAAATCTAGTGGTGAATTCTGGTTCAAACAAAGCAATTGTGACACACATTTGAGACGACTGGTGAAGTTTGAACATGGACTAGACATTTGATAGGAAGGAATCAGTGTTAACCTTTTTAGATGTGATAGTGGTCTTAAAGTGCTCTTACCTCTTAGAGATACATGCTGAAGTAAATGGATGAAATGATACAGGATTTGTTTCAAAATAATCCTGGGTTTATGGAGGAGTTGAGTGGCCAGTCCTGTTGGTAAATGTCTGTACTCCACTTGTTGGTAAATGTTGAAGCTGGGTAATGAATACAAGGGAGTTAATTATACTGTTCTCTCTACTTTTGTATGTGTTTTTAAATCTTTTATTACTGAAGGCCAGGTGTGGTGGCTCATGCCTGTAATCTTTGGAGGTCAAGGTGGGCAGATTGCTTGAGCCCAGGAGTTTGAGACCAGCTTGGGCAACATGGTGAAATGCCATCTCTTCAAAAAATACAAAAATTAGCCAGGCATGGTGGTACATGCCTGTAGTCCCAGCTACCTGGGAGGCTGAGGTGGGAGGATGGCTTGAGCCTGGGAGGTCAAGGCTGTAGTGAGCACTACTCATGCCACTGCACTCCAGCCTGGGCAACAGAGTGAGACTTGTCTCCAAAAAAAAAAAAAATTATGGAAAAGGTAAGGGAAAATATGATGTTGAATAAAACACTGGCAACTTTAATTTTAGTAATAAATATTTATTTGCATCATTTACAGGTTGTAAGCCAATGTTGTGAGGCTTCAAGTTCAGACATCACTGAGAAATCAGATGGACGTAAGGCAGCTCATGAGAAACAGCATAACATTTTTCTTGATCAGATGACTATTGATGAAGATAAATTGATAGCACAAAATCTAGAACTTAATGAAACCATAAAAATTGGTTTGACTAAGCTTAATTGCTTTCTGGAACAGGATCTGAAACTGGATATCCCAACAGGTACTTTAAAAGAGAAATAGAATTGTTAAATTTTTTGAAGTCGAATTCAACTCTATGTAGTGTCAGATGTTCAGAAAAATTAGGTCCTGCCATTGCCTGACAGAAATTTAACATCTCACTGTAATCAACTCAAAATGGGAAAACTGGAACCTTAAAATAGTTTTAATCAAGTGTCATGATACAGGTGGTATCACAATTCAGTATAATTTCACATACTTTCAGGGAGTTGACTTTGTTAATAGGGGATTTTTTAAAACAAATACAAACCTAGCACTGTTTGTAAAAGGACATTTTAATACCACAAATATGGGAGAGATGTAACTGACTAAATCTAGTTTAATGCAAAGTTTACCACATTGTGCATTTTGTTCTGTGTCCCTCTCATTTTGTCATAGACTATTGCCATTTAGGAATCCCTGTTTTAAGAGATCAGGGATCACCATGGACCATTAGCATTTAGGAATCAACATTTTGAGAGATCACATATGGCAAAGATCATTATAGGCTGTAATGATTCAGGGAGGTCTTCATGGAAGAGATGTAACAAGCTGTTTTACACAGCATGAATAATTGGGTTCTTCATTGGATTATGGTAATGGTTGCACACCCTGTAAACTCACTAAAATCCACTGAATTGTACACATAAAATGAGTGTTTTATGGTATGTAAATTATATCACAAAACTCTTTTTTTTTTTTAATTTAAAAAGCAATTGTTAAAAGGGGATGGTGCTACATAGAATGTTGGTTTATTTATTCCCCAAGAGACCTGTAGGATTTACTGTCTACTTTTCAATGAAGTTAGGAATGTAAATGTTGAGTGAAAAGGCAAGTACTTTTGTAAATCATGAGAGCATGAGCTTATTACAGAGAAATATAACTGGGGGCCTGATGCGGTGGCTCACACCTATAATCCCAGCACTTCGGGAGGCAAGGCAGGAGGATCGTTTGAGCCCAGGGGTTCAAGACCAGCCTGGGCAACATAGTATATGTATATAACTAGTTAATATTTAACCACCACACCACATTTATAGTGAAATGATTACTCCTATCAAAGTAATCATGTTGGGAAATCTACTCATTCCAATAATGCTGCCATTTTTTTCAGAACACTATAACTCCTTTTAGAGCTTATAACACATCTTTTATATATCCTCAGAGATGGTAAACTTCATGTTTTAGAGAGTAGGATGAATCTTGAAAACAGTAAAGTCTGTCATCAAATTAGAAAGTATTGTTAGTTGCAAACAATGTCTGACAGGTAGCAAGACTGATCCTCATATATGGCAATTATATTTTTATATTTTTAGAAGACAAGATTAATTAGGAAGTTTTAGGTTTTTTTAAAAATATTTACATCTCATACTTTAATTTTTACCTCTTATCTAATGTCCGTTAAAGGTACGACACCACAGAGGAAAAGTTATTTATACCCATCAACACTGGTAAGAACTGAACCACGTGAACATCTCCTTGATCAGCTGAAAAGGAAACAGCCTGAGCTGTTAATGATGCTAAACTGTTCAGAAAACAACAAAGAAGAGACAATTCCGGTAAATTTAAAGGATCATATTTTATAATAGAACTCTTTTATGAACTCTTGATGTGGCTGACTTCATGTGAAGAATTTTACTGTTTACCCCTCAATCTTACCCCGCCTCTCATTAATGATAGGCCTAGCCCTTAGGCTTGTTTCTTTTAATCTTACTAGTTTTTAAATTATGCTAGTAGATAATAATAGCCAATACTTAATATTGTGCTTAGTAACATTGTTATATAGGAACCTCTACTCTCTATAAAAATATATTAGGAATTATTTTCATTAATTTGTAGACTTTCTAATAATTTTGTTGAGGTTTAACTTTTATATTATACCATGGGCATTGTGTTATACTCAAAGCTGCTGTTACTCTTGTGATGACTTTTAAGCCCTTGGACTTAGTCACTCATCCAGTTTCTTCTTTTAGGATGTGGATGTAGAAGAGGCAGTTCTGGGGCAGTATACTGAAGAACCTCTAAGTCAAGAGCCATCTGTAGATGCTGGTGTGGATTGTTCATCAATTGGCGGGGTTCCATTTTTCCAGGTATGTCATATCAGATAACCCTTCCACATCTGATGTAAGTCATTCATTTACTATTCATTATAAAGGTATTGTTCGTGGTGAGCAGAACAACAAAAACCTTTCAATTATTCCTTAGGATGGCTTGTTAACGCTTATGATTTGAATTATTTACAAAAATCTGATATTGATAAGGGGTTTTCTGTAGAATAAATGAAGGCAGAATTTGACTTAATCTACATCCTTAGCTGATAATCTTTAGCTATTGTATTTATTCCTTTTCTGCTTGCTATATACTCAGACACTGAGAGCAGTCATTTCTCTTCCTTCTACCTTTGACATGTAAGTCTTGGAACCTATCTCTGCCCATAATCAGACTTTGAAGGCAAAGTGATTGAAAAGATTGAGAGACTGGAGGCCTCTTAGGTTATATTAGTGATTTCTCCTGCCTGAGGCTCTTCTCTTGTAAACTGTTGCCCCATGTTTCCTGAGCACCTTGCCTGCTCTAATCCAGTGTAATTAAATCCTGTGACCTCTCCTACCCACTCTTCTTTTTTTTTTGAGACTGAGTCACCCAGGCTGAAGTGGAGTGGCACGATCTTGGCTCACTTAACCTCCGCCTCCTGAGTTCAAGTGATTCTCCTGACTCAGCCTCCCGGGTAGCTAGGATTACAGGCATGCACCACCACACCTGGCTAATTTTTTTGTATTTTTAGTAGAGACAGGGTTTCACTATGTGGGCCAGGCTGGTCTCAAACTCCTGACCTCAAGTTATCTACCCTCCTCGGCCTCCCAAAGTGCTGGGATTACAGGCGTGAGCCACTGTGCCCAGCCCTCTACCCACTTTTTTTTTTCTTTTGAGACGGAGCTTCGCTCTTGTTTCCCAGGCTGGAGTGCAATGGCACGATCTTGGCTCACCGCAACTTCCACCTCCTGGGTTCAAGTGATTCTCCTGCCTCAGCCTCCCGAGTAGCCAGGATTACAGGCATGTGCCACCATGCCTGGCTAATTTTGTTTTTTTTTTTTTTTTTTTTTTTTTTTTTTTTTTTTTTTTTAGTAGAGGGGGTTTCTCTGTGTTGGTCAGGCTGGTCTCGAACTCCCAACTTCAGGTGATCTGCCTGCCTCGGCCTCCCGTAGTGCTGGGATTACAGGTGTGAGCCACCGGCCCGGCCCCTCCTACCCACTTTTTAACACTGTTGAGAACATAGTTGGTTTATGATTCATCTCAGCATTGATGACTGAGTACACAATCAATGTCACCAGTCCCTTAATGTTCTCTATGGGTAAGTAGGAGGATTCCAATGAAATACAACTTCCAAGTGAGGCTCTATAAAGTGCTGGTATCTTTTCCTCTAATTTGAGGGTACAAGCCTAGACAGAGTGTGTGAAGGAAAAATTTCCTTACGTAGGACATTGGTATCTACATTTACAGTTGAAGTTCTACTTCTGAGATGCATATGCTTGTACCTTTTTTTTTTTTTTTTTTTTTTAAATATATATAGAGAGAGGGTCTTGCTATGTTGGCCAGACTGGTCTTGAACTCTTGGCCTCAAGCAGCCCTCCTACCTCAGCCTCCCAAAATGCTAGGATTACAGGCATGAACCACTGCGCCTGGCTGCTTGTACCTTTTTTGTGTGTATGTCTTGTTTTGTTTTTTTGTTTTTGAGACGGAGTTTTGCTCTTGTTGCCCAGGCCAGAGTGCAATTGCCTGATCTTGGCTCACCACAATCTCCGCCTCCCGGGTTCTAGCGATTCTCTTGCCTCATCCTCCCGAGTAGCTGGGATTACAGGCATGCACCACCACACCTGGCTAATATTGTATTTTTAGTAGAGAAGGGGTTTCTCCA
This sequence comes from Homo sapiens, assembly GCF_000001405.40. Taxonomy (NCBI): domain Eukaryota; kingdom Metazoa; phylum Chordata; class Mammalia; order Primates; family Hominidae; genus Homo; species Homo sapiens. The sequence continues at coordinate 92,652,341 of NC_000010.11, forward strand.
TGTTGGTCAGGCTAATCTTGAACTCCCGACCTCAGGTGATCCGCCCGCCTCGGCCTCCCAAAGTGCTGGGATTACAAGCGTGAGCCACCGCGCTCGGCCTGTAACTGTTTTTTAATAGATCTACAGCTCCTTCCCTTAAGGTCTAAAGATTCTCCATCCCTGCTTTCAACAGTTAACAAAGTTCCAACTCAGATTCTCATAAATTCCTCCCTGTCTTCCTCTGGGCAATTTTATTCCCAAATTCTTGCCACCTTTTGCTTTATTCCTTACTATTAGAGAACTATAAATATGTTTCTTTCAGTTTTCATCCTTTTCTTCTATCTTATAAAGTTAGGAAAGGGGGAAGGATAAGAGAACCTGGTGACTACTTAATCCCTGGTCAGAAATCGTTTTATTATTATTATCTGTGGCATTTTGAATTAGGCTTAGTGATTCAGCTATGGCAAGGAAGTCCCTACAGTACCAGAAAGGGTTTGGGATGGGGTTTTAGACCTTCAGCTGAAGTCCAGAAATGATCTTTTCCCTAGTAGCAGTGTGATGTGGGGATTTTCTCTGCGTTTAAAACTTTAAAAGTTGGTTTACAATTTGTCTCAGCATTGATGACTGAGTGTACAATGAATGTCACCAGTCCATTAATGTTCTGTATGGGTAAGTAGGATTCCAATGAAATAGAACTTCCAAATGAGGAATATGAAATAGGTTTTACAAATAAAATAAAATACAATTTTAAAAAACAAGTAAAAGTGTTTTTAAGGTGGCCCATATACCAGTTTCTCTGCTTAAAACAGAATTGGCTTTTCTGCATGACAGCAAATCTTTGTTTCCTTAGAGCAGGGTTTCTTGACAGCAGTGCTATTGGCATTTTAAACTGGATAATTCTTTGTTGTGATGGGCTTTCCTGTGGACTGTACTATGTTGGTACACAAGAAAAACAGTGTACTATGTGAATACTCACTCAAAGCCAGTAGCACTCCCTGATTGTAACACCAAAAAAGTCTCTCAGCATTGCCAAATGTCCCCTGTGGCAGCAGAATCACTCCCTGATGAGAACCACTACCCTGGAGTAAAATCTATAACTATGTCTTAGAAAATAACACAGAAAATTAATATTTCTTTCACTCTACTCCTTCCATTAGTGATCAAATAAAGAAGGCATTTGGCGCTACTTGCCAAATTGTTGGCTCAAACTTGTGCTGAACCTTTTTTGGTTTTCTACACTTAAGTTTTTTTGCCTATAACCCAGAGAACTTTGAAAATAGAGTGTAGTTAATGTGTATCTAATGTTACTTTGTATTGACTTAATTTTCCCGCCTTAAATCCACAGCATAAAAAATCACATGGAAAAGACAAAGAAAACAGAGGCATTAACACACTGGAGAGGTCTAAAGTGGAAGAAACTACAGAGCACTTGGTTACAAAGAGCAGATTACCTCTGCGAGCCCAGATCAACCTTTAATTCACTTGGGGGTTGGCAATTTTATTTTTAAAGAAAACTTAAAAATAAAACCTGAAACCCCAGAACTTGAGCCTTGTGTATAGATTTTAAAAGAATATATATATCAGCCGGGCGCGGTGGCTCATGCCTGTAATCCCAGCACTTTGGGAGGCTGAGGCGGGTGGATTGCTTGAGCCCAGGAGTTTGAGACCAGCCTGGCCAACGTGGCAAAACCTCGTCTCTGTTAAAAATTAGCCGGGCGTGGTGGCACACTCCTGTAATCCCAGCTACTGGGGAGGCTGAGGCACGAGAATCACTTGAACCCAGGAAGCGGGGTTGCAGTGAGCCAAAGGTACACCACTACACTCCAGCCTGGGCAACAGAGCAAGACTCGGTCTCAAAAACAAAATTTAAAAAAGATATAAGGCAGTACTGTAAATTCAGTTGAATTTTGATATCTACCCATTTTTCTGTCATCCCTATAGTTCACTTTGTATTAAATTGGGTTTCATTTGGGATTTGCAATGTAAATACGTATTTCTAGTTTTCATATAAAGTAGTTCTTTTATAACAAATGAAAAGTATTTTTCTTGTATATTATTAAGTAATGAATATATAAGAACTGTACTCTTCTCAGCTTGAGCTTACATAGGTAAATATCACCAACATCTGTCCTTAGAAAGGACCATCTCATGTTTTTTTTCTTGCTATGACTTGTGTATTTTCTTGCATCCTCCCTAGACTTCCCTATTTCGCTTTCTCCTCGGCTCACTTTCTCCCTTTTTATTTTTCACCAAACCATTTGTAGAGCTACAAAAGGTATCCTTTCTTATTTTCAGTAGTCAGAATTTTATCTAGAAATCTTTTAACACCTTTTTAGTGGTTATTTCTAAAATCACTGTCAACAATAAATCTAACCCTAGTTGTATCCCTCCTTTCAGTATTTTTCACTTGTTGCCCCAAATGTGAAAGCATTTCATTCCTTTAAGAGGCCTAACTCATTCACCCTGACAGAGTTCACAAAAAGCCCACTTAAGAGTATACATTGCTATTATGGGAGACCACCCAGACATCTGACTAATGGCTCTGTGCCCACACTCCAAGACCTGTGCCTTTTAGAGAAGCTCACAATGATTTAAGGACTGTTTGAAACTTCCAATTATGTCTATAATTTATATTCTTTTGTTTACATGATGAAACTTTTTGTTGTTGCTTGTTTGTATATAATACAATGTGTACATGTATCTTTTTCTCGATTCAAATCTTAACCCTTAGGACTCTGGTATTTTTGATCTGGCAACCATATTTCTGGAAGTTGAGATGTTTCAGCTTGAAGAACCAAAACAGAAGGAATATGTACAAAGAATAAATTTTCTGCTCACGATGAGTTTAGTGTGTAAAGTTTAGAGACATCTGACTTTGATAGCTAAATTAAACCAAACCCTATTGAAGAATTGAATATATGCTACTTCAAGAAACTAAATTGATCTCGTAGAATTATCTTAATAAAATAATGGCTATAATTTCTCTGCAAAATCAGATGTCAGCATAAGCGATGGATAATACCTAATAAACTGCCCTCAGTAAATCCATGGTTAATAAATGTGGTTTCTACATTAACCTGCTTGCTCCATAATTTCTTATCTGGCAATGGGTATATTTAGAGGGTTAGGCAAGCTGCATTCACATTCCCAAAATAAACTATGCAGGTACCACCAAAGAAGAAGGAGCCTAGTAAACTTGCAGGCTTTTAGTTGCACTCCAAGGGGCTATCCTAGGTGCAAGGTTAGTGAGAAGTAGGCCCTCACACAGCCTGAAGTCCAGCTTTAAGTCATCTCATTCCATGACTGTTTAAGTTATCTGAGAATGCTGATGCAACTAATTTCACTGCCTCACAGAAGCAAAAATAAATCTCCAGATAATTTTAACATCCAGAACCATAAATTAGCTCTACCAATTTTCATACACAATGTCGGGCCCTCAGAATGTAACCAAGAGTAGCATCAGCAAAAATGGCCAAGTAGGTAGCTTCAAGGACCTTTTCCTCCACAGAAACATTGAAAAATCAAGCAAAAACATTCAGAAACAACTTTGTCAGAACCCAGGAAAATAGTTTACAGCACCAAGCATTTGCTGAATCAAGAAAAAGGCAACCTAGAAAGAAGGAAAGCTTGGCAGTGTTTTACTTGCCCTTTCCCCATTCTCAGCTCTGCAACAGTCTTGAAGACACAGAACACATTCTCAGCGTGGAGTCCTGGTCTTGGGTTTCTAGGGAGAAGAGAGATTTTTTTTTTTTTTTTTGGAGACAGTCTCACCCTGCCACCCAGGCCAGAGTGCATTGGCATGATCTCGGCTCACTGCAACCTCCCGGGTTCAAGCAATTTGTGCCTCAGCCTCCCAAGTAGCTGGGACCACAGGCACACACCACGACACCTGCTAATTTTTGTATTTTTAGTAGAGACGGGGTTTCACCATGTTGGCCAGGCTGGTCTCAAACTCCTGATCTCAGGTGATCCACCCTTTTCGGCCTCCCAAAGTGCTTGGATTATAGGCATGAGCCACCACATCCAGCCCCAGAGATTTTATTCTTGAAAGATTATGTTTGTTCTGACCTGTCTGGCAGCCTCAAGGACTGACAAAAGGCACCTGCATTTGTTTCGTGTAACTCAGAACTCAGTCATGGTGTGAAATTGGCATGTTTGTCTCTAAATATTGTAAGGCAAATGAACAACCTGCTGCCGCCTGAGGCAAAAAGTTACCGTTGAGGTAAACAAAGGAGTGCCTAAAGCCTGAGAGGAAAGCAGCAGAATTTCTTAGGGAAATTAGGTTATTCAAAAGCACCCATGTATATTGGGGGATTTAGAAAGCCATGCACAGTCCCAGGTCAGTCTGCACATTCAAACCTGAGAAGACCCCAAGATTTCATGTCTGGCTGATGTGTAGGCTCAGTGCAAGCAGGAAGTAAAGGCTAAGGCCAATTTCAGATGGGCCGGATAGGCACTGAAGGTGTGTCCCAACACAGCCAATCAGCAAAAACTGAGGGTTTTTTTCTTCCCTTGTCAATTTTTGGGGCAACCAGTTTTCAAAGAAATCTCATCACACTGGCTGAACGCTAGCAAAAGGAAGACACCTTACAGACCGTGTAAGTCAAAGAACAGAAACTTTACAAAAACAGGTCAGAAAAGTCACTAGGACCGGGTGCTGTGGCTCATGCCTGTAATTTCAGTATTTTGGGAGGCCAAGGTGGGAGGATCACTTGAACCCAGGAGTTCGAGACCTGCCCGGGCAACATAGTGAGAACTCGTCTCTATAAAAAAAAAATTTTTTTTAATTAGTTGGGCATGGTGGCACAGGCCTATAGTCCCAACCACTTGGGAGGCTGAGGTGGAAGGATTGATTGAGCCCAGGGGTTTGAGGCTACAGTCAGCTATGATTGCGCCACTGCATTCCAGCCTCGGGAACAGAGTGAGACTTTGTCTCTAAATATATACAAGTCACTAAACAAACCACTACAACCCACAGCAAGTAACAAAAACCCTGAGGAGTGAAGAATCTGGTTTCCAGAGTTAATAGTAAAGTAATATTCAGCTTTCAACAAAAAACTGTGAAGCATGCAAAGAAAGTATAGCCCACTCAGAAAAAATTAGAATAAACTATCTGAGGAAGCATAGACATTGGACTTTAAGACAAAATTTGTAAATCAACTGTCTCAAAAGTGCTCAAAGAGCTAAGGGAATACAGGGAAACAATGTCTCATAGAGATTGTCAAAGAAATTATAAAAAGGAACCATAAAAATTAGCTGAAAAGTGCAATAAAAAAAAGGGGGAAAAAATGGTTCTAATAGCAGATATGGCCAGACAGTAGAAAGAATCAGTGAAGCTGAAGGTAGATCAATTGAAATTATCCATCTGAGGAGCAGAAGAACAAAGGAAAGAAGCAATTTAAGAAAGCTATGGATTACCACCAAGCATACCAACCTTTGCAAAATAGGAGTTTCAGAAGGAGAGGAGAGAGAAAGGGGCAGAAAGAATATTTGAAGAAATAATGGCCCCAAACACCTCAAATTTGTGAAAACACTTGAATGTACCCATCCAAGAAGTTTGCAGAACTCCAAATAGGATAAGTCAGGAAAGATCCATGTCGAGACATATATAAACTGTCCAAAACTGAAAAGAGGATCTTGGAAGCAGAAAGACAGTGGCAATCAGAGAAATGCAAATCCAAATCACAGTGAGATACCACTTCACATCCAGAAGGATGGCTATAACAAAAAATACAGAAAAAAAAAAGTGGTGTTGGGGATGCTGGAAAATGGGAGCCTTCTTGTTTTCTGAGATGGAGTGTCGTTCTGTCACCCAGGCTGGAGTGCAGTGGTGCTATCTCAGCTCACTGCAACCTCCACCTTTTGGGTTCCAGTGATTCTCCTGCCTCAGCCTCTGGAGTAGCTGGGATTACAGGTGCTTACCATCACACCCAGCTAATTTTTTTTCTGGCTAATTTTTATATTTTTAGTAGAAATGGGGTTTCGCCATGTTGCCCAGGTTAGTCTTGAGCTCCTGATCTCAAGTGATCCACCTGTCTTGGCCTCCCAAAGTACTAAGATTTCAGGCGTGAGCCACCCCGCCCAGCCTGAAAATGGGAACCTTGTACATTGCTCATGGGAATGTAAAATGGTTCAGCCACTGTAGACAAAGAGTTTGGTGGTTCCTGAAAAGATAAACAGAATTACCATATAGCCCAGCAATTCCATTCCTAGCTGTCTTCCCAAGAGAAAAGAAAACATGCATCCACAAAAATTTATACACAGATGCTATAGCAGCACTATTCACAATGACCCAATGGTGTAAACAACCCATCAATATATGAATGGATAAACAAAATGATTATATACGTATGATACATTACTCAGCCATAAAGATGAAGTACAGATACAGGCTACCATATGGATAAACCTCAAAAACATTATGCTAAGTGAAAGAAGACACAAAAGTTCACATATTCTATGATTCCAGTTTTATGAAATATCCAGAATAGGTAAATTCATAGAGTCAGCAGACTGGTGGTGGTTAAATCTGGTGTGAGGGGAATGCAGAGTGACTGCTTAATGGGTATGGGATTTTCTTCTGGGGTGTTGGAAATATGTTGGAACTAGCCTGTAATCCCAGCACTTTGGGAGGCCAAGGAGGGCGGATTACCTGAGGTCAACAGTTTGAGACCAGCTTGAGCAACATTGTGAAACCCCGTCTCTACTAAAAATACAAAAAATAGCCAGGTGTGGTGTCGGGTGCCTGTAATCCCAGCTACTCGGGAGGCTGAGGCAGGAGAATCGCTTGAACTTGGGAGGCAGAGGTCACAGTGAGCCGAGATTGCACCACTGCACTTCAGCCTGAGTGACAGAGTGATACTCTTTTTCTTGTTTGTTTTTGAGACAGAGTTTTGTTCTTGTTGCCCAGGCTGGAGTGCAATGGCGCAATCTCGGCTCACTGCAACCTCCGCCTCCCAGGTTCAAGCGATTCTCCTGCCTCAGCCTCCCGAGTAGCTGGGATTACAGGCGCCTGCCAATATGCTCAGCTGATTTTTGTATTTTTAGTAGAGACAGGGTTTCTCCATGTTGGTCAGGCTGGTCTCGAACTCCCGACCTCAGATGATTCACCCACCTCGGCCTCCCAAAATGCTGGGATTACAGGCAGGAGCCACTGCACCTGGCCAGGGTTCTTACACTATATATGAATCAGTATAATAATTTTTGAAAGTAGACCATGGTTAATTCATGATGTATATTGTAAGCCTTTGGGCAATAACTAGGCAAAAATTTTAATGGATATAAAACAGATTCATAAAAGTACTCAGTTAATTTTAGAATTACAGAAAATGAGGAAAAGGGGACAAAGAACAAAGAAAATAAACAGAAAAGAAGTAGCAAATGGATATATTTAAGCCCAATAACATTAAATGTAAGCGGTTTAAATAAACTAAAAGATAGATCATCAGATTGGATAAAAAGTAATTATAATCTATCTACAAGAAGCCCACTTCAAATAGAAAAGATATATACAGATAAACAAGAAAAGGATGGGAAAGATACACAAACCCTCATCAAAAGAAAGCTAGAGTGTCTATATTACTACCAAAGTTGACTTTAGAATGAGGAATGTCACCAAGGATAAAAAGGAACATTACATAATGATAAAGATGTTAATTCACAAAGAGGTATAACAATTCTACATATGTACGTACCTAACAACAGAGGTGCTAGAAACTGACAGGACTGAAAGGAGAAATAAACAAATCCACAGTTATAGCTAGAGACTTGAGCATTTTAAGTAACAGAACTAGAAAGAAAATCAATAAAGATATTGAAGACCTGACAACTCTGTCAACCACCTTGACCTAATGAATATTTATAGAACAATATACCCAACAATAGGGGAATATATTATTTGTGAAGTGCTTGAAACATTCAAACAATATGAACTATATTCTGGGTCATTAAAAAACAACTCCACAAGTTTTAAAGAATTGAAATCATACAAGTATGAAGTCAATACATACAACTTGAAGTCAACAATACACACAACTTGAAGTCAATACAAGTCATACAACTTGAAGTCAATAATACATAGTTGGGGATTTTCCAACTATGTATTATTGACTTCAAGTTTAACTCAATTTTAAGTCAAGTCTAATTCCCCAAATATGTCCAAATATTTGGAAATTAAACAACACACTTCTACACTTGATCTTAGCCAAAAGGCCGAGAAACGATAAACAACACACTTCTAAACCTACTCATCAAAGAGGAAATCACATGTAAAACTAGAAAAATTTAAACGGTGGCTTGTGCCTATAATCTCAGCTACTCTGGAGGCTGAGGCAGGAGGATCACTTGAGGTCAGGAATGTGAGAGCAGCCTGGGCAACATAGCAAGACCCCATCTCTAGAAAACAAAAAAATTAAAAATTTGGCTGGGTGCAGTGGCTCACGCCTTTCATCCAACACTTTGGGAGTCAAAGGCAGGCAGATCACTTGAGCATGGGAGTTCAAGACCAGCCTAGGCAACCTGGTGGGACCCCCATCTCTACCAAAAATAGAAAAAATTATCTGGGGGTGGTGGAGCATGTCTCTATTCCCAGCTTCTTGGGGAGGCTGAGGTGGGAGGATTGCTTGAGCCCAGGAGGCAGAGGTGGCAGTGAGCCGAGATTGTGCCACCGCATCTTGGCCTGAGTGATGGAGTGAGATCCCATTTCAAAAAAAAAAAATTAGCTGAGTATGGTGACACACACCTGTAGTCCCAGCTGAGGCTAAGGCAGGAGGATCACTTGATACACATATGCATACATACATACATATATGTATGTAGGTGTAGTTATATAATATATATAGGTATGTACAACTATAAATTTCTTCCTCAGCACTGCTTTAGTTACATCCCATAAATTTTGGTGTGTTGTATATTTGTTTCATTCCTCTCATAGTATTTTATAATATCCCTTGTGACTTTTTCTTTAACCAACGGGTTATTTAGGAGTGTGTTGTCTAATTTCCTCATATCTGTGAACTTCTCAAATGTCCTTCTGTTGTTTATTTCTAATTTTGTTCCATTATAGTTGGAGAAAAATACTTGGTATTACTGCAGTCAATTTAAATGTATTGAGATTTGTCTCATATGTCATAGGCCTAACATATGGTCTATCCTGGAAATGTTCCATTCCCACTTGAGAAAAATGTATCTTATACTGTTGTTTGGTAGAATGTTCTATAAAAATCTGTTAGGTCTAATTGGATTATAGTATTGTTCAAGTCTTTTATTACCCTCTTGATCTTCCGCCTATTTGTTTTATTAGTAAAAGTGGCATATTTAAGTCTCCAACTGTTATTTTTTAATTGTCTGTTTCTCTCTTCAATTCTGTTATTTTTTTGTTTCATGTATTTTGGGGTTCTGTTGTTAATTACATATGTTTGTAGTTATGCCTTGCTAATAAATTGATATTTTATCATTAAAATATATCCCTTTTTATAACTGGTAACAATTTTTGCCTTAAAATCTATTTTGTGGGATACTAGAATAGCCACTGCAGTTCTCTCTGAGTTACTGTATGCATGGTATAGCTTTTGCCATCTTTTTTTTTTTTTTTGAGATGGAGTCTCACTTGTCACCCAGGCTGGAGGGCAATGGCATGGTCTCGGCTCATTGCAACCTCCGCCTCCAAGGTTCAAGCAATTCTCCTGCCTCAGCCACCTGAGTAGCTGGGACTACAGGCTCATGCCACCATACCTGGCTGATTTTTGTATTTTTAGTAGAGACAGGGTTCACTATGTTGGCCAAGCTGGTCTCGAACTCCTGACCTCGTGATCCACCTGCCTTGGCCTCTCAAAGTGCTGGGATTACAGGCGTAAGCCACCACGCCTGGCTGCCAACCTTTTACTTTCAACATATTCATGTCTTTGAATCTAGTGTGTCACTTGTAAGACAACATATAGTTGAATCATTTTTTAAATCCATTCTGCCATTCTCTTACTTTTGACTAGGGTGTTTAATCAATTTCAAGTCATTACTATTAAGGAAGGAATTATGTCTGCCATTTTGCTATGTTCTCTATATGTCTTATGTCATTTTTCCTTTCTATTTTCCATTATTGTCCTCTTTTGTATTAAATAGATATTTTCTAATATACCATTTTAATTCCTTTGTCATTTTTTTTTTTTTACTATGTATATTTTTGAGTCATTTCCCTTGTTGTTTTGGAGATTACAATTAACAACTTAATTTAACAATCTAGTTTAGGTTACTACCAACTTAATATCAATAGTATACAAAATCTAGCTCCTATGTAGCTCTGTTCCCTTTCCCCTTCTTTGCAATGTTGTCATAATTACATCTTCATACATTGTGTGCCCATCAGCACAGGTTTATAATTATAACTTTATGCAGTAGTCTTTAAAATCATTTAAAAGAAAAAAAGAATTATAAGCAAAAATATATTCATATGGTCTTTTATATTTATCTATTTAGTTACCTTTACCAGTGCTCTTTATTTCTTCATGTGGTCTCAAATTACTGTCTCGTGTTCCTTCATTTCAAGATGGACTCCCTTTAGTATTTCTTGTGTGACAGGTTTGCTAATGACAAATTGTCTCAGTTTTGTTTATCTGGGAATGACTTACATTTTGCTTCATCTTTGAAGGTTGGTTTTGTTGGACATAAAATTCTTGGTTGACAGTCTTTTTTCCAGCACTTTGAATGTCATCCTATGGCTTTCTGGCCTCCATGGTTACTGATAAGAAGTCAGCTGTTAATCATGTGAAGGAGCTCTTCTAAATGATTAATTGCATTTCTCTTTCTTCAAGACTCTTTTCTTTGGATTTTGACAGTTTGATTATGATGATGTGTATAGGTGTGGATCTTTTTAAGTTTGTCCTAGTTGGAGTTCATTGAGCTTCTTGGATATGGAGATAAATGTTTTTCAGCAAATTTATTTTGTTTTTCAGCAAATTGTTTCTTCAAATATTATTTCTGTCCTTTTCTCTTCTACTAGGACTCTCATTATGTGTATGTTGGTATACTTGATAATGTCCCACAGGTCTCTGATGTTCTATTCATTTTTATTTATCCTTCTTCCTTTCTGTTCCTCAGACTAGACAATCACAATTGACTTTTCTTCAATTTTTCTTCAACTGACTTTTTTAAGAACTTCAAGATGCCTCCTGCATGAACTTGTAGGTTTTGTTTGTGAGTTATTGTTGACTCTAAAGGAACACCTCGTTGCAGAAACAGGAACCAGGTCTAGGAGTTTTACTGTCAAGCCATATAAATATGCCTGACAGTAGGCCTTGAGCCATTTAATATATTCTTCACTGATAATTCTGGTGTTTCCTAGAGATCCAATGGATCAAAAAAGACTTTTGCTGAGTCTTGGTTTTTACTTAATCACATTTGCTTGTGAGTCCCTCTAGTGAATTTTTAATTTCAGCTATTGCACTTTTTAACATTGTTAAAAACATGATTTCCTTTAATGCTTTGAACACATTTAAAATATCTTCAAGTATAGTTTCTATAGATTGCTATTTTCCTGTGTAAGAACAATACTTTATTTCTTTGCTTGTCTCATAATTTTATACAGAAACCTGACATTTCTTTTTTGTTGTTGTTTTTTGAGATAGAGTCTCACTGTTGCCTAGGCTGGAGTGCATTGTTGCTATCTCAGCTCACTGCAACCTCTGCCTCCCGGACTTAAGCAGTTCTCATGCCTCAGTTTCCTGAGTAGCTGAGACTAAAGGCATGTGCCACCACGCCTGGCTAATTTTTGTATTTTTAGTAGAGATGAGGTTTCACCATGTTGGCCAGGCTGGTCTCAACCTCCTGACCTCAAATGACCCACCTGCCTCAGCCTCTCAAAGTGCTGGGATTACAGGCATGAACTACCATACCAGGCCAAAAACTGACATTTCTAATAATACAATGTGACTACTCTGGAAATCAAAGTATTTCCCCTTCTAAGGACTTGTTGATGTTGTTTTTTTGTTGTTGTTGATGTTGGGTTTTTTTTTAGTGGCTTTTCCAAATGAATCTGTGAAGTATGTCTTCTTTGTCACTGAATTCTCTGCTCACTTAGCTTAGTGGTCAGCTAGTGATTAGATAGTTACTTAAATGACTGAATCTATTTCCCCTCCCAGCCATTTCCAAGAGGCTCTGTGTATGTTTGTGTTGGGGCACCCTTCACACTCAGGCAGGCATTTAAAAATGCTGACTTAGCTTTCATCATTTTTTTGCAGTGCCTCAAGGTCAGCCAGATGTTGTGTTAGAACTTAGGACCTTCTTAGGTCTTTCCTGGCATGTGGACAGATTTGAGCATGCACATAAGCCCATGTATGTGCATGGCCTTCTAGAGTCCCATGAATATGTCAGCAGTTTTTTTGTTTTTTTGAGATGGAGCTTAGCTTTTGTTGCCCTGTCTGGAGTGCAATGGCGCAATCTCGGCTCACTGCAACCTCTGCCTCCTGGGTTCAAGCAATTCTCCTGCCTCAGCATCCCGAGTAGCTGGGATTACAGGCGCCCGCCACCATGCCTGGATAATTTTTGTATTTTTAGTAGAGATAGGGTTTCACCATGTTGGTCAGGCTAGTCTCGAACTTCCGACCTCAGGTGATCCGCCAGCCCTGGCCTCCCAAAGTGCTGGATTACAGGCATAAGCCACTGCACCCAGCCCCTAATTTTTGTATTTTTAGTGGAGATGGGGTTTCACCATGTTGGCCAGGCTGGTCTCGAACTCCTGACCTCAGGTGATCTGCCTGTCTCAGCCTCCCAAAGTGCTGGGATTACAGTTGTGCGCCACTGCACCCAGTCATGTCAGCAGTCTTGAAAGCCTCCTATGGACACCTCATTCCCCAGCTCTTCTTTCGATGGTTTTTTGTTTGTTTGTTTGTTTTGGCTGGGGGGCAGCTTGTTTGCCTCAAATGTTACCACTACCTTAGTTAGCTGCATGTTAGCCATGCTACTGATTATTTTCAACAAATGTCCCAGGTGAAAGGCTATTCTCACCGAGTGGGGTCTGAGTTGGGTCAAATAAAGGCAAACATTTGTTTGTTTTTTTTTTTCGAGACAGGGTCTTGCTCTATCACCCAGGTTGGAGTGCGGTGGTGTGACCATAGCTCACTGAAGCCTCGAACTCCTGGGCTCAAGCAATTCTCCTGCTTCAGCCTCCTGAGTCGCTGAGACTACAGGTGTGTGCCACCACACCTAATTTTTTTTTATTTGTTGTAGGGGCAGTGTCTCACTCTGTTGCCCAGGCTGGTCTTGAACGCCTAGCCTCACACAATCCTTCCACCTCAGCCTCCCAAAGCAATGGGATTATAGGCCTGAGCCACCGTGGCTGGCCAAGGCAAGTCTTGTGAATGAGGGTTTCCAGGCAATTGTCAGACAGGCCAAATAAGGACAGTTCTTAAATAATGCTATTTTGGGGATCTCCAAACCCATTCGGTCCTAGCAAGTGGCTGCTAGGCTACTGGTCTTCACTATGATTGTAGAACTGTTGGTTTTGAAGACTAATGAGGAGTTGAGGAGAGTGTTGAGAATAAGGCAAGTTAAAACACCACAAAGCTCACCATTCTTACTGAGATACAGCCTTAAAAAAAAAAGTTCCTTGGGTTGTTGCAAAGCTTTGGTTAATTTCAGAATTCTGAACATTTTTATTTTACAAGTTATCTCAATATTCTCATTGCTTTTATGGAGGAATAGGTTTTTAGAGGCCCTTATGCCACCACTCCTACTGACCTCACCTCATTCAGTTATTTGAAGGCATCATGCCATTGTCTGCTTCAATTTTTTCTGTTGCAAAATCATAGTCAGTTTAATTATTGTTCCTATGAAAATAATCTTTTTCTCCTTGGTTACTTTTTTTTTTCTTTGAGACAGGGTCTGGCTCTGTCACTCAGTCTGGAATGCAATGGCACGATTTCAGCTCACTCCAACCTCCATCTCCCAGGCTCAAGCCATCCTCCTACCTCAGCCTCCTGAGTAGCTAAGAATATAGGCACGCACCATCATGCCCAGTTAGTTTTTGTATTTTTAGTAGAGACAGGGTTTTGCTATATTGCCCAGGCTGGTCTTGAACTCCTGGGCTCAAAGCAATCTACCTGCCTCTGCTCTTTGGTTAGTTTTAAGATATTTCTGTATCTTTGGTTTTTAGCAGTTTTTCTCTGATACACCTCAGTGTGACTTTGTATGTATCCTGCTTAGGGTTTATACAGTGCTATAGACCTAATTGTGTCTCCCCACCCCCCAATCCACATATTGAAGCCCTAACTCTCAATGTGAATGTATTTGGAAATAGGCCCTATAAGGAGTGAATTAAGGTTTAATGAGGTCTTGAGGGTGGGGTTCTGATACTACAGAATGTGTGCTTGTAAAGAAATACCAGAGAGCGCCCTTTACCCCGCATCCCACTCTGCCATGTAAGAACACAGCGAAAAAGCACCATCTGCAACCCAGGAAGTGAGCTCTCACCAGAACCCAACTGTGCTGGCACCCTGATCCCAGACTTCCAGCCTCCACAATTTGAAAACATTTCTGTTCAAGCCACCCATTCTGGCTGGGCATGGTGGCTCACACCTGTAATCCCAGAACTTTGGGAGGCCAAGCCAGAAGGATCACCTGAGGTCAGGAGTTCGAGACCAGTCTGGCTAACATGGTGAAACTACGTCTCTACTAAAAATACAAAAATTAGCCAGGCATGATAGCACGCATCTGTAGTCTCAGCTACTAGGGAGGCTGAGGCACGAGAATGGCTTGAACCTGGGAGGCGGAGGTTGCGGTGAGCCGAGGTTGCGCCACTCTGCTCCAGACTGAGCACAACTCCATCTAAAAAAAAAGCCACCTATTCTATGGTATTTTATGGCAGCATGAGCTGACTAATACATAGAGCTTCAGTCCCATTCTTTTTTTCTGAGATGCCAGTTACATGTATGTTAGACTTCTTTACCATAACCTCTTTATGTTTCTCATCCTTTTGCCTACCCATGCCTTAGTAACAGATGACCCTTAAATAATGCAGGGGTTAGGGTGCTGTCCCACCCCATGCAGTCGAAAATTTGTATATAACTTTTTTTTTTTTTTAAGATGGAGTCTTGCTCTGTTGCCAGGCTGGAGCGCAGTGGGATGATCTTGGCTCACTGCAACCTCCGCCTCCTGGGTTCAGGGTTCAAGCGATTCTCCTGCCTCAGCCTCCCGAGTAGCTGGGATTACAGGCGTGAGCTACCGTGCCCAGCCGTGTATAACTTTTGACTCCCCCCAGAGCTCAGCTATGAATAGCTTACTATTGACTGGAAGCCTTACTGATAACATAAACAGTCCATTAACACATATTTTGTATATGTATTATATACTGTATTCTTACAATAAGTAAGCTACAGGGAATAAGATGTTATTTAAAAAGTCATAAGGAAAATATATTTACTATTAAGTGGATGTGGATCATCATAAAGGTATTTGTCTTTATGGTCTTCATGCTGAGGAGGAGGAAAAGGAGGAAGAGGAAGAAGAGGGGGGGAGGAGGAGGAAGGGTTGGTCTTGCTGTCTCAGGAGCAGCAGAGGTGGAAGAAAATCTATAAGTGGATCCACACGGTTCAAGCCCATGTTTTTCAAGGGTCAACTGTAACTATTTTCTTACAACTATCACCCAGTCTTTTTCTCTTTTTAACTGACTAGCCAGTAAGTAAATCCATCTCGTTTGTAATTTTTTGCATTTTTCAATTCTAGAATTTCCATCCGATTACTTTTTATAGTTTCCAGCCAAAGTACTCCATCTTGTCTTTAAAGTTTTTGAAAATTCAATTTTTAAAAATCTTGCTTGGGCTGGGCCTGGTGGCTGTGGCCTATAATCCCTGCACTTTGGGAGGCTGAGGTGGAAGGACTGCTTGAGGCCAGGAGTTCAGGACCAGCCTGGGCAACATAGGGAGACCCCGTCTCTACAAAACATTAAAAAATTACACCAGTATGGTGGCATGCACCTGTAGTCCTAGCTACTTGGGAGGCTGAGGTGGGAGGATCACCTGAGCCCAGGAGTTGAAGCTGCAGTGAGATATAATCACACTACTGCACTCCAGCCTAGATACAGAGCAAGACCCTGTCTCAAAATCTTGTTTTGCAACTCCATTAGCTGTATGGTGCTTTTTTTTTTCACAGTTATAATAACTTTAATTTATCTTGCATTTTACAGAAATCTATGAACAATTTTTAAAAAGCACCTCCTTACCTCATATCATGTTTCTCTGACAGGTGTTAAAGTAGGCAATGAGTATGTCAACAGCTTGAGCATCAGCGTCTTGTAAGGACTTCAGACCAATCAACCACTCGCCAAAAATCTTGGCAGGTTTTTTATCTTGTTTTTAATACAACGGTATATCCACTCTGATGGCAAACCTGTCCAGCCACATCTCCACAACACGCTTTGCAAAATCAGTGATTAGCAAATTAGTTAGCTTTGGCACGGTGGTGTGCTCACTTGCCCATTACAGCCTGGTAGCTGGTTTTGATGCTGGCAACAGAACATCTAGAATGACAAGTTTCGCACTGTAGGAAATAGATTCGCATGTCCTTCTGCAGGATTGTGTCCAGTAATCGGCACGTGTGACAAGTGACATATTCCTTGATATATCTTCTCAAGACATTTTCTATCTGTTTCTGTTGGAATCTTCCTTTGATTACAAGTTGGTTATTACCATCTATAGAACCACTTGTACCCAATTCAGCCAACAAAAATGCACGGAGATGTTTGGGCTGATGATGTAATAGTTTACAGATATGTGTAAAGTTGACAAAAGACGTTTTCTTGGTTCCTACTCGGACGACCTGTGGAGGTTTCATGACAAATTTCCTTATGTCCCCAGCAACCATACCTGGATTCTTTTCCCTCATGATGTTGAACACTCGATTCAGTAGCTCCTCATATGTGTAGTCTCTTTCTGAGCCTGCCCAAGCAGGGCCTGTCTGATTACTGAATGAGATACCATCATCTTTTTTGCTGTCTTCCTCTTCTAGAACTTCATCTTTCTCTAGTATTTCATCCTCATCTGGGAACTTGACCTTCTTCTTCTTCTTTTTATTGCCAAGCATAATGTCAAGGTCATTCTCTGGTTCAGTTGGTTCTTGAACATCACTTTCAATCTTAAGATCCTTTACACCTTCTTCAGCTTCATCAATATCAAATATCTTTTTAGTTTTTTTTTTCTTTTTCTTTTGATTAAAGAAGTTCAAGTCATCTAGATCACCAGCAGCATCTTTTTTCCTAGTGTCCTCTTCATCAGCTTCCAAATCTTTGTCCTCAGTTGGCTCTGGCCCCACTTCTTTTGTTTCTGAAGGCTGGGTTATCTCTGTTTGGGTATCCGCTTCCTCATCTAACATAAAAGGCTTCTTTTTCTTCTTTTTCTTTTTGCTCACAGTAGGATCAAAAATCATCTCGTCCCCAGACATGGCTGCGGCTTGAGTGGGCTTGGCACGGACGGGAAGTCAGACGGGTCAACCCCAGACCCCGGCTGCAGCGCTGCTCCTGCCGGTACCTCTCCCACCACCGCACTGGTGCTTTGTTGTTGTTGTTGTTTTTCTTTCTTTCTATTGTCTGTCTTTTCTCTTGGTTTTGGATCAAGGGCTATCTCCTTGTATATCAGGGTTTTTTTTTTTGTTTTTTTTTTTTTTTATATGGAGTCTTGCTCTGTCGCCCAGGCTGGAGTGCAATGGCAGGATCTCGGCTCACTGCAACCTCTGCCTCCTGGGTTCAAGCGATTCTCCTGCCTCAGCCTCCAAAGTAGCTAGGACTAGAGGCGTCTACTACCACACCCAGCTAATTTTTTGTATTTTTAGTAGAGACAGTGTTTCGCCGTGTTAGCCAGGATGGTCTCGATTTCCTGACCTCGTGATCCGCCCGCCTCGGCCTCCCAAAGTGGTGGGATTACAGGCGTGAGCCATTGCGCCCGGCCCGTATACCAGGTTCTTTTTTTAAGGAGTGTAAACAGCTATATTTTATGGGTGCACAATATTTTTAAAATTGTAACATTTAAGAACTTTTTCATATCTGCTAATTAATTCTACGAACAATATTGATGCCTCTTTAATATATGATAGGACACTATTTACTTATTTTCTTTTTTAAAAAATTTTAATTAAAAAAAAAAAGACTATTGGCTGGGCGCAGTGGCTCATGCCTGTAATCCCAGCGCTTTGGGAGGCCAAGGCGGGCAATCACCTGAGGTCGAGAGTTTGAGACCAGCCTGGCCAACGTGGTGAAACCCCATCTCTACTAAAAATACAAAAATTTAGCCAGGCATGGTGGCAGGCACTTGTAATCCCAGCTACTCGGGAGGCTGAGGCAGGAGAATCGCTTGAACCTGGGTAGCGGAGGTTGCAGTGAGCTGAGATTGCCCTATTACACTTCAGCCTGGGCAACAAGAGCGAAACTTCGTCTCAAAAAAAAGAAGAACCTAGTAACAGTACACTTTAAATTCTTCTCTTTAATCTTTTCTATGATTGTTTTTATTTATAAATGTGCAATAAACCCATAATACATTCCACTATATTTCTTTTTGAAAGTCAATAATTTTTATAGAGATCAAAAATAAAAGTAAAAAAGTTTTTATATTTAATTTTAGTCATTTCCAGAAATCTTCATTTTTTGTGTGTAGATTTCTTTGCTTTGTGTATAATACCAGATTCTGTGATATCATATTCCTCTTGCTTAAAGAACTTTTTTTTTTTTTTTTTTTGAGACAAGCTCTTGCTTTGTCACCCAGGCTAGAGCATAGTGGCATGATCACAGCTCACTGCAGCCTCTACCTCTTGGGCTCAAGCAGTCCTCCCACCCCAGCCTCCCAAGGAGCTGGGACTACAGGTGTGCACCACCATGCCTGGCTAATTCTTTTCTTTTTCCTGTAGAGACAAGGTCTCACTATATTGCCCAGGCTGGTCTCAAACTCCTGGGCTCAAGTGATCCACCTTGGCCTCCCAAAGTGCTGGGATTACAGACGTGAACGACCGCGCCTGGCCTAAGAACTCTCTTTAACATTTCTTTTCTTTCTTTCTTTCTTTTTTTTTTTTTGAGATGGAGTTTCACTCTTGTTGCCCAGGCTGGAGTGCAGTAGTGTGATTTCGGCTCACCACAACCTCTGCCTCCCGGGTTCAAGCGATTCTCCTGCCTCAGCCTCCCGAGTAGCTAGGGTTATAGGCATGTACCACCACGCCTGGCTAATTTTTGTATTTTTAGTAGAGATGGGGCTTCTCCATGTTGGTCAGGCTGGTCCTGAACTCCCGACCTCAGGTGATCTGCTCACCTCGGCCTCCCGAAGTGCTGGGATTATAGGCGGGAGCCACCGTGCCTGGCCAATATTGCTTATAGTACAGGACTGTTGGTAATAAATTGTTAGGTTTGTTTTCTAAAGAAGTATTCATTTTGCCTTCATTTTTGAAAAGTATTTTCATTGAGTATAGAACTCTGGTTAAAAGTGGGTTTTTTCAATATTTTTTAAATGTCACTTTATTGTCTTCTGGTTTGCACAGTTTCTAATGAAAAACCTGGTATAATTCTTATCTTCGTTCCTCTGCATTTAATGTGTCTTCTGTTTTTGGTCGTCTTCAAAATTTTCTCTTTCTCTTTGGTTTTCAGTAGTGTGGTGGGCGGCTAGGTTGCTAGAGGGTGTTTCTTTTCCTTTGAGACAAGCATCTTGCTCTGTTGTCCAGGCTGGAGTACAGTGGTATGATTACAGCTCACTGCAGCCTCGAACTCCTGGGCAGGAGTCAGTACAGAGCAGCAAATGTTGAGGTTTCACAGGGGCCTCTCTGGAAACCTCGCCCTCAAGGCCCTGGCTTGTCTTAAAGAGCTCTGAAATGCCTCTGGGATCATCCTTCCATTGCCTTAATAAATGGAACCTGGCTTTCCTCTATTCCTACAATCTCTTTAGCAAATTTTTGCTTGGCTATGGCCTTGGTTTGCTCTCCTAAAGATGCCTTTTCACTCTTTACCAGGCCAGGCTGTGAATTTTCTAAATCTTTCTGCTCTGCTTTCCTTTTAGTGATAAATTCAATCTTTAAATTATTTCTCATCAGGCCTGGTGCGGTGGCTCACGCCTGTAATCCCAGCACTTTGGGAGGCTGAGGTAGGTGGATCACTTGAGGCCAGGAGTTCGAGACCATCCTGGCCAACATGGTGAAACCCTGTCTCTACTAAAAATACAAAAATCAGCCAGACGTGGTGCTGCACGCCAGTAATCCCAGCTACCAGGGAGGCTGAGGCAGGAGAATCACTTGAACCTGGGAGGTGGAGCATGCAGTGAACTGAGATGGCGCCATAGCACTCTAGCCTGAGCGACAGAGCCAGACTCCATCTCAAAAAAGAAAAAGAAAGAAATACAATTAATTATTTCTCATCAGTTCTTTGGTAGGGGTAAAAGAATTCTTTCTATCCTCTCACATCTTACTACATGCAGTTAAAAGTAGCCACGAAGCTCCTTCAATATTTTTCATCTTAGAGATTTTTTCCACTAGATATTCTATTTATTTTTTATTATTGTTTATTTTTTTGAGATGGAGTTTCACTCTTGTCACCCAGGTTGGAGTGCAATGGTGCAGTCTTGGCTCGCTGCAAGCTCCACCTTCTGGGTTCAAGCGATTTTCCTGCCTCAGTCTCCCAATTAGCTGGGATTACAGGCGTGCGCCACCATGCCCGGCTAATTTTTGTATTTTTAGTAGAGACGAGGTTTCACCATATTGGTAAGGCTGGTCTCGAACTTCTGACCTCAGGTGATTCACCCACCTTGGGCTCCCAAAGTGCTGGGATCACAGGCATGAGCCACCGCGCCTGGCCTACTGTCCATATTTCTATGAACATTCTAAACATCACTGTAGTAATCTCTAGGAAGGTCCAAACTTTGCTGACAGCTTTTCTCTTCTTCTGAGCCTTCTTAAGAATTGCCCTTAGTGCTTCATTCATGGCAGTCTAGGTGTTTTCTAGCCCGCTCCTCTAAATTCTTCCAGCCTCTATGCATTACCCAGTTCCAAAGTTGCTTCCACATTTTCAGGCATTTGTTATAGCATCAGCCCTGCTTCTTGGTACCAGTTTTCTGTCTTGGTCCATTTTGTGCTGCTATAAGAGAATATCTGAAGACTAGGTAACTTATAAAGAAGAAAATGTATTTAGCTCCCAAACTTTCAAGTTCTGGAGCCTGGAAAGTCCAATATGAAGGTGCCAGCATCTAATGAGGGCTTTCCTGCCACATCATCCCATGGCGGAAAATGAGAGGGTGGGAAAGGATGAGAGAAGGCTGAACTCGATTTTATAACAAACCCACTATCTTGACGATGAACCCACTCCCGTGATAACAACCTTAATCCATTCATGAAGGCAGATCACTCATGACCTAATCACCTCTTACACATCCCATCTCTCTTTTTTTTTTTTTTTTTTTGTATTTTTTTTTAAATTTATTTTTTTATTGATAATTCTTGGGTGTTTCTCACAGAGGGGGATTTGGCAGGGTCATGGGACAATAGTGGAGGGAAGGTCAGCAGATAAACAAGTGAACAAAGGTCTCTGGTTTTCCTAGGCAGAGGACCCTGCGGCCTTCCGCAGTGTTTGTGTCCCTGATTACTTGAGATTAGGGATTGGTGATGACTCTTAACGAGCATGCTGCCTTCAAGCATCTGTTTAACAAAGCACATCTTGCACCGCCCTTAATCCATTTAACCCTGAGTGGACACAGCACATGTTTCAGAGAGCACAGGGTTGGGGGTAAGGTCACAGATCAACAGGATCCCAAGGCAGAGGAATTTTTCTTAGTGCAGAACAAAATGAAAAGTCTCCCATGTCTACTTCTTTCTACACAGACACGGCAACCATCCGATTTCTCAATCTTTTCCCCACCTTTCCCGCCTTTCTATTCCACAAAGCCGCCATTGTCATCCTGGCCCGTTCTCAATGAGCTGTTGGGCACACCTCCCAGACGGGGTGGTGGCCGGGCAGAGGGGCTCCTCACTTCCCAGTAGGGGCGGCCGGGCAGAGGCGCCCCTCACCTCCCGGACGGGGCGGCTGGCCAGGCAGGGGGGCCGACCCCCCCCACCTCCCTCCCGGACGGGGCGGCTGGCCGGGCGGGGGGCTGACCCCCCCACCTCCCTCCCGGACGGGGCGGCTGGCCGGGCAGAGGGGCTCCTCACTTCCCAGTAGGGGCGGCCGGGCAGAGGCGCCCCTCACCTCCCGGACAGGGCGGCTGGCTGGGCGGGGGGGCTGACCCCCCCCCCACCTCCCTCCCGGACGGGGCGGCTGGCCGGGCGGGGGGCCGACCCCCCCACCTCCCTCCCGGACGGGGCGGCTGGCCGGGCGGGGGGCTGACCCCCCCCACCTCCCTCCCGGACGGGGCGGCTGGCCGGGCGGGGGGCCGACCCCCCCACCTCCCTCCCAGACGGGGCGGCTGGCCGGGCGGGGGGCCGACCCCCCCACCTCCCTCCCGGACGGGGCGGCTGGCCGGGCGGGGGGCCGACCCCCCCACCTCCCTCCCGGACGGGGCAGCTGGCCGGGCAGAGGGGCTCCTCACTTCCCAGTAGGGGTGGCCGGGCAGAGGCGCCCCTCACCTCCCAGACGGGGCGGCTGGCCGGGCGGAGGGCTGACCCCCCCACCTCCCTCCCGGACAGGGCGGCTGGCCGGGCGGGGGGCTGACCCCCCACCTCCCTCCCGGACGGGGCGGCTGGCCGGGCAGAGGGGCTCCTCACTTCCCAGTAGGGGCGGCTGGGCAGAGGCGCCCCTCACCTCCCAGACGGGGCGGCTGGCCGGGCGGAGGGCTGACCCCCCCACCTCCCTCCCGGACGGGGCGGCTGGCCAGGCGGGGGGCTGACCCCCCTACCTCCCTCCCGGACGGGGCGGCTGGCCGGGTGGGGGGGCTGACCCCCCCATCTCCCTCCCAGACGGGGTGGCTGGCCGGGCTGAGGGGCTCCTCACTTCCCAGTAGGGGCGGCCGGGCAGAGGCGCCCCTCACCTCCCGGACGGGGCGGCTGGCCGGGCGGGGGGCTGACCCCCCCACCTCCCTCCCAGACGGCACGGCTGGCCAGGCGGGGGGCTGACCCCCCCACCTCCCTCCCGGACGGCACGGCTGGCCGGGCGGGGGGGCTGACCCCCCACCTCCCTCCCGGATGGGGCGGCTGGCCGGGCGGGGGGCTGACCCCCCCCACCTCCCTCCCGGACGGGGTGGCTGCCCGGCGGAGACGCTCCTCACTTCCCAGATGGGGTGGCTGCCGGGCGGAGAGGCTCCTCACTTCTCAGACGGGGCGGTTGCCAGGCAGAGGGTCTCCTCACTTCTCAGACGGGGCGGCCGGGCAGAGACGCTCCTCACCTCCCAGACGGGGTCTCGGCCGGGCAGAGGCGCTCCTCACATCCCAGATGGGGCGGCGGGGCAGAGGCGCTCCCCACATCTCAGACGATGGGCGGCCGGGCAGAGACGCTCCTCACTTCCTAGATGTGATGGCGGCTGGGAAGAGGCGCTCCTCACTTCCTAGATGGGATGGCGGCCGGGCGGAGACGCTCCTCACTTTCCAGACTGGGCAGCCAGGCAGAGGGGCTCCTCACATCCCAGACGATGGGCGGCCAGGCAGAGACACTCCTCACTTCCCAGACGGGGTGGCAGCCGGGCAGAGGCTGCAATCTCGGCACTTTGGGAGGCCAAGGCAGGCGGCTGCTCCTTGCCCTCGGGCCCCGCGGGGCCCGTCCGCTCCTCCAGCCCCACATCCCATCTCTCAACACTGTTGCATTAGGGATTACATTTACAACACAAAACTTTGTGGGATACATTCAACTCATAGCATTTGCATAATTTATGAAGTTAAAAAATCAATCAACCAAAAAATTGTTCCCCCTTAAACATGGGAGAAGGAAAGATGGGCTGAACTAAGGTTTTCGGTTTTTTTTTGTTTGTTTTTGTTTTTGTAGAGATGGGGTTTCACCATGTTGCCCAGGCTAGTCTTGAACTTCTGAGCTCCAAAGATCCTCCTGCTTCAGCCTCCCAAATTGCTGGGATTACAGGCATCAGCCACCATGCCTGGCCTGAACTAGTTTTTTCTACAGCTATTTTTCTGCAACCAGGCAAAATTTATTCTACTCTCCTCAAACAGAAGGAAGTAGAGAACTTACTGGGTCAGGCATAGTGCTAAACATTTTAAAACCATATGATATGAGTGTGATTATTAGCCGGCCTTTTTTTAAAAAGGCTAAACTCAAAACAAAACAATAAAACAACACATGCTGAGAAAGAGTAAATGCCTTGCCCAACATCACAGAGTTAGGAAGTTTAGAGAAAAGTCCATACTTTTAACTACTGGGTAACACTACCTTCTATATTCAGGAATATATATATAAACACTGTATAAAAAATTCAGATGCTAAGGAATATATATATAAACACTGTACAAAAAATTCAGATACTAAGCAAAGGTAAGAAGATGAGAATATTGTCCATGTGATATTTGGCGCATTGCCACACTAGTGACTACAGAATCTAGAGTATTAGATTCATTGAATTTCCAGCTCTTGAATCTTCATGTTATATGTTCATTATAATTAAATCCACTACAATAACAACAACAAAAATCAGATAGTCTGGAGCTTCTCAGGACATTCATTTACCAATACCATTATAACAAAGCTCTTTGAGGGCAGGAGCCTTGTCCTATTAATATTTATATTCTCCACTAGATATTTATATCTAGTATGATAGACCCTGGATAAATTTCTAACTGAAAATCTCCCTATAATAACAGATTTCCAAAATCCAGACAAGGCACATTTATTTCAAGTAATATTTGCTAGAGAAATGCTCTAGTTTACCATAAAAGAATTAGAAGAGCCCCTTGAGCTACTTTTCTCCATTATCATTATTGTAGTTGTCATTGGTATTATCATTATTATCATTACCATGGCAACCACCATTTATTAAGTGCTTACTCTATGCCAGTGATTGACATGCAACAACTCATTTTATCATCACAATACTATTATGAGAAAGATATTACCATCCCTATGCTACTTAAAGGACACTGGGGCTCGAAGAAGTTAAGAAACTAATCAGGCCGGGCTTGGTGGCTCACACTTGTAATCCTAGCACTTTGGGAGGGTGAGGCGGGCAGATCTCAAGGTCAGGAGTTCAAGACCAGCCTGACCAATATGGTGAAACCTCGTCTCTACTAAAAATACAAAAAATTGGCTGGGCGTGTTGGCACACGCCTGTAGTCCCAGCTACTCGGGAGGCTGAGGCAGGAGAATCGCTTGAACCTGGGAGGCAGAGGTTTCAGTGAGCCAAGATCACACCACTGCACTCCAGCCTGGGCGACAGAGTGAGACTCTATCTCAAAAAAAAAAAAAAAAAAAGAGGAAACTAATCAAAGCACACAGTAAAATTGGTGGGACTTGAATTCAAAATCATGTTTGCATTTGACCCATTATTGGGTATATACTCAAATAAATAGAACTCATTCTACCATAAAGACACATGCACTTGCATGTTTGTTGCAGCACTATTCACCATAGCAAAGACAAGGAATCAATCCAAATGTCCATCCTAAGTAGACTGGATAAAGAAAATGTGGTACATATACACCATGGAATAGTACACAGCCATAAAAAAGAATGAGATTATGTTCTTTGCAGCAACATGGATGGAGATGGAGGCCATTACCCTAAGCAAACTAATGCAGGATCAGAAAAGCAAACACCACATGTTTTCACTTATCAGTAGGAGCTGAACATTGAGATAAAGAAGGGAGCAATAGATGCCAGGGCCTAATTGAAGGTGGAGGGTAGGAGGAGGGTGAGGATTGAAAAACTCCCAAAAGAGTTCTATGCTTATTACTTGGGTGACAAAATAATATGTACACCAAACCCCTGCAACATGTGATTTATCTATAGAACCAACCTGTACATGTACCTCTGAAACTAAAAGTTTTAAACAATCACGTTTATTTGACTCCATTCATTCAGCTTTTCAAAAATATCTATTGCAGCTACTATATGCCAGACACTTTTTAGAAACCGGGTTCAAAATTCAAAAAGTACAAAAATGGCAGCATAAAGCCACTTCCCATTTCATTCTCCCCTGCCCCTCTCCACCACTATGTCTACACCACCAACTAGCTTCCCCCTTTTGAGCAACCAATGTTATCAGTTTCTGGTGAGGCCTGTAACTTCAGTCAGGGAGTTCTTTTTTGGGTCAAACCTTGGCGTGGGCAATCTCTCCTACCACTCTCACACCTCTCCGAATGACCTCAGACTTCTTCAATAAGCATTTTTTTTTTTTTTGAGATGGAGTCTCGCTCTATCACCCAGGCTGGAGTGCAGTGGCACGATCTCGGCTCACCACAACCTCCACCTCCCGGCTTCAAGACATTCTCCTGCCTCAGCCTCCCAAGTAGCTGGGATTACAGGTGCGTGCCACCATGCCCAGCTAATTTTTTTATTTTGAGTAGAGATGGGGTTCCACCATGTTGGCCAGGCTGGTCCTGAACTCCTGACCTCGTGATCCACCCACCTCAGCCTCCCAAAGTGCTGGGATTACAGGCATGAGCCACCATGCCCAGCCAGCGATAAGCCAATCTTAAATAATTCAGTGTTTCAGGCCCATTTCACGTCTGGGGGAAACGTGTCCTCAGGAAGCCAGCTTATGTTTGAACTGAGATGAAGTCCTTGTGGAACGGGAGAGTGAGTTCCTGTAGGTTAATTCACAATGTCTTTACCATGAAGCTTCTGTTTCTCTAGGAGGCGGCCATCCTCAGCTCTCATAGATCCCCACACTTAGAAAGTCCACACTACTTCCCTTCCACCTCTGTCTGAACCAAGCTCTCTCTGACAGCCCTGCAGAACACAGGTCTTGCGACTTCAAAATGTCGCATCACAACATTTTGTTGCCTTTTCCTTCTCTCAAAATAGAATCTTTACAGTGCTCCTTAAAGTGAAGGATGGTGGAATTTTGTGGCCATATGATCTGAGAGGACGTTGTGAAAATTTTAAAAACAGGGACAGAATTTGGACTGGCTTTCAGGTTTTCCAATAGACTTTGAGTTCTCTGGCAGTAAGTCCCTCTTCCCCTACTTTCTCGGTGCTGATGAGAAGGGCACCTGGTTGGTGAAAAACATGCAAATTAAGAGGCACAGGATCAAGAGGAACAGGCTGCTCCTCTTGAATAGAGGTGTCCGTGGTCCAGACAGCATGAGTCCTGGTTTATCATTGAGATTAATAGTACTGGCCAGGTGTGGTGGCTCACACCTCTAATCCCAGCACTTTGGGAGGCTGAAGCTGGCGGATCACCTGAGGTCGGGAGTTCGAGACCAGCCTGACCAATATGGTGAAACCGCATCTCTACTAAAAATACAAAAACTAGCCGGGCTGTGGTGGCACGTGCCTGTAATCCCAGCTACTCAGGAGGCTGAGGCAGGAGAATCGCTTGAACCCAGGAGGCGGAGGTTGCAGTGAGTCGAGATCACACCACTGCACTCCAGCCTGGGCAACAGAGAGAGATCCTGTCTCAAAAAACAAAAAATGGCCGGGCAAGGTGGCTTGTGCTTGTAATCCCAGCACTTTGGGAGGCTGAGGCTGGTGGATCACCTGAGGTCAGGAGTTGGAGACCAGCCTGGCCAATGTGGTGAAACCCCATCTCTACTAAAAA
This sequence comes from Homo sapiens, assembly GCF_000001405.40. Taxonomy (NCBI): domain Eukaryota; kingdom Metazoa; phylum Chordata; class Mammalia; order Primates; family Hominidae; genus Homo; species Homo sapiens. The sequence goes on from NC_000010.11 coordinate 92,679,955, forward strand.
TACAAAAATTAGCCGGGCATGGTGGTGGGCACCTGTAATCCCAGCTACTCTGGAGGCTGAGGCAGGAGAATCACTCGAACCCGGGAGGCGGAGGTTGCAGTGAGCTGAGATCACGCCACTGCACTCCAGCCTGGGTGACAGAGAGAGATTCTGTCTCAAAAAATAAAACAGGCTGGGCGCGGTGGCTCATGCCTGTAATCCCAGCACTTTGGGAGGCCGAGGCGGGCGGATTACGAGGTCAAGAGATCGAGACCATCCTGGCTAATACAGTGAAACTCCGTCTCTACTAAAAATACAAAAAATTAGCCGGGCATGGTGGCGGGTGCCTGTAGTCCTAGCTACTCGGGAGGCTGAGGCAGGAGAATGGCGTGAACCCGGGAGGTGGAGCTTGCAGTGAGCCGAGATCGTGCCACTGCACTCCAGCATGGGCAACAGAGCGAGACTCCGTCTCAAAAAAAAAAACCAAAAAACCAAACCTACACAGTTGTATTGAGGTGTAATTCACATATCATAAAATTTACCCATTTAAAGTTTTTTTTGGCCGGGTGTGGTGGCTCACACCTGTACTCCCAGCACTTTGGGAGGCCGAGGTGGGTGGATTACCTGAGGTTAGGAGTTCGAGACCAGCCTGGGCAAGATGGTGAAACCCCGTCTCTACTAAAAATATAAAAATTAGTTGGGTGTGGTAGCACACGCCAGTAATCCCAGCTACTTGGGAGGCTGAGGCAGGAGAATCACTTGAATCTGGGAGGTAGAGGTTTCAGTGAGCCAAGATCGCACCACTGCATTCCAGCCTGGGTAATAGAGTGAACTCCGCCTTGTCTCAAAAAAAAAAAAAAGTTTTTTTAAAGCTATTCACAAAGTTGCGTAACAACCACCACAATAACTGTTAGAACATTTTCATCACTCCAGAAAGAAACCCTGTACCCACCAGCAGTCACCCTTCATTTATCCCCAAGTTCCCCAGCCTTGGCAACTACTATTCCACTTTTCATTTCTACAGATTTGCCTATTCTGGACATTTCATATACAGCAGGGGTGTCCAATCTTTTGGCTTCCCTGGGCCACACTGGAAGAAGAACTGTCTTGGGCCACACTAAAATACACTAACACTAAAGATTGCTAATGAGCTAAAAAAAAAAAAAATCACAAAAAATCTCATAATGTTTTAAGAAAGTTTACGAATCTGTGATGGACTACATTCAAAGCCATCCTGGGCCACATGAGACCCATGGCCATGGGCTGGACAAGCTTGAAAGATACATACAATCTGTGGGCTTTTGCGTCTGACTTCTTTTGAAGATAAATGTTTTCAAAGTTCATCCATGTATCAGATGTATCTTTTTATTACCAAATAATATTCCATTGTATGGATATACCACTTTTAACATACCCCTTCATCATCTGAGGGACATTTGGGTTGTTTCCACTTTTTGGCTATCATAAATAATTCTGCTGTGAACATTTGTGAACAAGTTTTTGTGTGGACATATGTTTTCATTTTGTGGGAATATACCCAAGGGTAGAATCATTGGGTCATGTGGTAACTTTGTTTAAACTTTTCAGGCATTGCCAGACTGCTTTTCAAAGCTGCCGCTTCATTTTACATTGCGATTAGCAAAGCATGGGGGGGTTCTAAATCTCCACATCCTCACCAACACTTGTGTTTTTAAAATTATTATAGCTATCCTAGTGGGTGTGAAGTGGTATCTCATTGTGGTTTTGATTTGCATTTCCCTGATGACTAATGATGTTGAACATCTTCTCATGTGCTTATTGGCTATTTGTATAACTTCTTTGGAGAAATATCTATTCAGACCTTTAGCTCATTTAAAGAATTGGGTGCTCTTTTTATTATTGAATTCATCATCACTTTTTAAATTGAGCAGTTACCTAAAGCTCTACCTAAAGCTCCATGGTCAGTAAAATTCACCCACATGACAGTGGTATGTGAGGCACCTTGTAGTATGTAAAATGTGGAAAAAGGCCAGGTGTGGTGGCTCATGTGGGTAATTCCAGCACTTTGGGAGGCTGAGGCCAGTGGATCACCTGAGGCCAGGTGTTCAAGACTAGCCTGGCCAACATGGTGAAACCCCGTCTCTACTAAAAATACAAAAATTAGCCAGGTGTGGTGGCAGGTACCTGTAATCCCAGCTACTTGGGAGGCTGAGGCAGGAGAATTGCTTGAATGCAGGAGGTGGAGGTTTCAGTGAGCTGAGATCACGCCATTGCACTCCAGCAAGACTCCATCTCAAAAAAAAAAAAAAAAAATTTGGAAAAAGAACGTCACTGAAGCAATGTCATGATGCCTACTGCTTATGTATTTCTGGGCTCTGATTCCATTTATGATGGGGATGAGGCATCTCTATTTGATCAGATTAGTATTTTGTAAGTTAGTAAACCACTAAAGCACTAATTAGATTTTCTCAAATATTTGAAAAATATATGATTTGATATGAAATTTAATAAATGATTTAGTCATCCCAACAGTTGAAGACAATAAAACTTAGTGTAAGTATAAATAGAACCAAGTTGTTATAATAAAATCCATTGATGCTTTCAAGCTATAGCTAACTTGAATTTTTACCTCTACATACATTTATTAAAAGTAAGTTGCAAAAAGTTTACCTAAATTCCTTCTAGATAAATTACAAATGAGAACTACCTTCTCTTCTTACAAATTTGGTCTTTTGCACAACAGCAATGGCTAAAATAAATGGGGCCAAATTTTTGGAGAAAGTCTTGTTTAATTCAGAATATAATTAAAATCTCATGGAGCTTTATTGGTTTTAGTATCCAGCAGAGAAAAAATATTGAAACTCCGAGAGATTTTGAATTAAATAGCTACAACAGTTTTGTTTTATTAGTTCTGACTGTGCGAAAAAAAATCATAAGGACAACTTTGGAAAAATCTAGTTCTTTTAGGGCCCCAAATGACTTTTAAAACAATAAAACAAACTATAAAACGTACACAAGTGATATTAAAAATTATGTAGTTCAATAAATGTGACATTCACAAATGTGGTTGTAATTTTTTTTTTTAACTTTAGCTAAGTGAACATGGATCTGACGATTGGATGTAGAAAAGGTAGTGTTATATAGCTTAACAGAATTAAGTGCTTCAGTTTGCCAGTGAGGATTATGTAGCTGAGTTGGAATGTTTTACCAATGCCTTTTAAGATCTCCATCTACTTCCCAGGATCTGTGGCTAAATCAAAGAAAGAGAGGATGCTTCTTTTATTAGTGATTATTTAATAACTCTATGCTAGTGATTATTTCCCTAGCATTTTAATATATATATTTAAAATATTTGTAGATTTAGATCTTTTGGCTGGTGGCTGAATCATGCACAGAATAAACCAGTACCATAAACTAATACTGTTTCTGAAGATGGGTAATAAAGGCTGGCTAGTGATTTACTGTGAAAGCACTAAATGAATTGGAGTCATCATCTGTTACTCGCAGAGTAGAAGGGGCAGGAAAAAGGTGCACAATGAAAACAAAGGGGAAACATTTTGTGAGAAAAATAATTAGCACAGTTTTCTGCTTAGTTTACTGAGGTCCCAATCTTTCAAGACCCAAACATAACTTGTGAAGGTAGGTTTGAACTTCATATAATAACTGTTCTTTCTTTGTCCCCAGAGCTTGTCTCTGTCCTTGGAACACAGAAGAGCACATTGAATTCATCAGGCCATGGGATGAGAATGATGACGGTGGAGATGGCACAACACTGGAGCTGACCCACAGAGGGATCAATGATTCCCAAATAACCCTTCACTGATAGTTTCCAGGGGCAAGGCACTACCTGAAATTGTATGCAATCTTCAGAAATCATTCAAAACATTATGCCTTTAAAAAAAATGGATGGTAGGCCGGGCGCGGTGGCTCATGCCTGTAATCCCAGCACTTTGGGAGGCCAAGATGGGCAGATCACAAGGTCAGGAGATCGAGACCATCCTGGCTAATATGGTGAAACCACTGTCTACTAAAAATACAAAAAAATTAGCCGGGTGTGGTGGCAGGCGCCTGTAGTCCCAACTACTCGGGAGGCTGAGGCAGGAGAATGGCGTGAATCCAGGAGGAGGAGCTTGCAATGAGCCAAGATCATGCCACTGCACTCCAGCCTGGGCGACAGAGCAAGAATCCGTCTCACACACACACACAAAAAAAGTATGGTAAAAAGGAATTTGAGATTAAAAAAAGAAACAGTGTTTTCATTTTTTCTCATTTTTATATTGAAAACTTTCAAATCTACAGGAATTATGGTAATTTAATTGCTATGTGTAATTATAAAAAAGCTAAAATTAGAGTACAACAAATACTTGTATACTCTGAAATTATAGTACAACAAACACCTGTATACTCTTCACCTAAATTCACCAATTAATAATTTTCGATACAGGCATACCTCATTTTATTGTGCTTCACTTCATTGTGCTTTGCAGATATTGCAGTTTTTACAAATTGAAGGTTTGTGACGCCCCTGCATCAAGCAAGTCTATTGGCACCATTTTCCCAAGAACATGTGCCCACTTCATGTCTTTGTGTCACATTTGGGTAATTCTCATAATATTTATTGTTATATCTGTAATGATGATCTGTGATCAGTGGTCTTTGATGTTACTATTGTAATCGTTTTGGGGCACCACAAACTGCACCCATATAAGACAGCTAACTTAATAAATGTCGTGTGTTCTGACTGTCCTACTCACAGGCTGTTCCCCAGTCTCTTTCCTTCTCTCCTTGGGCCTCCTTATTCCTTGAGAGACAACAATATTGAAATTGGGCAAATTAATAACCCTACAACAGCCCCTAAGTGTTCAAGGAAAAGCAAGAATTGCATGTCTCTTTCAATCAAAAGCCAGAAATGATTAAGCTCAGCAAGGAGGCCATGTAGAAAGTTAAGATCCACTAAAAGTTAGACAGCGCTGTGAACACAAAGGAAGAGTTCTTGAAGGAAATTTAAGGTGGTACTCCAATGAACAAATGAATGCTAAAAAGTGAAACAGCCTTATTGATGATCTGGAGAAAGTGCAAGTGGTCTGGATAGAAGATCTAACCAGCCACAACATTCCCTTACACGAAAGCCTAATCCAGAGCAAGGCCCCAACTCTCTTCAATTCTATGAAGGCTGAGAAAGGTGAGGAAGCTGCAGAAGAAACGGTGGATGTTAGATGAGGTTGGTTCACGAGGTTTAAGGAAGGAGGCCATCACCATAAGTGCAAAGTGAAGCAGAAAATGTTAATAGAAAAGGTGCAGCAAGTTACCCAGAAGATCTAGCTAAGATCATTGATGAACGTAGCTACACTAAACTGATTCTACACGTAGACCAAAAAGCCTTCTATTGGAAGAAGATGCCATCTAGGACTTTCATAGCTAGTGAGAAGTCAATGCTGGCTTCAGAGTTTCAAAGGACAGTCTGACTCTCTTGTTAGGTGCTAATGCAGCTGACATTTAAGTTTAAAGCAATGCTTATTGGCCATTCTGAAAATCCTAGGGCCCTTAAGAACTATGCTACATCTACTCTGCCTGTGCCCTATAAATAAAATAACAAAGCCTGGATGGCAGCACATCATTTTACTGTGTGGTTTACTGAACACTTTAAGCCTACTGTTGAGATCTACTGCCCAGGAAAAAAATATGCCTTTCAAATTATTACTGATCATTGACAATGCACCTGGTCACCCAAGAGCTATGATGGAGATATACAAAGAGATGAATGTTGTTTTCATGCTTGCTAACACAACATCCATTCTGCAGCCCATGAATCAAAGAGTGATTTTGATTTTCAAATCTTATTATTTAAGAAATATATTTTGTAAGGCTATAGCTGCCATAGATAGTGATTCCTCTGTGGGCAAAGTCAAGTAAAACCCTTCCAGAAAGGATTCACCATTCCAGAGGCCATGATTCATGGGAGGAGGTAAAAATATCATTAACAGAAGTTTGGAAGAAGTTGATTCCAGCCCTCACAGATGACTTTGAGGGGTTCAAGATTTCAGTGGAGAAAGTAATTGCATATGTGCTGGAAACAGCAAGAGAAATAGAAGTGGAGCCTGAAGATGTGACTGAATTGCTGCAATCTCATGATACAACTTGAATGGATGAGGAGTTACTTCTTATGGATGAGCAAAGAAAGTGGTTTTTTGAGATGGAATCTACTTCTGGTGAATATGCTGTGAACATTATTGAAATGACAACAAAGGATTTAGAATATTACATAGCTGGATGTAATGGCTCATGCCTGTAATCCCAACATTTAGGGAGGCAGAGGCAGGAGCATAGCTTGAGCCCGGTAGATCGAGACATGCCTGGGCAATGAATGGAGCGAGACTCCATTCTCTACAAAAAGGAAAAAAGAAAAAAAAAAAAGGACAAAAAAGAGAGACTATTACACAACCATACTTGATAGAGCAGCACAGGGTTTGAGAAAATGAACTCCAATTTTGAAAGTTCTACTGTGGATAAAAATGCTATCAAACATCACCACATGCTACAGAGAAATCTTTTATGAACGGAGGGGTCAACAGATGTGGCAAACTTCATGGTTGTCTTTAAGGAATTGCCACAGCCACCCCAACCTTCTGTGCCTCCCACCCTGATCAGTTAGCACTCATCCACATCAAGGCAACACCCCTCAAAAGCAAAAAGATTATGACTTGCTGAAGGCTCAGATGATTGTCAGCAATTTTTTTTTTTTGAGATGGAGTCTCACTCTATTGCCCAGGCTGGTAGTGTAGTGGCATGATCTCAGCTCACTGCAACCTCTGCCTCCCGGGTTCAAGCACTTTCCAGCTAATTTTTGTATTTTTAGTAGATACAGGGTTTTACCATATTGGCAGGCCGGTCTTCAACTCATGACCTCAAGTGATCCGCCAGCCTTGGCCTCCCAAAGTGCTAGGATTACAGGCATGAGCTACCACTCCCTGCCAATCGTTAGCAATTTTTTAGTAACAAAGTATTTTTAAATTAAGGTATGTACGTTGCTTTTTAAGACATAATGCCATTGCACACTGAATGTAGTAAAGTGTAAAGATAACCTCCTTTACATGCACTGGGAAACCAAATAATTCATGTGACTTGCTTTATTGCTATGTTTATTTATTGAAGTGGTCTAGAACTGAACCTGTGATATATCCCTCTTTATATATACATATATGAACATATACATAGATATGTGTGTATAAATATACATGTAGATGTGTATGCACATATATGTATATACTGAAGTATTTAAAAGTAAGCTGCACATATGACCCATCACTCCTAAAGACTTTAGCTTGCAACTCCCAAGATCGCATTTTCCAAAGTAACCTGCAATACCAATCACATCTAAAAGATTAATAATGTCAACTAACATATACTTCATAGTTTGTCCCCATTATCCCCCCCCCCAATAAAAAGCAATGTCTTTTATAGTTTTTTTTTTTTTTTTTTTTTTGAGACAGAGTCTGGCTCTGTCACCCAGGCTAGAGTGCAGTGGGGCGATCTCGGCTCACTGCAAGCTCCGCCTCCCGGGTTCACGCCATTCTCCTGCCTCAGCCTCCTGAGTAGCTGAGACTACAGGCGCCCACCACCACGCCTGGCTAATTTTTTGTATTTTTAGTAGAGACGGGGTTTCACCGTGTTAGCCAGGATGGTCTCGATCTCCTGACCTCGTGATCCGTCCGCCTCTGCCTCCGAAAGTGCTGGGATTACAGGCGTAAGCCACCGCGCCCGGCTCCTTTATAGTTTTTTAAAATCCAGAATCCAGTTAATTGGGATGATATGAGGCCTTGTGAAAATCCTCATCCTCAACATTTCACGTGTTAGTTGATGATGATTCTTCTTGAATTATTACGTTTTTCGATTGTACCAATTTTTCTACATCTGTTAGCTGACATTCTTCCAGCTTTCACATCCACTGCACCTTTCTCTCTCTGAGTACCACTATGGACTCACGAATTGTTATATTCAAAGTGGTATAATCCCTAATGTATTTTTAAAGCTTAAATCACCCCAAATTTTGCCGATGGAAACCACTCCAAGGTGGTCCCTATTTTCTTTTCACGGTTTCTGACACAAGATGTCTTTGAGCTTACCTTGTACTTTTCTTGCCCTAGATCTAGAATCAGCCACTTCTTCAAGGACTTACTTATACGACGAATAGGTCATACATCCATCTAGTGCAAGTCTCCAGATATTCACAGCTATACATGCCCCCTCCAATCCCACCCCTTTCTTCATAGTCAGCCAATGTTCGTTATCCTTCCAGAGATAGTTTATATCATGGAGTAATATAAAAATTTATGATTTATATGTACTGTATAATAGAGCAATTATATTCTTACCTACCCCCAACATGCTTTAACTCGAATGATAGTGTAGTACACTTCTGAGTTTGTCTGGGCTTGTAGCTCTTGTCTGTCATTAGATTCTGAAAGATACCTATTAACAATACCCTAAAAAGATCAGGAGCCTTTAGGCCAAGTCTCAAACGTTTCAGATGAGAAAAACTCAGGGATGGTGACTTGACGGAAGTTGCATTAACTAACAACGCTCACATGCTATTCTCCGGACTTGGAATGTCCAAGCACCCTGGGCTTGCTGACACCCACTCACTTTTCAAACATCAATTCTTGGGAAGCTTTTCCCTTCCTTAATGTCCCCCAGATAGGTGATGTCCCCTTGTTACAGGTTTTAGACCATTATGTACATCTCCTTCCTAGCACATACATATATTAAAATTTGTTTCCTGTCTCCATGAGGAGAGGGACTACATCTGTCCTTTTCACTGCTGGCACACAGTAGTTGCTCAACAAAAATGTGCGAAGTGAAACTCGAACAGGCGGTCAGGCTCACAGTCCACGCCTCTTCCTACTGTGGTCCCGCTGTGTTTGGACAAATAGTTCCAAATTATAAACTTTAAAACCTGAGAAGTCTCAATAGAAAAAGCAGGGAAGTCTTTCCATTTCCATGATTAATGGAGGACCTTAGCAGAAACGGCTCACCGCGAGGTGTGACGACCGCAGGAGGGCGTCAATCAAGAAAATGCCCCCTTGCCCCGGAGGCGAGTGGAGCCGCACAGAGCCGAGGCCATACGGGCCAGCAGTACGGACTGCTTCAATAGAAAACACGTGCAAAACCAGAGAGCCAGACTGCGCACAGCTGCGACCCTCAAGAGCCAGCAGAAAAGACACGGAGCGGCCCCCACTGGATTGAAGACTGCACAGCCTCTGCCCGGCGCTGTAGGACCCGGGCCTCCCCTTGATTGCTGCTCGCAGCGGCTTCTGCCAGCATCCTCGCGGAAGTGGCTTGAGTCCGAGGCCTCCAAATGAAACCAGGTGGAGCGGCCAAGAGTCCGCAGCACCTGAACTCCAGCCATCCGAATCCCGCCGGGCCGCAGCTAAGGGCCGCCGAGCAGCCCTAGGAACCCAGGGCACTGTCCCGCTCTGAGCTCGGGAAACGGCCGGTGTGACAGCCAGCGCCACTGTTAATCCAGGGAGCGCACCCACCGAGGAGGCGTCTTAGGCCAGCGGCCTCTGCTCCCGCCGAGTCCCGCTGCTCCCCGCCTGGAAACAGCTGCTGCCACCCCGGGCCCAGGCCTGGACGGCGCCCCCGAATTTCGGCAGAGGTGCCTCGGGGCCGCGGACAGGGCCGCTGGAGCCCGCACTCCAGAAGGCGGTCTTCCTCGCGCCTCCCCCGACGGACGCGGCCCAGGGCTTCCCTCGAGGGCGTCCTCGGCCGGGGTGCCTGGAGTCCCCAGGGGCGACAGCCGCGGCGGGGCACCAGGGCGCCAGTTCCCCGGAGCCTGGTAGCAAGCGCGTCCCGGGGGCGGGGAGCTTGGCCGGCGGGGCGGGCCGGGGTGGGGGCGGGCGGCTGCTCTTGGGGCCCCGCGCCATTGGCCGCAGGGCCCGGCGGCAGGAAGGGGCCAGCGAGCGCGGCCCCACCCCGCGGCCGGCGGAGCCTATCGCCGGGAGCGCGGAGCGCGGATAAATGTAGCGCCGCGGCGCGGGCCAGCAGCTCTGCGAGGGGCCGGAGCGCGGCGGAGCCATGCAGTACCCGCACCCCGGGCCGGCGGCGGGCGCCGTGGGGGTGCCGCTGTACGCGCCCACGCCGCTGCTGCAACCCGCACACCCGACGCCCTTTTACATCGAGGACATCCTGGGCCGCGGGCCCGCCGCGCCCACGCCCGCCCCCACGCTGCCGTCCCCCAACTCCTCCTTCACCAGCCTCGTGTCCCCCTACCGGACCCCGGTGTACGAGCCCACGCCGATCCATCCAGCCTTCTCGCACCACTCCGCCGCCGCGCTGGCCGCTGCCTACGGACCCGGCGGCTTCGGGGGCCCTCTGTACCCCTTCCCGCGGACGGTGAACGACTACACGCACGCCCTGCTCCGCCACGACCCCCTGGGTAAGGCGGCCGGGCGAGGGTGGGGGCGAGGAAGCGCCACCCGGCAGGTGGCAGCGCCCGGGAGGCCGAGGGGGCGAAGGGGGCAGGCGGTAGACGGCTGTGGCAAAAGCGATGGAAAAGCAGCTGTCGGGCACGCGCGGGGACGGGAGGCGCGCGGCCGGGGCTGACCGCACCGTGACTCAGATTGGTTTTCCTGCACCTTGCAGGCGTCGGGGCGCGCGGGCCGGCGGTAGACCTCGCGGCGAGGGCAGCCGTGGACCGCGCGTGTTACCCGGGGTGGGGCTCCCTTAGCGGGAGGGACGGGGAAAGGGGCGTCGAGGCGCCCCTGGCCGGCCCCCGTGGGGCAGGGATCGCAGCCGGGCCCGGGTGGCTACGGGGCTGGACCTGGTTCAACAGGCTTGTGCAGTGAAAGAGCCTGACCCTTTCCGTTCATACAGGAAATCTTGAGTTCTCGATAGGAGTAAATCTGGTTTCAGAAGCTGTTAAGTGTTTTCCTGGCTGCATGAAGCAGACCCTTCCCCCGGAGTAGTGCACGCTGCTGATTATTTTATCGACATCCTCAATACAGACAAATTCAGGAAACACTCGACTTCTGATAGCCGGGATCCGTTTTTCTGATATTGTTCATTTCCTCTGTGTGGGATGTGACTTTATGGCAGCTAAAATAACCAGTTGCTTCCTATTTTTTTTCGAGGCTGTTTTGCACCAGTCTGAAGCCTGACGCAAGCAAAATCTCGAAAAAACAATGCTAGCTTTCAAAGCGTTGAGGTGCAGGCCTGCAGACGGACGGACGGACCGACCGACACTACTTTGGGAGTAGGAAGCAGCAGCTCCTGGTCGCCAGTTAGGAAGGGAAGCAGGGACACATAGGGCATATATTCCAGAACTTCGGGGCTTGTCCCCTCAATGTGCGGCCTAACAAATAAGCCGCCCGTGGTCCGCGCTGTGGGTGACCCTTGGCGCCTTCGAGGTCTGGAGCCCTAGGGTAAATAAGGAAACGGGGCGCCTCTAGAGTTTTAAATGAACTCTGTTATTGGAAGCTTCAGTAGGGACCCTGAAAACAATTAACGTCTTAATTAGCATTTTAATGTCTCCATTATTACGGCGCGGGCTCTAGCTCAGCCCTTTACCTTACCTTCTCACCGTTAACAGGGGAGGGGGATTGTATTTTTAGTTCATCTTTTTATGTTTTTGAGTTGTTATCCTGTCTGTCTGATTCCAGCCTCGAGGGTTTGATGATGCGGCCCGAGCCTGGCTGTGGTCGCCTGTCGGGGCTGGAGCGGGACCCTCAGCCGGGCCGGGCCTGGGGGCTAACGTTTTCACAGTGCGCCCTGAGTTTCCTTGGGTTACTGCTGGGACCGCGCAGGAGGAAGCAAAGAGTTTTTCGAGCTAGACCAACAGGAAACACATTGACGGAAATGTTGCCATAGCCCATGGGGTGGCTTTAACTGGCCGCCCCCGCGGGCTGGGTGTGAAATCAGAGGAGGCCGCGGCTCCCCCGGCCAGGATTGGAGGCTCCTCGCGCAACCTAATGCGGGTGTCCGGGCCCGAGCGCTTCCCGCGCAGCCAGGCCTTGTCGGTGCAGCAGCCCCGCTCCTCCCCAACACGCACACACCCGGTGTTCGCAAGTGCGGCTCACCAAGGGAGATCCAAGGGGGCAAAAAGTTATGTATAAATCCGAGAGCCACTGGGGAAAGAGGGTCGTGGTATTGTAAGCCCAGCCGGTAGTGCCCATTCTTTTTGGGGTTAAAGGTATGTCTGGATTTAGTTCTAGGTGTGACGGCTGTGTGTCTGTCTGTGTGTGTACAAGGCTGTGTGCATCTGCGGTGTCAGTGTGTGACTTTGGGTATGTTTGTGTGTCGGTGGGAACGTGTTAGGTCCACGTGCCGGTGGGTGTATGTGAATGTGTCTGGTTGGGTGGCCTCCTGGCCTACCTTTGTCATCCCTGGGGCCCGACAGCTCTGGGGTCTGGCCAGGCCGCTCCAGGGCAGTGGGTGAGCGCCGCTCTTCCCGCTCGCAGGCAAACCTCTACTCTGGAGCCCCTTCTTGCAGAGGCCTCTGCATAAAAGGAAAGGCGGCCAGGTGAGATTCTCCAACGACCAGACCATCGAGCTGGAGAAGAAATTCGAGACGCAGAAATATCTCTCTCCGCCCGAGAGGAAGCGTCTGGCCAAGATGCTGCAGCTCAGCGAGAGACAGGTGAGCTCGCGGGGGGCCTGGGGCCGCCTCCGGGGAAGGGAAGGCTTCTGGGGTAGGGGTCGCCGGGCCACCGAGAGAGAGGCGAGGAGCCACCCTGCCCTCTGGCACGTCCCGACGCGGGCTCGTTGCAAGTTTTCTTTCTCTCTTTCCTGTAGGTCAAAACCTGGTTTCAGAATCGACGCGCTAAATGGAGGAGACTAAAACAGGTATGGACATGGTTCTGTTTCTATGGAAATAAATATTTTTATCACGTTATCTCAGTGCAAGGCTGTTATGGGTTGTATGCAAAAGTCATTTAAGAGACTATTTAACCTCTTCACCTTGATTAAAAAGACAAATAGTCCTGCTGAAATTCAGGATGAGTTGCTCAGGTGGCAGTAATGCTAAAAGCACCTAATGGGGTTCCTATATCAATTATGCTTGGGTTTTCACACACTGGCTAGTAAAACTCCCAGCTAATTGTTTTATAAATCCCATATGTTGTTTATCTAATTAACGCAGGAAAGATAAAGTAATTGACAGTAAATGACTTAAGCAGTTATCTTTGGGAGAAAATTGTTTCTTTTATTTACACAGCCATAATAAAACCAGGCAGAACTCAAGGGTAAATATAAAGAAACAAACACCTTTAAGTCTTGTTTGCACTGTTTTTTAGAAGAATTAAATGTCAGGGAGTTTAAAAATTATTTTCTATCTAATGCCAGCTCTTAAAATGAAATATAAAACTTGTAAGAAAATATTCAAGCCTGTTTGGAAAGTAGCTTAAACTTTCTGACAGTCTTTCTTCCAGTGACCTTGTTTCGCAATATGTGATAAAAAGTAAAGGCTAATTTAGTTTTTAAAAGAAGGTCTATTGACTTAAAGCTAAACATTCATTTTTGATGTCCTAATCTGGATATACTCTCCAAAGTTATCTGATAATTGCTGAATTGTTCACTTGTCATTGTATATACGGTTTATAATAAATACTTTGAAACAATGAGTGGAGAAATTTAAAGCAAAGTGGATTTTAAAATTTATTGATCATTACTTTTTCATTAAAAAGAAAGTGTCCCAAAGAATATTTTGAAATAGAAAATAAAATTCCCATAACTTCATTACTGTAATGTGATTTAAATATTTGCAGATCCACTCTCAATTTCTGACCGTGTGCATCTATTTGTTGAGACTATAAGGCTTGCAACTATATAACAAATAGATGTTGTAATATTTCTATGTAGTATTTATATGCATTTTAGACAAGTATAGGATTAAAAATTCACTAGCTTATATACTTAATAGTTCTTGGTCAAAGGCTTGACTCTAGTTTACCAGAGACCTTAAAAATAGTGGTTTCTATGTAATATGGGGATATTTCCCAGAAATTTGCCCCAGATTTTAAGTAAATTGTAGCTAATTGTCTACCTTCTCAGTTGGCAGCATTCTTCCAGATCCACATTTTTTTTCTTTGCCATGATTTTGTAACTTGTTAAACATTTACACATGTAGATGTTTATAAATTTACTCCAGAAAATGAATGAAAAAAGATCCAGTCTAATAATTGAAACTTTATTCTTAATTCACCAGTTAGCATTCTTATTTTTAAAATGTCTGAAAGACTGTTAATTGGCAAGGTTTAAATATTTAAAGAATGAAGTTAAGGTGTATCTGTAGTGATCTGATTTTCTTTCCCCCTTAAACTTTTGAGAATATTGAAACCATGGGTCTGGGCTGGTGTTAAGTAACCAGAATTTGTGTTCAATTGGTATAATGTATCTGCCCTTATGTTCATGACTGGTTCTCATCTTTTAAGCATATAATCTTTGATATGACAGAAACTTTTCTTCCAAAGTGAGCAAAAAGCACAAGTATGTATCTCCTGAATAAGATTATAAACTGAAAACACTCAGTAAACTAAAAATTAAAAGATGGAATAGGATGAAGAGACATTTTGATTTATTCCTCTCACCTATCCATATTTTATGATCCTTCCAATCTCCATTTTCATTTCCTTTATTCAGGAGAACCCTCAAAGCAATAAAAAAGAAGAACTGGAAAGTTTGGACAGTTCCTGTGATCAGAGGCAAGATTTGCCCAGTGAACAGAATAAAGGTGCTTCTTTGGATAGCTCTCAATGTTCGCCCTCCCCTGCCTCCCAGGAAGACCTTGAATCAGAGATTTCAGAGGATTCTGATCAGGAAGTGGACATTGAGGGCGATAAAAGCTATTTTAATGCTGGATGATGACCACTGGCATTGGCATGTTCAGAAAACTGGATTTAGGAATAATGTTTTGCTACAGAAAATCTTCATAGAAGAACTGGAAGGCTATATAAGAAAGGGAATCAATTCTCTGGTATTCTGGAAACCTAAAAATATTTGGTGCACTGCTCAATTAACAAACCTACATGGAGACCTTAATTTTGACTTAACAAATAGTTTATGTACTGCTCTTAGGTTGTTTTGATAAAGTGACATTATAGTGATTAAATTCTTCCCCCTTTAAAAAAACAGTTAGTGGTTTTCACTATTTATAAAAAATTAATTTTGAACTTTTTGTTAAATTTTTAAGTTATAGCTTTAAAGGTTTTAATAGGACCTTCTTGAACGACTTTTCTGTAATCTGTTTATCTCCCACTTAATGGAAAGGCAAAGGGGTACCCCAAATCCAGAGGTGCCTACATTTCAGGCAGCCTTGGAGTATTTTAAAAGGAAAACATTCTTTACTTTTATATGACATTCTTATACTGCTGTCTCAAATCCAAAAACATTTCAGAGCTCTTGTCTCAGAGATGTGTGTTCTTTTTGTCAGAGATATGGTTGATGAGAATCTTAAATGCTTGTTTTGCACTATCACTTAGTACCTGTTTGACCAAGGTGTTAAGGGGATAGTACCTCCCAATTCAAGCAGAGAAACTGACCTGACTAAAGTTAATCGCAGATGAACTAGAAGTCACAGGTTAATTAAATGTAAGTAGATTGTAGATACTGTTTTATATCAAACAATGTTTATAATGTGTATATAGAATTGTTCACTGTAAAAAAAATGGCCAAAATGTGTTTTTTTTTTAATAAGTAACTTGACTATAAAATAAAGCCGTCCGTGGGACGACTGACCTCGTTGCAAGTCTAATTCTTTGATTTTAAAAAGTCTGCACACCTTTTCTTGACCTCCTGGGTGCTTGGCGCGGTGCTGGGCTCTGGGGACAGGAAGTGACTGGGGCTGGATCTTGCTGGGGCTCTCGTTCCGAGTCCCAGGACCGCGGGTGGGTGCCTGGAACGTGGGTTGGGGCCTCTCCCGGGCCGTTTGCCTTGGGGCTCTGCTCCTGCCGGCGGATTCTGAGCCTGATGGGTTCGAGTCCCGGGCACGCCAGGCGACGGGAAGAGCCGAGGCCCAGGCCCGCTGCGCCGTGAAGCGCGGGGCCGTCCGGACCCCATCGATTCTCCTCGGCAGCCGGGCTGGCCCTCGCCGTCCTTGACCGGCTGAGTCAACACCGCGTCATCCCTCGGCGGCCGGGGCTCGGGAACCCGCTCCGCGCGGCGGGGCCCGGGGTGGGGAAGTCCGAGTGGGGGGATGGGGGGCCCTGGCCGAGGGGAGCGGGGAGGTGGTTTGCGCTGAGAACTGTTCTCGAACCCGGGGAACTTCAGAACCTCCTTCAGGGCTTGTGGAAACCCAGCCCTGTTCCTGGAGTTCTGATCTGTTAGGACTGGACTGGGCTGGGACCGGGAATTTGTATTTCCAACAAGAGCTGAGGTGACGCCAAAGCTGCGGGCCCGGACACCACCCCTGGGGAACCACTGATGTGAGCGCACGGGGTGCGGAAGAAGCAGGTGGGACCGGCACTCCTCCTCCCACCTGCTTTCCCGGGTAACTTTGGCCAGCAAGAGGCTGGGGCGGAGGGCTGAGAGGAGGGAAAGGCGAGGGGGAACAGAGGAACGAGGGGCTTATCCAGGCTAGTGGGAGTGAGGTTTGATGGCTGAGCAGAGGGCGCAGGGTGGAGGAAGGGGCACCATGAAATGGAGGGAGAATGGGGTGCTGAGGTTAGGTGGGTGTGGGGGCCCAGGTTTCTGATTGTTCAGGGTATTGCTAGTCTGTGCCAGCTGCTTGCCTAGCTGAGCCATCAGGTCTCTGACATTCCAGGAAAACCATGACAGAGATCTGTTGGGGAGAGGCCTGGAAATCTCTCTCTAGCCTTGGCCTCCATGGAGGAGGCCTCTAGTTGTAGAGTTGGGTACTTCTGGCTAAGGACCTGTGAAGGAATGACCCGACCCCTGGCCTGGCTTCTAGGGCTGTGGCGCCCCCAGATATGGACACTCAGATGAAGACAGTGAAAAAGTCATTGCTGTTAGGGAGTTGTCACATCCGGCTTCCTTAGATTCTAAGAAGGCCCCTGGAATTGCAGGGGAATTAAGATTTCTGAGAAAAGCAGTACTAGTCCTTAAGCAGAGAGGTGTGGATAGACTTGGAAGTTTGAAGATTTGGGTTGGTGTTTTAGTTCTTGGCCTCAAATCATTTGTAGAACGAAGATGGTCTAGTTGAACCATATGAACCCCTTCCAGCTCTCAAATTCCCAACTCAGTTCATGCCGTCCTTATTGTTCTCCCTACTCCCCATGTCTCCTCAGCCTTGGCACCCAAAGTGGCCACCCAGTGGGAGAGTTTCCCTTCCCATCAGCTGTAGGCTCCAGACCCTGCCTAAAAGATTACATCAAGGTTTCAAAGGTCATAATCCATCTCGTCTGAAAATGGGACTGTCCATATCAGATTTTTGGAGAATGGGAGGCTTATGGATGTAATATTGAATTAAAGTAATCCTGAAACCTGTGTGTGTGTTTCGCTTCTGGAGATAAACCCTAGTTAATGTTTATTCTTGAGAGTAACTGTATCATGACTATTCAGCAGAGAAATACAGACTAATGTATTGATTCACACTAGAAAACTTGAGGGGTAAAATCTAGTTTTAAAGTTGACAATTCCCTGAAACCAGGCTGCTTTCCAATTTCAAGCTTATCCTAACTCTCACCAAGTTGCTCCCATTCTGAATCTAAACATGTCCTTAAGAATCAAGAGCATGTTAACTGGAGGAGGTGCAGTATTCTCAGGACACAGGTAGGCATTCACTTTTCTGAAGTACCCCATTGCAAATTGCCAATGAAGATTTAGAAATTCCTCCTACGATCCGGGCATTTTTCATTTGTTTGTCTTTTGGCTATTTCATGTTGAAGCAGCACGTATGACCTTTACAGCACAACTCCTGTCTTGTTTTTAACTCTTTTTATCAGGAGATTCAACTTGAAAACGGTTATCATTTAGCAGAAAGACAAACAGAAAAGCACATTTTTGTAAGCAAAACGTTAATGATTTGAAGAATTGCCCTAATTTCACCATGACAGTGTGTGATTAATCCCCTGGGTCGTGTACTTATACTTTAAGTTATTCAGTTCATTGGTCTTTGATATTCAGAACCCTTTCTAACTTAATATGATATTGATTTTGTTGGATGATGTACTTTGACTCTTTAAACAACATCACTTTTAGAGATGACTAGCCTACTGTGTAGTATTTTATTTAGAGAACTATTGCATAACATTTCTTTTTCTTACTTTTTATGGTTTTCTCAGGGTGAAAGCTGATAAGACATCTTGTGGGAAAAGAGGAAACCATCTCTGATAGTGAAAGTACCTTTTCTCTTTCAACTTTTCTGACAAGCTTTTGTGTGTGTGTGTGGTTTTCATTACTGTGAATATTCATCTTAGTTAATGGGGGCAGGACAGGGATTCAAGAAAACTTATTTGGACTTGGGGAAAACGCATTTTGCTGGGGACAGAAGAGACTTACTAAAATTCCCACTCCAGATATATTGGCATGTGGAAGCTGATGAACCCAAAAGCTCCTGATTTTGATTTTTTTTCAAGATCTAATAATCAATGATCCTTTAAATCTGTGATTGGAGATACTTATGTGACTACTTACAATATGGGGCAGAATGTGAATACCAAACAATCACCCAGGATGCTTCTAAATGATTGGGAGTTCAAGCCAGGCACTTTGGGAGACCAAGGTGGGCAGATCACCTGAGGTCAGGAGTTTGGGACAAGCCTGGCCAACATGGTGAAACCCTGTCTCTACTAAAACTACAAAATTAGCTGGGCGTGGTGGCACGTACCCGTAATCCCAGCTACTCAGTAGGCTGAGGCAGGAGAATCGCTTGAACCCAGGAGGCGGAGGTTGCAGTGAGCGGAGATCATGGCACTGCACTCCAGCCTGGGCGACAGCGTGAGACTGTGTCTCAAAAAAAGAAAAAAAGGCTGGGCGTGGTGGCTCATGCCTGTAATCCCAGCACTTTGGGAGGCCGAGCCGGGCGGATCACGAGGTCAGAAGATCAAGACCACCCTGGCTAACAAGGTGAAACCCCGTCTCTACTAAAAATACAAAAAATTAGCTGGGCATGGTGGCGGGCGCCTGTAGTCCCAGCTACTCGGGAGGCTGAGGCAGAATGGTGTGAACCTGGGAGGCAGAGCTTGCAGTGAGCCAAGATTGCACCACTGCACTCCAGCTGGGCGACAGAGCGAGGCTCCATCTCAAAAAAAAAAAAAAAAAAAAAAAAGAGAAAAAGAAAAAGAAAAAATAAATGATTAGGAGTTCAGTATTTTGTGGTCAAAGTAATCAGGTTGTACTGACATTTATTTTTCAGTCCATAGAGGTTTTAGGAAGTCCCAGTTGGGCTCTGTATATGTCTAATCTAATTTTGTCCCTTGATATGTATTTTTTGGTATTGTTGATAACTCCAAATAAGAAGCACTTTGGAGACTCCTCCCACTCACCCAAAGATCTGAGACCCCAGGTCTACAGAGGAGCAGCTACCCCTTCACATGTGGCTGTAGGAAAACCAGAATCACCCCGTTGTGGATACAAGCATGGCTAGCAGCAGGGGAGATGGAACTCTCTACCCCTCTCTTGCTGGCTGGGGCCCCGGGGGACACCCGCATCCTCAGCCTCCGGTCCCTCAGTTCCTAGAGCGGAGCGTGGCTCCCCCGAGAGGAGGCGGCGTCCCTGGCACGCCGTGGGCCCCGAGTGTCAGTCAGAAAAGCTAGACACCCCGAGTGATTCCCTTCTTTTGAGACAGCTCTTGGGTTCGCAGTTGCAGGCGGGAAACCTCTTCAGTCG
The DNA here is from genome assembly GCF_000001405.40 of Homo sapiens. Classification (NCBI taxonomy): domain Eukaryota; kingdom Metazoa; phylum Chordata; class Mammalia; order Primates; family Hominidae; genus Homo; species Homo sapiens. The sequence continues at coordinate 92,699,692 of NC_000010.11, forward strand.
GATGTACACAAATCTCTCTGGATAACACAGAGGGCTGCTGCGAGGGGACCTTGGAGCTGGCAGAGACATTTCCTGTCTGCGGAGGATCTTGACTTTGGAGCATCCGGCCGTCGCCGCGAGCGGCCGAACACTTTCCTGCGTCGCTGCTTTAAAAAAAAAAAAAAAAAAAAGTCACTGCCAATATCAGGCGACTTTCCACATGAAAGCCAATGAGGCCGCTTCCCACTTAAAAAACGTTTGTTTAAAACGTATTTTCTAAGCATTCCTTAGACTCCCTTTTATTTTGGAGGGGGAATTTGGTATCTTTGAAAAACCTTAAGTATTCAAAAATCTCATTCTCTCTGAAGACAACTTCTTAGATGAACAAGTACGGGAAACAGTTAACAGCAGAGGGTCCCTCCCCTGCTGCTCGCAGACGCTCGCAGTAAGATATGCTCATAATCTTGTTTATGTTTTTCTTTCATGGTTTATGCCCTTCCATCCTTCTTCTGCTCCCCACTTTTCCTTCCTTATTCATTCCCTTTCTCTTTTTTCCCCTTTCCCTTTTAGGATTCCTCATCTTCATTCAGTTTACTTCCCCATTTAGAATAGAAAATGACTAATCTCTACTCTTTAGATGTCACTATTGGGGCCAAGATTTTCTTTAAATTTATAGAAATGTTCAACTTTTAGCTGAGGTGAGAATCCTGTTTGAGGGAAATGTTGCTGGAGTCCTAATGCGTTGCTCCCATCCCGCCAGGGATAGTTTTTTTTTTTTTTAAGCCAAGATAAGCAATAATAATAACATAGTCCAGGTACAGTGGCTCATGCCTGTAATCGCAGCACTTTGGGAAGCCGAGGCAGGCAGATGGTTTGAGGTCAGGAGTTCAAGACCAGCCTGGCCAAAATGGTGAAACCCCGCCTCTGCTAAAACAAATACAAAAACTGGCAGAGTGTGGTGGCAGGCGCCTGTAATCCCAGCTACTCGGGAGGCTGAGGCAGGAGAATCACTTGAGCCACTGCACTCCAGCCTGGGCGACAAAGTGGGACTCCGTCTCAAAAAAAATAAAAAATAAAAAATAAAAAAATAAAATAACATAAATAGAAGAGTAATAATCCCTGTGTCTCTAGGGTCCAGGCGCTCAGTAGCACTGGAGTGTAATGGAGCTGACAGAGAGAGATGCTGCAATAAGGGATGGACAGCAGATGCTGTGGCAGAGTCTGCCAGGGACTCCCAACCAGAGAAAAGGAAAAGGAAGCCTGTTCCACGGAGAAGGATGATCCTGTACACAGGTCTGGAGGTGAAAGAGGGCAGGGAGTATGCATGACTGGACTCCAGAGATTTTGGATTTCAGAATTTTCAGTGAGGGATTGTGGACCTGTGTTCTCTCTACCCACCACACAGGTCTCTTTGTTTTTGCATTGGCACTTTCCTCTCTCTGGAACTCTCTTTCCCCCAAATATAGCCTCATGGCTTGCTCCCTCCTCTCCTTCAGACATGGCCTTCCCTTGCCACCTTTTTACAATGCCAACCTCCTCTTCCTATCCCCAACAACAATTTAATTTTCTCTATTTCACTTAATGCAATTGGATATAATATTTTTACTGCCTTATTTATTATGTGTCTCTCCTTATTGACATATGAACATCATGAGGGTAGGGATTTTTGTCTGTTATGTTCACTGTTATGTATCTTCAGCCTGACCTATTAGGTGCTTGTTAAACATATGTTAAATTAGTGAATTACTGAGCACGTACTATGTGCTGCTAAATATTATGTAAGTCTTTCACCTGCTTTATATCTTTATATCATTTAATCATCAAGGACCCTATGAGGTAGAGGCTGTTATCAACCCCATTTTCTAGATAAGGAAACTGTCACCGAGAAATTAAGCCCAAAACCTCAATTACTATACCGATCAATGTTGTAATGAGAACTTCCTCACTGAATCTGTTGCATTCTTGAAAAGGTATCAAATCAAGTCTAACTCTAGCTATAAGAAGAGAATTGAGGTTTTTTGCTCATCTTACCTAATCTTTTGCCTTGATTCAAATCTAGCATTACATCTGGAAGGGACTATGATACAGTATAAGGGATAAGCAATTTCTGTGTATGTAACATATTATTCTATTACATTAGGAAACTAATAAGCTGAGTGAAGTACCATTTCCCTCTCAGTTTTCTGGGGAAATGAGCATTATAAGATACACTTTCTATCTTTCAAAGCGTTAAAAAAAACAAGTTGGCCAGGTGTGGTGGCTCATGTCTGTAATCCCAGCACTTTGGGAGGCCGAGGCAGGCAGATCATGAGATCAAGAGATCGAGACCATCCTGGCCAACATGGTGAAATCTCATCTCCACTAAAAATACAAAAATTAGCCGAGCATGGTGTTGTACTCCTGTAATCCCAGCTACTCGGGAGGCTGAGGCAGGAGAATCGCTTGAACCTGGGAGGCGGAGGTTGCAGTAAGCTGAGATGGCGCCACTGCACTCCAGCCTGGTGACAGAGTGAGACTCCATCTCAAAAAAGAAAAAAAAAAAAAAAAAAAAAAAAAATATATATATATATATATATATATACATGAAAGTTTGCTTCTCATCTGGCCCATTGAGGCATGTTCCACAAGGGACTCTGAACATAGCAGTGTGATAGCTTACTATTTGTGTCCCCAGCATCCAGCAGTATGTTTGGCCTACAGTAAACTTTTAATAAATATCGTTCTACAGAATGAAAGTGAAAGCCATGTGCCCTCCCTGAAGGAGAGGAGAGCCATTTCCCTCCCTCCCCAAGCCCCGCACCCTCATTATACTTCCTATTCCTTGGCCACCAGAAACATAGCTTGCCTGGATGGCTTTGGCAGCACAGCAGAAAGCATAGTGGGCAGGGGCTGTAAGTGCTACAGAGACACTTGACAGGTGCCAACTTGGGCCACGGGTGAGGCGAGGACATATTTAGGTCTGTTTAAGCCTAAAAAAGCTCTAAAAGAAAATGTTCTCTTCCATCTTTTTACCAGCATAAATTTGAAGAGGAAGTGCTTCTGTGGTTTTATTGGCCATTTTTCCCTTTCAGACTTGGCAATTTCATTCAATTTCCAGTTCACACTTCTCAATTTCAATCAAGAGTTTTATTTAAAATATATCCAGTTTACTGAAAAAAAAAATGACACTATTTGGGATGGGCTGTGATCACTACTATTTTTATCAGCATCATCTATTCAGAAAATGGAAGCAGGAAATCCAAATTTTTTAAATGATTTCTGAAAGTATTTTATGAATTGCAAAGAAGTGTAGAAGGAAGAGAAAGTGTTTACTTTACATGCTCTTTCAAAGTTTCAACTTTCCTTAGCTGCTTATGGAAACTGCATTACTACAGACTTTCCATTAATTGTAGATTAGACCAGACTAATTCAATAAATGTTTAAAAAATGGACCCTGAGTGCAGGTTCAGACGTCCAGAGGAAATGACTTGATGGTACGGAGGTGGAAGGGAGTGAGAAGTTATGATGATGTATGGTGCTGTTGATCAGTTAATTGAAGGTAAAATTTTTAGCTTCACCAAGCAATTACCTGATCTCATTAAGGTCTTTAAAATCACCTAAGTACCATTTGCCTGAGGCAGCTGCCCCTTGTTTAGATGTTATTTCAGGCATTAAGAAAAACACAATGTTAATGGTGACCAGGGAATTTATGCATGCAGTTTCTAGTATATATTATTCTGAATCTTAGCCATTATTCAGTATTATCCACCTTGTATAAACATGGGGCACTAAAATATATTTACATTTTGTATATATTTACATTTCATATTTGTTTTACTTTTCAAATGTATTTTAAAGCATCATGTTTACAAGATAGTTTTTTTTACAAATAAAATTTGTTAAGAGATATGGATTGTCAATTTTTTTCAAGAAACTACTTATTAAAGTATAATATATATATTTTAAAAGCTCACAAATCATAGGCGTACAGCTTACAACATGACTACACTATGTAACTGGAATCCATATCTTGAAATAGAACATTACCAGATCCCAAGGAGCTCTCTTTATGCCCCCTCTAGTTCACTATCCCCAACCCCACTCCAAGGGACTCCACTAACCTGATTCCAAATGGCATAGATTCATTTGCCAATTTTTGAACTTTATGAAAGTAAAATCCCACAGTATTTTCTCTTTTATCTCCCATTCCTCCTCCATTCCTTTAGTTTTCAGGTTTTGTTTTGTTTTGTTTTGTTTTTGGAGACGGAGTCTTGCTCTGTCACCCAGGCTGGAGTGCAGTGGCGTGATCTGGGCTCACTGCAACCTCCGCCTCCCAGGTTCAAGCAGTTCTCTTGTCTCAGCCTCCCGAGTAGCTGGGATTACAGGCGTCTGCCACCACACCTGGCAAATTTTTGTATTTTTAGTAGAGATGGAGTTTCACCATGTTGGGCAGGCTGGTCTCGAAGTCCTGACCTCAAGTGGTCTACCTGCCTCAGCCTCCCAAAGTGCTGGGATTACAGGAGTAAGCCACCGTGCCCGGCTGCCCATTCCTTTAGTTTTTTTTGCTGGTAAATTCATCCACGTTATGGTGTGATGTTGTTTGTTTATCCTCAGTGCTGCAAAGTGGTCCATTGTATGAATTTTCATGTTAGTTTAAATAATGCATCTAAATATAAAAACTGTGCCATAAAATTTACATTTGAAAATGACACTGCTCACATTTTACTGGACTCCAAGACTCCTAGGTGGAGAGAAAGAAAGACAGCAGAAAGAGCAGGAGCATCAGGCTGTCAAGAAACAAATCACTGCAACCTTTCACATATCAGAAGGGCTGGGAATATCAGTAACCAATATCTCACTTATTTTTCCCACTCAGGTGGGTTAAATGAAAAAAATCACCGAGGCCGGGTGCGGTTGCTTATGCCTGTGATCCCAGCACTTTGGGAGGCTGAAGCAGTTGGATCACTTGAGGTCAGGAGTTCGAGACCAGCCTGGCCAACATGGTGACACCCATCTCTACTAAAACTACCAAACAACAACAACAATAACAACAACAACAAAACCCCTAAAAATTAGCTAGGCATGGTGGCAGGTACCTGTAATCCCAGCTACTCGGGAGGCTGAGGCAGGAGAATTGCTTGAACCTGGAGGGCAGAGGTTGCAGTGAACTGAGATCATGCCACTGCACTCCAGCCTGGGCAACAAAGCAAGAATCCATCTCCAAAAAGAAAAAAACAATTTCTAAAGACAACTTCAATTCTGGACATAGGTCTCCCTGTAGTTACAGTATTTTATTTCAGTAGTTTTAGGAATTTAGTTTGCATTCTATTCCACTTTCATTTTCCTGTTACTTTGATGTTTAAAATTATAAAGCTGCTATGGGATGATGTGCTGGATTTTATGTCTAGATTTGCTGTTAAGTAGCAATGTGACTCTGGAGATATCAATTACCTCTCTGTTTCCTCATCATAAAATGAGGCTCTTGGACCAGGTGATTTTTTTTTTTTTTTATTTTTTTTTATTTGAGATGGAGTCTCACTCTGTCACCCAGTCTGGAGTGTAGTGGCGCGATCTCGGCTCACTGCAACCTCCACCTCCCGGGTTCAAGAGATTCTCCTGCCTCAGCCTCCGGAGTAGCTGGGATTACAGGCACGCACCACCGCACCTGGCTAATATTTGTATTTTTTAGCAGAGATGAGGTTTCACCATGTTGGCCAGGCTGGTCTCAAACTCCTGACCTCAGATGATCCACCTGCCTTGGCCTCCCAAGTGCTGGGATTACAGGCGTGAGCCACCGCGCCCAGCCTAGGTCATTTTTAATGTTGCACTTAACACTAAGACGCTATGTTTTTCTGTTCTATATCTTTCTAAGCAACATATTCACCCCTAAACTTCAGTGGCTATGTGTTTTAGGTGTTGAGAGGAATGAAGAATCTTTTATTTCACCGGTCTTCTGGTGTTCACTCCCTGAGCAGGACTTGTCTTATACTTAAGCTCAGTTCTAAGGTTAAATCAAGGCTCAGTCTCTATCAAAGCCTATAAAAGCTCACCCTAGGGAAGTGTTCTTAGGGAAGCATTTCTAATATTTCCAGCTGTCCATATATTTTCAAACAAATAATAGGGTATTGAAGTAAACTCGAATGTTGATTATACGTTTTCTATCAAATTATTCAAGTATTCATTCAGAAAATATTTATTGAGCACCTACAATGTGGCACGTGGAAGCACTGGGGATATAAATTTGCATAAGGCTCAGTAGGATGACTTTGAAGACCAGAGAAAACATCCTTTTAATTTCCAACATTCAAGGATGAACCTATTTTCACCCTAAGCATAATTATAATTTTGCTTGCTATATAATAATTCCATGCTGTTTAAGTTCTTGAGTTTGTCTTGCAAAAGCTTTTGCCAAACAACCCATAGCAAAATATTTAATAACACATGGGCATTCCAAAGTCATAAATAAGAAACTAAGTGGACCTCCTTTTAGAGCATGTCCCCACAAATGCCCTCTTCTCTCCTCATTTCCATCCTGGGGTGAATGCCCACTTCACCTCCCACACAGTGTGGTTTAAATAACTATAAAATGTCTCCAACAGATGGTATTACCTGGCATCCCACACCCAGGACTGTCATCTCTCCCTCAACATTTCCTTCCTGTGGCATTGAGGCTGTGAATCTGCCCATCTCCCCTGGTTTTCTCCAGGTAACTCCACCTTGGGCAAGGTCTGCATTATATATATATCTATATTTACATGTATAAAAGTATATGTATATGTATTTTTAGAGGCAAGGTCTCGCTCTGTCACCCAGGCTGGAGTACAGTGGCATAATCATAGCTCACTGCAGCCTCCAACTCTTGGGTGCAAGGGATCCTTCCACCTCAGGCCCACAAGTAGCTGGGACTATAGGTGCATGCTACCACACTTGGCTAATTAAAAAAAAAAAATTTATAGAGGTAAGATCTCTATGTTGTCCAGGCTGGTCTCGAACTCCCGTCCTCAAGCAATCCTCCTGCCTTGGCCTCCCAAAATGCTTGGGATTACAAGCATGAGCTACCCTTTGGGCACATAATGTATTATTAGGTAGAGATGGCAAAATTTCTTAATTCTCTTGTTGGGTTAATGTTGTTTTGTTGTTATAAAATTTCTAAAATGAGAATGTTTTGCCTCCATTTCAGTTTAATTCCTTCTAGAGTATATTCATAGAAAATGAATCATTGAGCCAAAGGGATGAATATTTGATAAATATTGTGAAATACTTCCTGGGAAAGTTTTGTCAATTTATATCAGTGGAGAACAAGGATCATTTCTCCATATCTTCACCAATGGAAGTGCTGTTTTTCTAATCTTTCTTAATTATTTAGGAGAAGAATAGTATGCTGTATTTTAATTTTACATTTCATTCCTTTCATTATTCCCAAAGTTGAATTTTAAAAATATGCTGGCCAGGTGCTGTGGCTCACGCCTGAAATCCCAGCACTTTGGGAGGCCGAGGCGGGAGGATCACGAGGTCAGGAGATCCAGACCATCCTGGCTAACACAGTGAAACCCTATCTCTACTAAAAATACAAAAAATTAGCCAGGTGTGGTGGCACGTGGCTGTAGTCCCAACTACTTCGGAGGCTGAGGGAGGAGAATCACTTGAACCCGGGAGGTGGAGGTTGCAGTGAGCCAAGATCACGCCACTTCACTCCAGCCTGGGCAACAGAACGAGATTCTGTCTCAAAAATAAATTTAAAAAAATGCTAACCTTTTATTTCTTTTTCTATTTGAATTCTTTTATTTTTTATTATTTTTATTATTTTTTGAGACAGTTCAGTCTGTTGCCCAGACTGGAGTGCAGTGGTGCCATCTCGGCTCACTGCAACCTCCACCTCCCGGGTTCAACTGATTCTCCTGCCTCAGTCTCCCAAGTAGCTGGAACCACAGGTGTACACCCCCATGCCCGGCTAATTTTTTGTATTTTTAGTAGAGATGGGGTTTCACCATTTTGGTCAGGCTGGTCTCAAACTCCTGACCTCAGGTGATCCACCCGCCTCTGCCTCCCAAAGTGCTGAGATTACAGGCGGGAGCCACCATGCCCAGCTGATTTATTTGAATTCTTTATGTTGGAAGATATAAGCTTTTTGCCTTATTTATTGCAAAAATGTTTCTCAGTTATTTAAAAAGATATTTAGGAAAATGGAACATTTTTGTGTAGTCAAATGTAACAATATCTCTTTTATGATTTCTTTCTTTTCTCGTAAGCTTAGAAAGATTCCCTCATTCAGAAAGCAAATGAACATCCACATACATTAAACAAAAACCCTCCCCCTAAAACTCTTTCATCTCTCCCCCACCCCTCATTATTTTACATTTAATGCTTAATCTACCTGAAATTTATTTTGCTCCACAATATCAGGTGAAGAACTAAAATAAAAAATTACCCCTAAATACCTAACTAAGTGTTCCATTCATGCAATAATCATTCCTTTTTGCCCTTTTCCTGGATTAAATGTCTAAAAACACCTTGGTTTCTGGACTAATTGCAATGTTCTTTCAATTTTGTTTTTGTATTTTGTATATCTGTGGCTGGGCTTAAGGACTAGAATTTGTTTTCTGTAGCAGAAGGATGAGAGCTTCTGTTCATTCTTACATATAATCAGATTTCTCCTTCTTCGAAGGTTGAGTTGGCTTTTGAAACAAACAACAGCTAGCTTTCTCATCAGAGTCTACCATATCTGGGTTTTCCTATGCATGACTTTTTTTTTTTTTTTTTTTTTTTTTTTTGTGAGACTGAGCCTCTCTTTGTTGCCCAGGCTGGAGTGCAGTGGCGTCATCTCGGCTTACTGCAACCTCCGTCTCCCGGATTCAAGTGATTCTCCTGTCTCAGCCTACCGAGTAGCTGGGATTACAGGCGCCTGCCACCACGCCCGGCTAATTTTTGTATTTTTAGTAGAGATGCGGTTTCACCATATTGGTCAGGCTGGTCTCAAACTCCTGACCTCAGGTGATCCACTCGCCTCAGCCTCCTAGAGTGCTGGGATTACAGGCGTGAGCCACCGTGCCTGGCCTTCTGTTCATGACTCTTGCACTGCAGATGAAAGTGCTCTCAGAACCTACAGAGCACCAAACTCAAGAAACAGAACTTAGGAAGCTTTATGTGCATCATTGGCTGAATCCTCTGCATGGAGGAGCAAGTGCCCTGCCTGCTAGTCCATTTCTATTTTAAATTATAGTGTACCACTCCAGTGGTGTATTAGAAAAAGTCTTTAGATGGCCAGGCACAGTGACTCATACCTGTAATACCAGCACTTTGGGAGGCCAAGGCAGGCAGATCACCTGAAGTAGGGAGTTCGAGACCAGCCTGACCAACACGGAGAAACCACGTCTCTACTAAAAATACAAAATTAGCCGGGCATGGTGGCGCATGCCTGTAATCCCAGCTACTCGGGAGGCTGAGGCAGGAGAATCACTTGAACCTGCGAGGTGGAGGTTGCAGTGAGCCGAGATCGTGCCATTGCACTCCAGCCTGGGTGACAGAGCGAGACTCCATCTCAAAGAAAAAAAAAGAAAGAAAGAAAGAAAGAAAAAGTCTTTAGATTTAAAAAATAGCTAACACTTACTGGAGACTTATATTTTTTGCATTTTTTTCAAATCTTTATGAATGTCTTCAGTAAAGTTAAATATTTTCTTTATTTAATACATACTCATTAAAAATTTTCAAGTTTATTGAGGTGAAATATAACATAAAATTAGCCATTTTAAAGTGAACAATTCAGTGGCATTTAGTACATTCAAAATGTTGTGCAAACACCACCTTTATTTGTTCCAAAAGATTTTCTTTTCTTTTCCTTTTTTTTTTTTTTTTGATTTAGCTTTTGTTGCTCAGGCTGGAGTGCAGTGGTGTGATCTTGGCTCACTGCAACCTCCACCTGCTGGGTTCAAGCGATTCTCCTGCCTTAGCCTCCTGAATAGCTGGGATTACAGGCAAGTGCCACCACACCTGGCTAAGGTTTTGTATTTTTGGTAGAGATGGGGTTTCACCATGTTGGCCAGGATGGTCTCGAACTCCTGACCTCAGGTGATCTACCTGCCTCGGCCTCCCAAAGTTCAGGGATTACAGGCGGGAGCCACCATGCCCGGCCTGTTCCAAAACATTATCATCTTTCCAAAATAAAACTCTGTATCCATTAAGCAGTCACTCCCCATTCTCTCTTCTCCCCATTTTCTGGCAACCACCAATCTGCTTTCTGGATGGGTTTACTTATTCTAAATATTTCACACAAATGGAATAATACAATATGTGATCTTTCGTGTCTTATTTATAAAACATTAGCATAACGTGTTTGAGGCTCATCCACCTTGTAGCATGTATCAGTACTTCATTCCTTTTTATGGCTGGACAATATTTCATTGTATAAATAAAACACAGTTTATTTATCCATTTGTTAGTTGATGGACATTTGGGTTGTTTCCACCTTTTGGCAATTGTGAGTAGTGCTGCTATGAACATGTGTGTCCAAGTACTTATTTGAGTATCTATTTTCAATTACTTGGGATATATGCCTAGGAGTGAAATTGCTGGGCCATATGACAATTGTATATTTAACTTTTTGAGGAAATTCTAAACCATTTTCCATCATCACTGTGCCATTTTACATTCCCACCAGCAATGTTTGAGGATTCCAGTTTCTCCGTCCTTACCAATACTTGTCCTTTTATAGAAAAATTATAGGCAAGCTCATGGGTATGAAGTGGTATATCATTGTGGTTTTGATTTGCATTTCTCTAATGACTAATGATGTTGGGCACCTTTTATATGCCTATTTGCATTTGTATACCTTCTTTGCTTTTTTATTTTTTATTTTTGAGTAGTCAAGTGCAGTAGTGAGAAGGGGGAAAGAGTAGAACAAGGAGTTCGATCTATAACTGACTGAACAATCAACTGAGATAACTCACTATGTTCAGACCAGCCTGTATACCTTCTTTGGAGAAATGTCTTTTCAAATTCTTTACTCATTTAAAAATTGTGTTGTTTGTCTTTTTTGTTGTTGAGTTGTAGGAGTTTGTTACATATTCTGGATACTAAACGATTATCAGATATATGATTTGCAAATATTTTTTTCCCATTCTGTAGGTTGTCTTTTCACTTTTTAAAAATTGATACACAACAATTGTACTTATTTAGAGGGTACACATGATATTTTGATATGTGCATACAATGTGTAATGATCAAATCAGGGTAACTGGAACATCCATCACCTCAAACATTTATCATTTCTTTTTGTTGAGAACATTCCACATCTTCTAGCTACTTTGAAATATACAATAAATTATTGATAACCATTCTTTCACTTTTTTGATAATGTCCTTTTTTGCATAGAAGTTTTTAATTTTGATGAAGTTCCATTTCTCAATTTTTCTTTTGTTGCTCAAGCTTTTGGTGTCATAGTTAAGAATCAATTGTCAAATCCAAGGTCATAAAGATTTAATCCTATGATCTCTTCAAAGAGATTTATTATTTTAGCTCTTATATTTGAGTTGTTGATTCATTTTGAGTTACTTTTTGGATATGGTATGAGGCAGCTTCATTCTTTTTTTTTTTAATGTTTTTTTTTTTTTTTGAGACAGAGTCTCACTCTGTTGCCCAGGCTAGAGTACAGTGGCGTGATCTCGGCTCACTGCAACCTCGGCCTCCTGGGTTCAAGCAACTCTCCTGCCTCAGCCTCCCAAGTAGCTGGGATTACAGGCATCTGCCACCAGGCCTGGCAAATTTTTGTATTTTTAGTAGACACAGGTTTCACCATGTTGGCCAGGCTGGTCTTGAACTCCTGACCTCAAGTGATCCACCCACCTCGGCCTCCCAAAGTGCTGGGATTACAGGCGTGAGCCATCATGCCCGCCCAAAGCTTCATTGTTTTGCAAGCCGATATCCAATTGTCCTAGTACCACTTATAGAGATTATGCTTTTCCCATTGAATGGTTTTAGCACCCTGCTGAAGATCAATTAACTATAGACATATGGGTTTATTTCTGTACTTTCTTTTTTTTTATTTTAATTTTTTTTGAAATGGAGTCTCACTCTGTTGCCTAGGCTGGAGTGCAGTGACGTGATCTCAGCTCACTGCAACCTCCGCCTCCTGGCTTCAAGGGATTTTCATGCCTAGCTTCCCAAGTAGCTGAGACCACAGGTACACGCCACCACGCCCAGATAATTTTTGTGTTTGTGGTTTTTTTTTTTTTTTTTTGAGACAGGGTCTTGCTCTGTCACCCAGGCTGGAGTGCAGTGGTGCGATCTTGGCTCACTGCAAGCTCCACCTCCCGGGTTCATGCCATTCTCCTGCCTCAGCCTCCTGAGTAGCTGGGACTACAGGTGCCCGCCACCATGCCCCACTAATTATTTTGTATTTTTTAGTAGAGACGGGGTTTCACTGTGTTAGCCAGGATGGTCTCGATCTCCTGACCTCAGGTCATCTGCCCGCCTCAGCCTCCCAAAGTTCTGGGATTGCAGGCGTGAGCCATCGCGCCAGGCCCTGAGCTTATTTTCTTAAGAATTACATACTGTCTCTGTCAAAGAGGAGAGATAATTGGTGCTTAATACATTGTTTACTTTAGGTTTACAAAAGGTTAGATAAACAAAAAGACTAAAAATCTGTTTGTACTAGTGAACATTTCTGAATTGGTAACCCACAGTTAGGTTGATAGATATACTGAAAGCAATTTTTCTTGTTCACATGTAGTACTTAATTTTTGTCAAGTTTGTGACTGCTCAGTTTTGCATCCTCCTTTGTCTTCCTCTTTTCATGACCTTATTTCTTCAGATGGATGTTTTGAGGTTATTTTCTATTTTGAGAAAACTATACAAATCTGATTTATTATCACAATAGCTCAAAAGTAGTTCCTGTTGAAGTTCTCCACATTGTCAATACTGTGACCTCCTGTCAGTCTCCTACACTGGATGGGAAACTCAAGCTGAGATTTCTCCAAAGTGCTTCCCACAGCGGCTGAACTAATTTCAATTACCACCAGTGGTATACAGGCGTTCCCTTTTCTCCACAGCCTCGCCAGCATCTGATGTTTTTTGACTTTTTAATAATAGCTGTTCTGACTAGTGTGAGATGGTATCTCGCTGTGGTTTTGATTTGCATTTCTCTGATGACTAGTGATGTTGAGCATTTTTTCATATATTTGTTGCCTGCTTGTGTGTCTTCTTTTGAGAAGTGTCTGCTTATGTCTTTTGTCCACTTTTTAATGTGGTTATTTGTTTTTTGCCTGTTGCATTATTTAAGTTTCTTATAATTTTGGATATTAGACCTTTGTCTGATGCAGTTTCTGAGTATTTTCTCTCCCATTCTGTAGGTTGTCTATTTACTCTGTTGATAGTTTCTTTTGTGTGCACAGGCTCTTTAGTTTAATTAGGTTCCATTTGTCAATTTTTGTTTTTGTTGCAATTGCTTTTGAGGACTTAGTCATAAATTCTTTCCCAAGGCCAATGTTCAGAATGATGTTTTCGAGATTTTCTTCTAGGATTTTTATAATTTGAGGTCTAACATTTAAATCTTTTAATCCATCTCGAGTTAATTTTTATGTATGGTAAGAGGGAAGGATCCAGTTTCGTTCTTCTGCATATGGATAGCCAGCTATCCCAGCACCAGTTATTGAATAGGGGAGTCCTTTCCCCATTGCTTATTTTTGTTGACTTTGCTGAAGATTAGATGGCTGTAGGTTTGTGGTGTCATGCCTTTTGAAGGTTTTTTTTTTTAATTTTTCACTTAGCACAATGCATTTGAGGTTTATCTGTGTTCATATGCTTATTAATAGTCCCTTTGTTTCTGAGTAGTATTCCATAGTATGGATGTAGCTCAGTTTGTTTATTTATTTGCTACTTGAAGAACATTTGAATTGTTTCCAGTTGGTGATTACAAATAAAGCAGCTATAAACAGTTCACTTAAATGTATTTGTGTAAACATATGTTCTCATTTCTCTTGGGTCGGTATCTAGGAATAGGATTCCTGAATTATAGGATAAATGAAGGTTTAATTTAATAAGAAACCGCCAAACATTTTCAGTTTTGTAGAGCCACCATAATGAATTACCATGGTCTTAGTGGCTTAAAACAATAGAATTTTATTGCCTTATAGTTCTGTGAGGCTCGAAGTCCAAATTCAAAATGTTGGCCAGCCCATACTCCCTCTGAAAGCTCTAGGAGAGAATTCTTCCTTCCTTTTTTTTTTCCTGAGACAGACCCGCTCTATTGCCTAGGCTGGAGTACAGTGGGGCAATCTCAGCTCACTGCAGCCTCTTTCTGCTGGGTTCCAGCAATACTCCTGCCCCAGGCTGCCAAGTAGCTGGGATTACAGGTGCCCACCACCTTGCCCAGCTAATTTTTGTCTTTTTAGTAGAGACAGCATTTCACTGTGTTGGCCAGGCTGGTCTCAAACTTCTGACCTTAACCTGACCTTAAGTGATCTGCCCGCCTTGGCCTCCCAAAGTACTGGGATCTTTGGGGTATCGATTTTCTTCCTGTAAACCTTTGTGGCCGGTGGCACCTTTGCCTGACTTCTTGTGTCCAGGAAGAATGAGGTACACAGACAAGTGAAAGGTGAAGAAGTCAAAGGGGAGCTTTATTTAGTGTTAGCACAGCTCAGAGGAGACCCACAGTGGGTAGCTCCTCTCTGTAGGCAGGTTGTCCCATGGAGTGTTCAGCTCTCAGCAGAGACGAGGCCCTGGAGAGGGTAGCTCCTCTCCACAGGCGGGTTGTTAAGAGCATCTCTGCTCTCAGCAGAGAGGGTAGCTCTTCTCTGCAGCTAGTCTTGCCATTGTCTCTCCATCCTCTGCCCTCTTCTTGCTGATCCCAGGGCTCAGAGGGGAGGAAGTATGTGTTGATTGGTCCATGGGCAGCCATAGGTGACCTGGAGGAGGCACAAGTCCCCACTCCAGTCTGCGGGACTGGCAGCCCAGCCCCCAGCCTTCAGGCCCTCTCTGGCCTGAAGGTGTGGCCTTACTGGAACCTGCTCCCTTCCCTCCAGGAATCTGTCTGCCTTCTGCTGCCATTCATGACCCCGGGGCTCAGCCCCAACCCTGCTTGGAGATTGGAGCAGGCACTGGGAGAGGAGAGGCCAGGCAATGGGAGCAGACAACCCCAGGCCTGCAGGTATGTTTGGGGAGGGGCCTTCTTGGGCCCCCGCGGGTGCAGGCTGCAGAGATGCCTGGGTCCTGTGCCTGGGAGGGCAGCTGCAGCTGCACTCTGGGAGCTACCACCCCTCCAACTTGGAAGCCTCTTCCTCTGCTTGTCCCTGGCTCCTGCCTGCTCTGTGGAGCAGGAGGCCCAGGTCTACAGCTGCAGGTCCAGGGGCTGCAGTTGCACCCAGGAGGGCAGATCCTGCCTGCTCCTGGCCACCCTCAAGAGTGAGGGGAGGCTTGCGTCCACAGCTGCAGTTTGGGTGCCCGTATCCCCACCCAGGGGGGCAGGGCCCCTGCCTGCTCAGTAGAGCAGGAGGCCTGGGTCTGTGGCCATGGTCAGCTGCCGTCATTGGGATGACAGTCATGAGCCACTAGCCTGACCCTTCCTTCCTCTTCTCACCTTCTGGTAGCTCCTGCAAACTTTGGAATTCCTTGGTTTGTAACTGTGTTACTCAATCTCTGCCTTTATCTGCACATGGCCTTCTCTCCTGTGTCTTTCTGTGTTTTTCCCTTTTTTTTTTTTTTTTTTTGAGACCGAGTCTTGCTCTGTCGCCCAGGTTGGAGTGCAGTGGCTCAGTCTCGGCTCACTGCAAGCTCCGCCTCCCGGGTTCACGCCATTCTCCTGCCTCAGCCTCTGAGTAGCTGGGACTACAGGTGCCTGCCACTGCGCCTGGCTAATTTTTTGTATTTTTAGTAGAGACGGGGTTTCACCGTGGTCTTGATCTCCTGACTTGGTGATTTGCCTGCCTCGGCCTCCCAAAGTGCTGGGATTACAGGCGTGAGCGACCGGTTTTTTCCTTTAAGGACACTAGTCATTAGGTTTAGAGCCCACCCTTATCAAGTATGATCTTACTTTAACTAATTATATCTGCAAAGACTCTATTTTCAAGTAAGGTCACATTTTTAGGTTCAGGATGGACATGAATTTTGGGGGGAACACTTATTCAGCCCACCCTGGTGGCTGTACCATGTCGCATTCCCTCTAGCAATGCCTGAGAGTTATAGTTGTTCCCAATCCTCACAACTTCAGGCTTAGCAACTTTAGGAGATAGAATAGTTTCATGAGAAGTCTCAGGACTGTCTCTCATTGGGCTGCCTTGGCATACATGCGTGTTCATCCTTGAACTTATCGCTACAGCCCAGACATGGAACATGATGGTTGGCCAGGATGTGGTCATATCCCTACTCCTAAAGGTAGGGATGGGGAGGGGTCAGTGCCACATGAATCACGTAAATTGATTGTGGATAAGGGGCTTCCTGGAAGAAAACTAGGGAGATGTTAACAGAAGAAGAGGAACTGAAAGATTGTCAGGTAAAAACAACTAATTTCCTCTACAAATAGGAAAGTGCCTTTTGCAACCGCTCCTTATCAGTTTCCAACAACTGCTGGAATCAAAGCAATTGATTGTTTTCTATGTGCCAGGCACTATGCCACGTGTTTTACATGGCTCCAAGTTCCCCAGCATTCCTCTGGGGAAGATTCCATTACTCTCACCTTTTTTTTTTCTTTTTTTTTTTTGAGGTGGAGTCTCGCTCTGTCACCCAGGCTGGAGTGCAGTGGCATGATTTCTGCTCACCGCAACCTCCACCTCCCAGGTTCAAGCGATTCTCCTGCCTCAGCCTCCTGAGCAGCTGGTATTACAGGCGTCTGCCATCATGCCCAGCTAACTTTTGTATTTTTAGTAGAGACAGGGTTTCACCATGTTGGCCAGGCTGGTCTTGAACGCCTGACTTGAAGTGACCGCCGACCTCGGCCTCCCAAAGTGCTGGGATTACAGGCATGATCCAACGTGGCCGGCTCACCCTTTTTACATGTAGGAAACTAAGACTTGGAGACTTTGGATAACATTGCAAAAGTCATGTAGCTATTAGGGGGTGACCCTGGATCCTGGGCCAGGTCTGCTAACATCAGTGCCCACTATACTGTCCTTGTATTTCTCCCCAGTCTCCCAACCAGCCAGTCTGTCCCTGTCTACCTTGATTTGACCCTTTCATTGACATGCATAATTTCTTGGAGTGGTAACTTTTTTTTTTTTTTTTTTTTTTTAACATTTCAGGGCTTCTCCTAGGGATAACCTCTGCTTCCTGCTGAGTTCTGGATCTAGAGCACAGGCAGGTTTCCTCCCCTTTCTCCTGTAGCTACTGAACTCTGACTTTGTAGTGGTGGAGTGTCTGGGGCCCAAGAGAGATTTCTGTCCTTCACCTGGCAATAGTAGACCGCTAATTTATATCAGAGTGTGTTTCTTGCCCCTCCCCCAGGGGCAGACAGGCACTACCTTGTCCTCAGACAAGGCTCAAAGCATGAATGGGCTTCCCTAGGTATGCCTGCTCCACCCTAAAACCTTGGCAGGTGCTGTAGGGCTGTACCACCAAGGGGGAAGGGTCTCCCAGGCCTACTGTGCTGTTTCCAGTCTTTCTCATGCATGCCGAGTAGAGGCCAGTGGAAAAGGATGGCAAGCAGATGGGGATTTCTCTGTGTCCAGCGTGCTCAGGGCTTCTAAACTGCCATGCTAGCTTATCCTTTGCCGGTAAGAATTTGTTTTCTTCTTATCCAGTTTTCTGATGATTGTCTGTTCTTCCCATTCTCTGCCAAAAGAGGAAACAGCTGGTGTGTCTTGTCCCTTTTTGGAAGGACTTGTGAGCCTTAGGAATTCAGTTCCCTTGATTGCTTTGTATAACAGCGCAATTCGCTGATGGACTAAAACAAAATTATGGTTTTGTATGTCTTATAGGTTATCCATTTTTTAATGTATTTATTTGACACATTGCGGGGTTTTTTTTTGTTTTGTTTTTGAGACAGAGTCTCACTCACTCTGTTACCCAGGCTGGTGCACAGTGGCACAATCTTGGCTCACTGCAACCAACCTCTGCCTCCCGGGTTCAAGCGATTCTCCTTCCTCAGCCTCCCGAGTAGCTGTGATTATAGGTGCCCGCCACTATGCCCAGATAATTTTTGTATTTTTAGTAGAGATGGGGTTTTGCCATGTTGGCCATGCTGGTCTCGAGCTCCCTCCTGACCTTAGGTGATCTGCCCGCTTTGGCCTCTCAAAGTGCTGGGATTACAGGCGTGAGCCACCGCGCCCGGCTGGTTATCCATTTTTCTCTTGTGTATGCCAGCCTCACAGAGTGTGGGATATGAGAAAGAAAGGATCCTAGGGTCGAATAAACTTGAGAAATTTGTCATGTCTTATCCTCTTCTGGATATTTACATGGCACATTCATATCTTAAAGACCCTGAGAATTCCTGCAAAATAGAGAAATACATATATATTGAGATGGAGTCTTGCTCTTGTTGCCCAGGCTGGAGTGCAATGGCACAATCTCGGCTCACTGCAACCTCCGCCTCCCAGGTTCAAGCAATTCTCCTGCCTCAGCCTGTCAAGTAGCTGAGATTACAGGCGTGCACCACCACACCTGGCTAATTTTGTAGTTTTAGTAGAGACGGGGTTTCACCATGTTGGTCAGGGTTGTCTCAAACTCCTGACCTTAGGCAATCCACCAGCCTCGGCCACCCAAAGTGTTGAGATTGCAGGCATGAGCCACCACACTTGGCCTTGAGAAATAAATTTAACTTTGTTTAACAAAGTGTCCCTAAAGTTTGTTTGATCATAGAACCCTTTGCTTGTGTAGCACTCATTATTTCCCTTAGAATTAATATTCTGTGAACACCGTTCGGAAAATAGAGGCTGGATGTTGATGTTTTATTGTCTGGGAACCTGGAACCAAAATAGAAAGCCAGGATCCGTAAAGATAGTAACAGAATTGTTGTGGGTATTTCTAGAACCAAAAGCCATCCTGGAGATTGGGTGGAGGTTCTGGGTGATACCGAGGCACTCAGCAACGGCCTTGGTCAGTAGTCCGTGTTTCATCTTGTATGCTATAACTTCAGAGATGGCCGGGTGTGGTCACTCACTCCTGTAATCCCAGTGCTTTGGGAGGCCGAGGCGGGTGGATCACTTGTGGTCAGGAGTTTGAGACCAGCCTGACCAACATAGCAAAACCTCGTCTCTACTAAAAATCCAAAAATTAGCTGGG